>NC_000011.10:115354242-115657273 GCF_000001405.40 Homo sapiens | reverse complement strand
TAAATTGTCCAGTCTCAGATATTTCTTTATAGCAATGTGAGAAGGAACTAACAGCCTCTCACAGCTTCTCCCCAGAAGTCTCACAACATGTCACGGGAACACCTAAAGTTCTGGGCCCAGCATCTTTGCAGTGTATCTCAGAGCCCTCCCTGGGGAGAGAAGCCAGGGTTTGAGGGATTTCTCTACTTGGGATTGATGGCATGTATATAAGGGGCTGAAGCTAATTTTCATGATTTTCTTTATGTTCACTACTTCTTTTAAGTCAGTGGCTCGGGCGCCTTTTGCACTTGGTTGTGGTTTAGTCATCTGGTGCTACTTTCCCATGGGAAGGCGCTTAGGTCACTGGCGACACCTCAGCTCCTTGATGGGAAGAGGTGCTGCCAAGCTGTGCGTGCAAAGTCCACAGTACTTCCTGTATTCCCTGCCTCCTACCTCACTAACCAATCAGGGTTAGGAGTAGAACTCCTCACAGTGCTTTCCATCCTCCCTGCTGCCACTGCTCAGGAGGGCAGAAGTGCAGAGGCACCACCTCAATGAGCCTTGGGAATGCCAAGCAGAGTCGAGGGCCACTGAAGCTTCCCAGTGACTCCTTAACAGTCCAGGCCACTGCTCCATAATCACCACATCCCCACCATGCAGCCCCCTGCAGAGCACCGATGGCTGCTTGAGAATTACCATCCGCAGATCAATAGTGGGGCGATTACTGGGTCTTGCACGCAGCCAGCAGGCCTCGCTCTGGAGGAGTGTGGAGACGCATGCGGGAACATAGGTTCCCTTTATTAGGGCAGCTGGATTCCAGGTGAGACCAAAGCAAGCCTAGAGACTCCCAGGAGGGGGACTGGGAGGCTTTTGTGGAGCCATGGCTCTGAACTGAGGAGTGAGGAAGAGAGAAGTGAATTGGCCTAAGATGGTCTCTGCCTATCTGCCTATCTGCACAGCTAATCAGCTCCCAGCATCCTTTCCCTGTACACACAGCCCACTTAAGAGAAGTTAATGAAAAGTAAACAAACTGATTCTTCCTATCAACTACCCCTTGATAGAAGGTCCCTTGGGCTGAAGAGGTCAATCCTCAGAAAAGCAGGATGTCTGAGGCCACAGCAGGCACAGAGCTATAGCTTAAGGCTATCTCTTGATAAGAGCTTCTTCAACAAAGGCTGCAGGCTGTAGGGAAGCTCCTTCCCCTAAGACTCAAGCCCTCCATTTACCCATCAGACACCATCCCTGTGATACAGACGCCAAGAACAGAAAGACAATCTGACTTATCCTTCTAGGAGTCTATAGTCTTATGGGAAAAATAGAAACATGACCGCTAGACTTGAAGAATATTAGACATCTCCAAGTTCAACACCCTGAAATTACAGAGGGGAGGAAACAGAGGTCTGGAGAGTGAAATGACTTGAGTAAGGTTTCCCAGCTTCCAGGGTCCGATCTGCACCTGGTGGCCTGACTCCCACTCCAATGTTCTTCCCACCACGAGGCAGAATGAAGCAGGTGTCAGCCTCTGTCTCCGAGCCTCGCCAGAGAGCCTATCTCCTTTGCCTTTGCCTAGCCCTGGCCACCTTCCTCACCTGCTTCTTTCTTCCAATTTCAAATGCATGATTAACAGCCACTCCTCAATCCCTCCTGCTCAACCAGAGGTTTGGGGTTTCATTTCCACCCAGCAGAGGAATTGATAACATTTAAGTTATTCAAGTTAAAAAGAAACGTCCTCCTCAAAACCATCTGTTCTCGGGGAGGAGAGCCTTGACCAGGAGAGACGTAGAGAAAGTGGGGACAGGAACAGAGCGGGTACAGGTGGGGAAGAAGGTTGATGAACCACAGCTGGAGGCCTCCCCTGGTCCAGTCTGCCTTCTTTGTCGAAGAAGATGGGGTAGGGTTCTCCTTGCTGGTCTTCTAACATGCAGGACAAGCTCCTGCCTCAGGACCTTTTCATGGGCTGTTCTGTCTAGATTCCCCAGATATCAGCACACCTCACTCCTCCACCACCTCTGAGTCTTTGCTCAAAGGGCACCATGTCAGTGGAGAACTACCATGACCTCCCTACTTAAAACTGCAATACCCTTCCCCCAGAATTCAGTGTTCACCACCTCCCTTACCCTGCTTTCTAGTTCTCTCTAACACCTAATGACTTCTAGTTTAGTATTTAACTGATTTATTCATCATGTCTTTTGTGTGTTTCACCTCTGCCACTACTAGAAAGCAAGTGTTGAGAGGGCAAGGGTTTCGTGTGTTTTTTTCATCGTACCTAGAATACTGCTGAGCATATAGTAGATGCTCAATAAATATTCGGTCAAGGCATGAATTAAGTAGTGAATCAAGAGTCTTCAGATATGAGGGCTGGGAGAGACCTTGAAGATAAACTAATCTCTAACTCTCAATTTGCGGGTGATGAAAATAAAAGCCAGAGAGAGTTTTGTAGAGAAGGTGATGTTCAAGCAAGGTTTTCTTTTCTTTCCTTTGTTTTCCTCTTTTTCAGCTCTTTCAGTTTGTGCATTTGTTCATTCATTCATCCTTTCACTTATTTATTCAGAAAATATTTATTGGACACTACAAAGTACTAATCACTGCATAAAAATAATATTTGAAATTTAAATTATTAACCATCAAAAAAATAAGTATTATATTTTAATGTAATATTGATCACTTTCTTCCAGACACCTTGCTAAGCGCTTTACATCCATTATTTCATATGAACAACCATACACACTATTATTGGCCTCATTTTGCAGATGATAAAATTAAGACTAAAGACACTGCATGGCCTGCCCTAGCCACACAGCTAGAAAGTGGAGGAGGTGAGACCCATGCTGAGGCCTGTTTGACTCCAAACTTCTGTGCTGTACCACTGCATCTTGTCCCCGCTCCCCACTCTTTCTTTTTCCTTCCCATCTCTGGGATCAAACCAAATGGCCCAATCGAGGCGGCAGAAGAGTCAGCCAAGGTCACCCCGAGCTGAACCCTTTTGAGGCCACACAATCCTGCCACTCCACTGGCTCCCTTGAAGCTACCTCTCCCTGTCCCAGCTGTTCTCCTAGTCCCGGCCCCACGCTCCAAGTCCCATATACGAATGCTGGTATGACTCACAGCGCCAAGATCGGTCACTGGGAAAGAGGACTCATAAAACCTTACAGCAGTTTTATAATGTATTCTTAGCTTTTACAGGCGTCCTGGGCGGCCGAGGCTGGGTGGATGGGCGGGCCCCATAGACCCAGAATTGGTGAGAACCGCTACCATGTGTGTGTGTGTGAAGACAGCACCGTCTTTTAGCTGCCTGATAGGGGAAGGGCAATACAAGAAATGGCATTTCTTCAGCTCTTTACAGTTTAAAAAGCACTTTCACGTGTAATGCCCACCAGATAAGGAAGGTATAATTTCAGAGTCACAGGTAAGGAAACTGGTACAGTGCCAGGACTTGGAATTGGGCTTTCCTTCCTGAATTCGGATTTGGTGCTCTGTTCCTGGGACCAGCTGGCATGGCACTAACTCTCAGTGACCTCAGCTACGTCTGTCCACAGAGAGAGATCCTAGGCAGCAGCATCCTCAGGTAAGGGGGAAGAGTCACCTAAAGTCGACACTGACACAACCACGGGGTCTCAGTCCAGGCCCTGTTACCAGCACATCCCAGAGCAGCCTCTGAGTACATTTCTGCTACCGACACCCAAGGATAGGGGATTTTTCACCCACATCTGTGCTGCAGAAGTCCTAGCTCGACTCCTTCACCTCCCTTCATGCTCCCCTGACTATGTTCTGCAAGCCACCCCACCTTTCATGTCCAGTGCAGACCCTCATTTGTGCCAGGCAAGGGGGCTCAGGGCAATGATGCAGTAACGATGCCTCACAGTTGTAATCACCCACACTATCTCATTTATTTGGATTATTCCTGAGTTCCTAATGAAAAATAAGTAAAGTGGGTCTTGTCATCCCTCTTTTACAGATGAGGTAACAGGTTCAGAGAAGTCAAGCAATTTTTCATATGTCACATAGCTGGTGACTAAGAGAAACAGGATCTGAATCAGGTATTCTGACTCAACTCCAAGTTTCCCTCTTCTCTTCAGTAAATTTCTGATAGTCCCAGCTTGCCTCTAATTGTTCAGTCTGACAATATTTCCAATTCAATGGATTTCCTGTTTCCTCCAAAATTGAAACCTGGAGCTGACTCTGTTAGCTACTTTGGTCCAGAATGGGCATTTTTGAGCTTGTGAGTTTTTGAGAGTGCAGCTGGGCGGTATTCCTTAGGTATCCATTTCCTTACCACTGACACTAACACCAGCCCCCAGTAACACAACAGGCACCTCTAAGATCGTCTCACTTAGGCCTAAGCAAGGGACCCAGTTAATTCTCCTTAATCCTCCATTTATGGATCACTAGCCCTTCCATGCAGGAGAACACCTAGCATGGTGTATTAGTCCATTTTCACAGTGCTATAAAGAAATGCCCAAGACTGGGTAATTTATAAGGAAAAGAGGTTTAATTGACTCAGAGTTCCGCATGGCTGGGGAGACCTCAGGAAACTTATAACCATGGTGGAAGAGGAAGCAGGCACCTCTTACATGAGGTGAGAGAGTGTGGAAACTGTCACTTATGAAACCATCAGCTCTCGTGAAAACTCACTATCACGAGAACAGCATGGGGGAAACTGCCCCGTGATCCGATCACCTCCCACCAGTTCCTTCCCCCAACACATGGAGGTTACAATTCGGATTGCAATTCGAGATGAGATTCGGGTGGGGACACAGCCAAACCATATTACATGGTTTCAATTGTCTTTCCCTGGAAACGTCACCATGAGGCTTCTCCAGCACTGGTTCCTTTATAGCATCCAGCTCCTTGTGTGGTAAACAGGACCCTGCACTAATCTGGCCCCCTCCTGCTCCAGGAGCCTCATGTATCTCTGTGCCTTGTCCCCCACTGTGCCCCAGTCACTAGCACTGCCTGCAGCCTGTCCAGGGACCCTGCTATCTCACCCTCCTTCCACACTGCTCCCTCCCACCTGGACTGCTCCCCTACATGGAAGGCCCTACCCAGGCCTCTTGGCCTGGCAAACACCTACTCATCTGTCAGGACACAGCTCAAATGTCACCTCCTGTGAAGTCTTTCCTGGTACACACCCCCATCATCCCTGCCGTAGAAATCCACCACCCCTCCTCTACACAGCCCTCACTGAGCCCTAATTAAAGAACTAGCTCCCCGCTAGGTCTGAGAGCATTTTGAGAGCAGGAGTACTGTTTTATTTCTCTCATCATCTACAAAGCTTATCACAGAGCTTGGTAAACTAGAGATGCTATATGAGCCCTCACTGAATGTAACAACACGTGAATGGATAAACAGTTAGTCAATTCCACATTACCTGTGGAAAGGAAGGAAAGGAAAGCTACACCAACGTGGAGCTTAAAACTTTACCTATGTCTCCATCCACAGATGCCTGGATAAGCAAAATGTGGTAAATAACATACAATGTAATATTATTCAGCCTTAAAGAGGAAGGATATTCTGACACATGCTACAACATGGATGAAACTGGAGGAACTTGTGCTAAAGAAATAAGCCAGTCACCGATAGACAAACATTCCACTTATATGAGGTACCTACAGTAATCAAATTCAGAGATAGAAAGTAGAATGGCATTTGCCAGGAGCTGGAGGAAGGGAATAATGGGGAGTTGGTATTTCATGGGTACAGAATTTTAGTTTTGCAAGATGAAGAGTTCTGGAAACGGATGGTGGTGATGGTTGCACAACAATATGAATGTACTTAACGCTACGGCACTATACACCTAAAAACACCTTTTTTTTTTTTTTTTTTTTGATGGTGGGGAGGGAGTCTCACTCTGTTACCCAGGCTGGAGTACAGTGGCGCAATCATAGTTCGCTGCATCCTTGAACTCCTGGACTCAAGAGAGCCTCTCATCCTAGCCTCCCAAGTAGCTGGGATTACAGGCTTGTACCACCATACCTGGCTTTTTTTTTTTTTTTTCATGTTTTTGTAGAGACATGGTCTGGCTATATTGCCCAGGCTGGTCTCAAACTCCTGGCCCCAAGCGATCCTCCTGCCTTGGCCTCCCAAAGTGCTAAGATTACAGGTGTGAGCCATCAGACCTAGCCAGGAAAACTATTTGGAGCAGGGCATGTCTAGATCTTAGCGGCAGCATTTTCTAGGAACTGGTACCTGTACCAAGCTGGTCAAAACTTTACAGAGCAAGGTGCTAGGGACTTGGTGATCAGGATAGAAAAAAGGGGCAGGGATCATTCAGATAGCATCTCCCCTGAGCGCAGAGAAGGAAATGACGAACAGTTATACTTGTAATATTCGTTAACTCCTCATGGCAACCCTGTGATGTAGGAACCACTATTATGACCTTAAACCTAAAGCAGCTAAGACTCAAAGAAGTCAATTAAGTTGCACAAGGTCACACTGGTTAGTAGCAGAGTCTGGATTTGAATCCAGGTCTAAGTCATTGTTCGTTAACAGGATTCACTGAGGTTCCCTGCCTGGAGGAGGAAAATGAGCAGGATTTGACCCTTGTCTGTTGGAGAAACACATCCTAAAAGAGCACATTGTGATTCTGTGTACTGACAGATGTGTGCCAGGATGCACTGGAAAACAGCGAAAGGCTTGTTAATTGGGCCTGGGGCAATCAGGAAGGTTCCCTGGGGGCAGCAGGGAGGAGTTGCAAGGGGAGGGGGACGGTGGATGGTAGGGGCAGGGAGGAGTGTAGCAGTCTGCCCCTCCCCAACAACTACAGACCATGAGGTCTCAAGTCGTCCCATAGCACTTAGCACTCCAGAGTGGAGTTAAACTCCATTCCAGCTCTCCCCTTCCCCATATAACCAGGGAGAAATTGCATCTGGCCTCTGCTTCACAGAACAGCATTTGGGAGGTATATACATACATACAGTTTTGTTTCTGGACTTGCACAAATGCACAGCTGTTTGTCAGCTTGCAGACTGCATTTCTGAGCTGTTTTGCTTTGAACGCCTCACGCCTTTGGCCCCTGAGAATGCTGGGAAACCAAAATGGCAGCAGCTTCCTTGGCCCGAACCTTGAATTTTTACCAGGACTGTCTCACGGGCATCCTCTGCAACCTGCAGTGGACAGCCAAGGTGCTGGTGGGAACCAGGAAGCCCCCTATGCAGAAGCACCAAGGAGAGAGGGTTGGCAGGAAGTCAGCCTCCCTTCTCCAGCACAAGCCATGAGAGGGAAGGACATTTGAGGATGGAGCCTCAAATGCAGGCTGATTGTAAAGAATGTTTCACACATAGAGCTCCTGCCAGGAAAGCCTGACTCTAAAAACTCCAGTCAATGTGGTACTGGAGGGCTCATTTGTTTAGCACCTATTATTTGCAAACTCTAAACTACCTGCTTTGGGGTTTTTAGTGGTGCCTATACCCTATGAAGTCAACTGACAAGAACCCAACTAACTGTAATAAGAGGAAGGCTCAAAGTCCCAAGAGATGCATCTCAAATGCTGTAAGAGTTCAAGGTGGGGTGGAGGGAGCGAGATGCTCCAACCCTGGTAACATCTCCAGCCGAGCCAGCCTATAAACGCAAATAGCCTAGGGGGCTGCTTTTACAGGAGAGTTGGGAGCAGATTGGATCCGTGACAGGAACCATTATTCTTCTGAAATGGAAGAGGCTATCGCCATAGACTGACCACTCCTCCCCAGGCAGGCAGCTGAAGTTGTCCCAAGCCTTGGAATTAAAAAAGAAAGAAGATGCTGATGCCCCAACTGGTCTGGAAAAACAAGATACAGGCTGGGCAGAAACAAAGCCAGGCTTCAGGATGAGATAGGCCTGGGGCCAATCTTGGCTCTTCGACTTAAAAGCTGCGTGACCTGAGGAATGACACTGAACCTCTCTGAGCCTTAGGTTCTCCATCTATAACATGAGGATGACAATCCTTCCATCACAGGGTTGTTATAAAAATGAAACAAAGAGGTATAATATGTAAAGCCTTTAGCCCAGACCTGGTATGTAAGCACTAACTTATTGATAGCTTGTATTATTATTAGCGTTAGTAGTAGTAGCATCTTTAGTGTTATTATTACTAAGATTTGCCTGGGTGTTCCTTTTGCCCCACTCATAAATTTGCTCCATATCCCGGTAGGTCCTGTGGCCTTGGAAGTCTCCCAGCACTGTGGGGAGATGCCTTATTTCTGAGCTTGGGACATTGGTGAAGGAGCCTGTGGTGCAATGTTGTCATTAGTACCTGATACAGGGTTGTCGTGAGGATCAAAGGAGCTAAACATACATGAAGAGCGTCTAGTAGTTCCTGGCACAGAGGAAGTGACAGTGTGGTGTAGAAGTGAAGATTGAAGACTCTGGAGGCAGACTCAGGTTTGAACCCCAGCATCTATCATTCCTAGCAGGATGACCCTGAGCAAGTTATTTAAGCTGCCTGTCACTCAGTTTCCTCGTCTGTGAACTGAGGAGGGAAATAATAGTGCTCATCCCATGGAGTTGTTGTGGGGATTCAACCAGATAACACAGAGTATTGGACTTGAATCCAAAATACCCAGGTTGGAGTTCTGACTCTAGCAATAAACAGCTGTGTAACAGTAGACAAATGACTTAACCTCTCTGAATCTGTTTCATTGCCTGAAAACTAGAGATACTAATGCCCATTCTGGCCACTGCACGAGGCTCACACCTGTAGTCCTAGCACTTTGGGAGGCCAAGGTGGGCAAATCAATTGAGTCCAGGAGTTCAAGACTAGCCTAGGCAACATAGTGAGATCCTATCTCTCCAAAAAAAAAAAAAAAAAAAGCTGGACATGAGGACATGCCTACAGTCCCAGCTGATAGAGAGGCTGAAGCTAGAGAACGCTTGAGCCCAGGAGGTTGAGGCTGCAGTGAATCATGATCCCACCACTGCACTCAGCCTGGGTGACAGAATGAGACCTCGTCTCAAAAAAATAAAAATTAAAATTAATAAATAAAAATAATGCCCATCTCACTTAACTTGATGGGTTAATGTGAGAATTAAAGCATTTTGTAAACTGTAACAGGTAATAAAAGTATAATAGACAAATGAAAAAGTAAAGTTGTAAAGCAGCATTATAGTTTTCTTAGAAATATTATAACGTATATGTCTTGAGGAAAAGACATATAGATAAACATACGTGCTTGTACAAACATGGAACATTTTTCAAAGACTTTTTAAACTCTTTTGTAATAATTGAATATTTAAAAACAAACAAACAAACATGTTTTCCTCCCACAACTTAAAACTAAAGCAAGGCCGGGTGTGGTGGCTCACGCCTGTAATCCCAGCACTTTGGGAGGCCAATGTGGACGGGTCACCTGAGGTCGGGAGTTTGAGACCAGCCTGGCCAACATGGTGGAACCTCATCTCTACTAAAAATACCAAACTTAGCCAGGGATGGTGGTGTATGCCTGTAATCCCAGCTACTTGGGAGGCTGAGGCGGGAGAATAGCTTGAACCCGCGAGGCGGAGGTTGCAGAGAGTTGAGATCGTGCCATTGCACTCCAGCATGGGTGACAAGAGCGAAACTCCATCTCAAAAAAAAAAAAAAAAGGCAATATCTCTCTGAACATTATGGATTATTAGTAGATTGCCTAGAACTTCAGATACTTTGGGTTTTTGCTTTGACTATGATGTCAAAATGAACGAGGCTGGGCGTGGTGGCTCACATCTGTAATCCCAGCACTTTGGGAAGCCAAGGTTGGAAGATCACTTGAACCCAGGAGTTCAAGAGCAGTCTAGGCAACATGGTGAAACTCTATTCCCACACAAAATACAAAAATTAGCTGGGTGTGCTGGCAAGCACCTGTAGCCCAGCTACTAGGGAGGCTGACGCGGGAGGATCGCTTAAGCCCAGGAGGTTGAGGCTGCTGTGAGCCACAATCACACCACTGCACTACAGCCTGACAGAGCGAGACCTTGTCTCAAAGAAAAACAAAAACAAAAACAAAAGAACCAGCACCCAGCCACATCCCCACTCTTGGCCTCAGTTTTGTTTTGTTTTGTTTTGTTTTGTTATGTTATGTTTTACACTCTCAGAGAGGGGAGTGTGGGCTGACCTCTGCAAGATGAGATCAGCCAGCCTCAGTGTTTTTCATCTGAAAAATGGGATGGCCATTCCCTTTACACCACCAGCTTTATGAGGTTAGGGGTAAGATAAGGAAGTGATACCTATTAAAAATAAAAATGAAGACAAACAAAAACAAAACCCTTTAAGCCAATGTATTGCCTCAAACTTAAAATAGGTGAGCTTCCATACCTATTTCAGGGACAGGTATTGGCCCCCACCCACAGCCCAAGGAAAAGATAAAAAACCACAGGCAGACCTCCTTTTATGGCACTTTGCTTTATTATGCTCCGCAGGTTAGATTTTTTTACAAATTGAATGTTTGTGGCAACCCAGCATTGAGCAGGTCTATCAGTGCCATTTTCCAACAGCACGTGCTGACTTCATGTCTCTGTGTTAGCATTTTTATCAATAAAATATTTTAAAATTAAGGTATACGCTCTTTTAGACATAATGCCATTGCACACCTAATCAACTATAGTGCAAACATAACTTTTATACACACTGGGAAACCAAAAAACTTGTGTGACTTGCTTTATTGCTATATTTGCTTTGCTATGGTTTGGAACCGAACCTGCACCACATCCATGGGTATGGCAGTACTGTTGGTTTTGCCCTGAGGTTCTCCATTAGGATCCATAGTGCCTTTGACCCTACACACAGCCCCAGCAAGCCTAGGCCCCTCCCCTCCCATCCAGACAACCAGGAGAAGAACCAAACCCACAGACAAGTCCAAGGATCCTGAGCCAAGGACTTCCAGAAAGAGCAAACCCTCCGAGGACTGGGACTGGGGACTGATCTAGGACTTCCCTCCTCAACCAGACACCCCTGCACAGTCAAGGCGGGGGAGCCAGGAACCCAGGCTGGGAAAGTGGCCTGGGCTCCCTCTCCCGCCTCGGTGCCTCCCTAGCTAGGGGCCACACGCTCAGAAGCCTCCTGCCCTGTCCCCGCTCCCCTTCCCTTGGGCAGCGGCTGCTTGGTATTCAGGCCACATCACCCTTGCCTGTCTCCATTTGGAAACGGCTGTGTGTGACCTCTCTGTGTGTCTCTCAGTTGCCTTTGTAGGTCGGGGGAGGGAGAGAGAGGCGTCTCCGCATTTACCTAATTAGTGGTAATTAGAAGGCAGGGCCCGGGTGCTCTCCTCGCAGCTGCTCCTAAGGACAGAAGCTGGAGGCTGGAGAGTAGCTCTAAACGGACATTGGGAACACTGTGTCCTAGGGCGCTCTGGCCGGCCACCTCCCTCGGATCCCCTCCGCACTCCCCACGCAGCGGACACGCTCGTATCTCTCCCCACAGCTGCTACTCCCAGGCGTTATTTCTGGGACTAGCCCTGAATTCTCAGTCCCCAAAACAGCAGCCCTGGGATATGTCAACCAGGCCTGGTTCCCATGGTAACCCAAGCCACGCCCCTAGGAGAGAGCCTCTCTGGGTAACGGGCAGGCTGCCTTCCCGGAGAGCGGAAGCTTTGGTTCTAGCTACCCTTGGAGTAGATCCTTGCAAAGCCGAGCAGCGGGGCCAACTCCCACCCTTTGGTTGGGTCCCGATTCCTTTTCAGCTCCCTCGAGCCCAGGCAGCAAGTCCAGAACTCCCGTAGAACCTCAGCTCTGATGGCGTCTCAGCACATCTATCCGTCTTCCGGCTCATCTCAGTAGGTGGAGTGGAATTAAGAACATGGCCTGCTCCACCCCAACATTAGGCACCAGCTGTTTTGTACTGTCCATCCTGTCGATGCTTATTAATGATTCTGATCAACCTCTATGGAGATCCATTATCTCTAAACCAGGGAATGTACTATTAATTCCCATCTGTGCCGGATTACTTACAGTTAGTGGTTGGTAGTTTTCCATGGTCTCACAACACATCTTAATCAGATGGTGAGTGGGTTTAATTAGCCGAAGTATAGGTTGTATTTTTTTTATTCATATAACTACTTAATCTAATGGAAGCCTATTATCTGTGGCTTTTTCCCATGCATAATTATTGCTGTTTTTAATTGATGGTGCATCAGGGGTTGCAGCTACAATATGGCAGCTGGAACACAAAGTCGCCTTTCCCTAGAATGAAGGTTGAGAAAATGAGTTGTCAGTGAGGCATCAGATTTCTTGTTTTCATTGAGATTTGAGCTCCCATGTGGAAGCTGCCGGCTCCTGCCAAAAGAAAGGAAATGTGGTTCTCAGCTGGGCGACCCCTGGGCTTCACTGCTGCAAAATGCCCTTCAGGAGCCCTGAGGCTGGAACCAAATCAGGAACAGCTGGGAAAGAGAGCTATTTGTCAATCCAACCAGATCATAAGCAACCCCAGGGCAGGGACCAGGTCTTTTTCTTGTTCCACTTTCTCCAATCCACAGGCCCTAGGATAGGCTCGTGTACCCTGTGTGTTCTCCATACACATGCAGCAAATTAAACACAGACCTAAGATGGTGCAGGAAACCTGGACGCTTGCAGGGAAAGTCATTTGTCTTCAATGTGAGGATGAATCTGAAGCTCTCCCTGCAGAACGTGGGATCCACTTTCAAATCTGGACAGGGGCTTTCATCCAACCTGCAGAAGATCCTGGCAGTTCCCATTTAGAAATAAGCCCCTGATCTTCAATGGGATGAATTGTCAATATTTCAGTGGCCATTTGGGATAGAGTGAGATCTCTAAGAACAAAAGTGTCCCATTTACCCAGATTTATAGAAGAGAGAAGCAGAAGGGCAGAATGATATCTGGTCAAAAGTAAGAGCCAGCAATTTTCTAATAACTTTAGAAAACTTGGGCTTCCTACAGATAAGCTATTTCTAGGGTTTGGTATGGGGAGCTGCCAGTTAGCAGAGCTCCCAGCTGACCCAGAATGGAAGGATTCCAGGGTCTTTGATCAATTTACAGAGTACCTTGGGCAGAGCAGAACAGGGAGCCCTATTCACCCCTAGAGAAGCTGAGATATTCACAGGACAGAGTATCATCCCTCCTGCTCTCTCTCAATCCCACCTCCTTCTTGCCTCCTGCTCTCTCCAGACCCTTAGCGTCAGTCAGAGGAAATCTGCATAGCTGGGTTCAAAGACTTGTTACCCCTCCTGCTTGTCTCCTCCTGTTAAATAATGTGACAAAGAAAGGAGGCCATGGGAAGAAAAGGTGCTGGAGCTTTCTGGTTGAACAGTCTTTTCCAAGAGAACCTGAGTTCCTGGGGCAGGAGGCATGGACTTTCTCTCCCAGCTCACAGCCATGGTGGGCTATTGTTGAAGGTGGCTTTGGGTTTATTCCGTCTGTCCCATTTTGCAAAAAAATTTGTACAGAGACTTCTGTGCCTGACCCACAGTCAGCAGCAGACAGGAGCCACGGATTCTTCTTGCAGCGTTTTACAGGGTGACGGATCAGATAATGTACACTTAGCGAGTGCACAAATAATGTGAATCAGGGTTGGCATAGTGCAGTGAGGTGTAAAAAAAGCAATTTGAATTGTTCTAGGGAAACGCCAGAGCTGCTCTGACATGCTTGCTTGCCAGAACGCTGCCCTGTGCCCCTCCAGAGGGCTGAGCTCCAGGCTCTGGCCGGAATGGCAACGAGGCTGCCCAGCGCTGCTGGCCTGGAGGGGAGCTCCCCCAAAGATGTGGAGAAGCTCTGCATCCACAAGGGAAGGGAGAGGGCATGAGTGGCCCGATGAAACAGAGCTCCATTTCATCCTGGAGGGGATGGCTTGACCCGTGATCTGTTGAGACTCTCATCAGAAGGAGGGAGGGAAGGAGAGCAAGAAACACCAAACGAGGGATCTTTGGACAGGGCTGCACATGAGCAGGCAGATTGATGCTGTACACCTACTTGGGGAGATCTATCCTTAGTCTCTGTGAACTCCCAGAAGTCATCTAGTCCATCCCTCTGCCTCCAGACAGAACTGTGCCTCCTCTCCCACACAACAAATGGATTTCAAATGTTTCAACGACTCTCCAAGGGAAGGAGATTTTGCATCCTCTCTTAGTCACCTGTTCTGGTATCTCACAACGCCCACCCTCCGGAAGTTCTTTACATCCAGCCTAAATCAAATCTCTCAGGCAGCCTTCAGCTTCCATGTTTTATGAGGGACTGGCCACACTTGGCAACTCGATGGTGTCTGTGTACCATACGCCTAAGTGCAGCCCTGGACACAGTGCTCTCCTGGCCAGAGGAGGTTCTGGAAGCAGGTAGCCAGCTCCTCCCTCAGGTCAGCCTTTCCTCCTGCTGTCATTTCCTCTCCAATGGAGGCCCAAGCTTTGCCCTGCTCCCCTTGCTCTCTGACTCTGCAAAGCCGTGGACTACCCAATGATGACACCCTGCAGGTTGATGAGGCTGATCCCCTTCTCGTGCCCTCTCTGTCAGCCTCTGTCCTTACAGCCCCTCCTTCCACCACACAGCTTCCATGAGGTTTCCTGTCCAGAGCAGGAGACAGGCTGTTTATCACCATGACACCTGCTGGGCAGCCTTACCTTGCAGAGCCACAGAGTTTCTGCCATCCTCCCAGCCCTCGCTTCCCCAGCCCTTGCGGTTGTCTCCCATCTCTCTGGGGAACCAAGGCTGTGCACACAGAAGATGCTCACTGAATTGGTCTGGATTTTTCAATAACCACAAGCAGACACTGCCAACCTCCTCTATTAAGTCCCTTTGTCCAAGTCAAGCTCCAAACCTGAAACTCACCATCTGGGTGTTTTCCGAAACCTGGTCATAGGGAAAGTGGTAGGAAATCTCTTGATTGTTTCAAATGAAAGCCGATTATAGGGAGTGAGGGAGTTTTCTGGTGGCTTGGGAAGCTGAGAGGTTTCAGGATAATGGATGGCCAGGCTGCCACCTGCCCACCTGCATTACTGACCTCAGAGTGGCCAGGCAGGGAACCCAGCACAGATTAAGAACCCAAACAAAAGGGAAGACAGGACAGGCCTGGGAACAGGCAGCCTGCTGAGGGACTGACTGAGGCCTCCAGATTTTTTTTTCCCAGGAAATCTTGGGACACATTTCCATGTTGTCTTTGCATAAATTTGTGTGATGATTTGCATACATTTGCATTTCCCCTGCAAAACACCAAAACTCCCAGAATATAAAATAAAAAGCAATTAATTAATTAATTGGTACCATGGATGGCAAATGTAGCCACACTAAAAAATACAGGATCAGTAGGGGGCCCTGATCAGGAGACAGATTATCTAGATTGTCCCTCTAAGACAGTATGATTTGGGGGACATAGTACAACCTGTTCTGAAGTTGTCTGTCTCTGCCACTAGACAGTGGACCCTTGAGAGCAGAACAGACAGAACTCTTTGATCTCTACATCCCTGGGCTTAAGCACAGGGTTTGTCATATATGAGACTATTAATAACTGTTTGGAGAATAAATGAACCAATAACTAAGTGACGAAATGACTCTCCTATAAATTGATGACCAGATGATAGGTCAAAAAGAACTGAAACTAAACCCTCTTAAAAACTGGGTAGATAAGGTTCAAATGAGCCTTTAGAGGGAAATGAGGAAGACAGCCTCACAGACCTGCTGATAAGGGACGTTGTTCTACTCAAGCCTACTTGGGAAGGAGGCCTGGAACCAAGTCTGGATTGAGTCCAGAGATTGTGGGGCTGTCCCAGTCCAGGGGCAAGGGCTCCTGGACCTGAGAAGGCATAGACTGAGATCTGGACCACACATAGCAGAAGCAAGAAGGAAAAGTAGAGGCCATCAATCTTCCCTCCCCCTGCCCATACTATGAGGCTTTAAGGTCTTCTGAACCTGGAAAGATCCCAAGGAGGTGACCTGGCTCATCCTTCCTTGGTGTCTGGCATAAGGCCTTGCCCAGAAAAAAATCTCAGCAAATTCCTATTTAAGTACCCTATTCATAATACTCACCAAATATTGATTGAGGATCGATTCTCTGATCACTTTCCAGAAGTCTTTAATCCTCTTCCCAGTCCCAGCTCCTCACCTATAGATATCGCCTTTCCTCCACACAGAGGAACATGTGGTTTTTGCAGACTCTAAGAGAGCCACCATTTGCTACCAGGGTATCATACGATGCTACTAGCCCTGCTATCAATTCTTATAAGTAGAAAGTTCTACCTGATGTCCCACCTAATCCCGCTTACTACAACATGACTCTGTTATTTCTTATCCCAAACTTGGAAACCTTCATTACTTTTCATTCCAGACACATCTTCCCTGTGTTAATCCACTGTGACAAGTGGTTAAGAAAATCGATTTTGGAGCTGACTGGCTAGATTAAAATTCTGTCTCCGTCCTTCCTAGCTGTAAAACCTTGGACAAGTTTTTAAACTTCTTAGTCTCATCTGTAAAATGGGGATATCTACTTCATAAGACTGTCATGAGAATTAAATGAAATCATATACATAGAGTGCTTAGAACAGTAAGTGGCACATAGTAAATGCTGCTCTAGCATCAGCTACTATCATTTTACAATACAACTCCTTGCCCTTGCTTCAGAGAAAAAGAGAAAACAAAAACAGCTGACTGAAATTGATGAGGAGATGGAAGGAGAGTTTCACAGAAGTTACTTTTCAGGATGCAGAGTGGAGATTTAACGATTTTCTCCTTGCTATACATCTCCCAAAATACAAACTCTGAAGCCAGTGCCTGGTGAGATGCCAGGATGCTGTTTGGATAGAGAAGCAAGAGGTTCTTGGAAGCTGACCCAGGCATCTTCATCAGGGACAGCGGTGGAGCCAGGGATTTGGGGATGTGCCCCAGGCTTTGGAGATCAGGCTGCTGTGAAGCTGGGAGGCTACAGAGAAAGCAGTCTGCCCTGCCCTGGGATTAGGAACCAGGGCATCCTCAGGCTTCAGACACTGGGGAAGAGGAATGAGAAAAGCCCTCAGTTAGAAGACACTGGAAGATGTCCAAAAGGAACACTGTTGTTCACACTGTTTCTCCTGCCCTTCCCCTGGTTGTAAATGCAGCTTGGACACATGACCAAGAAAGATGACGATTTAAAGAATCAACTTGCTTATCCATCAGTTCCAAGGAAAACACCAACTCCAGCGCCGCAGTTTCCCTAAATTGATATAGAAGGCATGAAGAGAGAGCTGGGACCAGAACTGGCACAACTTGTCAAGTTCCTACTGCAGGGCCAGGTGCTTTATGCTAATTTTATTTAGTTTATTCTTTACAACAACTCTGAGACATAGATATTATTGTTCCCATTTTACAGATGAGCATATGAGAGACCACAGGTTTGTTGAGGACCAAAAGACAGATACATGGAGGAGCCTGGACAAAAGTGCAGTTCTACCCGGAAGCAAAGCTGTGCTCTTCATACTACTTTGTAGGAAGAAGAGAACACAATAAGGAGAAAATACTCATGGGGTGAGGAAGAGGTGTTGAGAAAGGAAGATGAAGGCACAAGGTGGGAAGTTGGGGAGGCGAAAAAGCAGAAGCTGGAAAATTGTGCACATCTGACATTAAGTGAATATATGCAAATGAGATGCAAATACCACATGCAAATGAGTAAGAGGTTTTTTGGGTTTTTTTTTTTTAGCCAACCTCTCAACTCCACTTGGCACAACTGCAGCACAAGGCTAAACTGCCCAAAGCTAGCAGTATCCATGTGCAGAAATTGGGCTAGAGATGCCCCTTTCTCACTCTTGCCGTGGTCTCCTTCCTCCATCCTGCTACTCACGTCCTTTCCCCCGCTCCTGCTCCCATCCCAAGACTGAGGTCAATCACATCAGCATCCCTCCCTCCAGACACTCCAGAAGACAGCTGGCCTTGTCAGCCTTCTAATGGACTGACCCCTCACCCCTTGATCTATCTCCACTTCTGTTTACCTTCACTGGGAGGCTTTCTCGCCACCTGGGATCAAAAATTGCCATTTCCCTGACCTCACTTGTCAAACGATTCTCCCAGTCTGGTGACTCCCTTTACCAAATGGCAGCAGAAACAAAACATAGGTCCCTCTGAAGGGACCGCTTCTGACCCTGGCCACGCTCAGCAGCTTCTGAAGTTAAGCATGACAACTGTTTCTCAGCCTTGTCTCTGGAGAATCTTGGATCTGGAAGAAATCTTACAAGGTAATCTTATGAGGCACCTGTGTTAGGTAGACAGTAGCCTCTCCCATTCTTGAAGATGTCTGAAAAAGAATCTCAGGCTAGCTCTGGCTATCCAGTCCAATTTTAATCCCTTCTTTCCTATCTCAAAGTTCTTGCCAATGTCTACTATAAATCTGCACTGCTGTAATGCCATCCTATTATCTACTCTATTGTCTTTAGTGGGACAAAGTAGAGAATCCCTACTCTTTTAACTTTTGATGTAAGAAAAGAATAGGGAATTGGAAATAATAAGCTTAGCAATACCGAGTTAAGGCACTTATTGACAAAATACTGGAGTTTTATTTTCTCCTACCTGCTCAGAAACCATAGCTTATGTTCAGATCTCAGTGCCAATGGCTCTGGAGACCTTCTGACTCTTGGTATGGGCAAATCACAGAATCTGAGAACGGCAGTGATCTCTTTGCACTTTGTTTTTTATGTTTCCAAAAGAGGCTCAGGATAACAATTTTATTTTTAAAGTCAATATCAGAAGAGTCATTTGCAAGATGGACTGTCCATGGGGGAAATCCTTAAAAAGCAGTATCCTATTGGCCAAAATATTCTTAGCAATGTACATGGTCCAGCTTAGAGGCTGCCTTCTCTAAGAAGCCTCTCTTTCCTCTCCAGGAATCATATTCAAATTCGAGATTCAACAAGGATTAAGTGCTTATTATGTGTCAACCACTGTGCTTGGGGCCCTCAGATACATTATCTCTTTAAATCCTGTCATTATAGCCACCTTCAAGATAGGAATTTATCCCAGTTTAACAGATGAAGAAACCAATGGCCATGGCTAATTCATTAACTTTTCAGTCTCTTTGGGACCTTAGAGTCAGGAAGTCCTCCCAAATGTCTACCTAAATTCTTTCTGAATGCTACTGTCCTCTCACTGTCCTCTATTTAGCTGTGGAAATCAAATGATTGGTAAGCCTGAACTGCCTTCTATGGCCCAGAGTTGGAGATGACTGCAAACTCCATTCCTCAAACCATCACCACCCAACCCACGTCTCCACCCCTGCTAGAAAGAAGTCAGCGCCTCAGAAAAGGTAAATGGTGGCAGAAAGACCCTCTGGCAGGATCATGGGCAAAGTGACAGCCCCTCCCAATTCGCTGGCTTCACTCCAGAATGACTCACTATTCCAACTTCAGGCACTTTCTCTTTCTTTGATGTTGCTGTTCCTGGCATCTTCAGCAAGGAGACTGGGGAAGTAGGCTAGAATATTAAGGGGACACACGTAGGTTGGTAACTGCATTAAATGCGGCAACTCTGGTATCTAAGTGGGCTGCTGTTTTGATAAATAGCATTTAACCATCCAGATCCTTCAGTTATCCACCTTCTGCTGAGCTAGTGCTGGGCTGAACTGTGCATGAAGTCAGCAAGACAAGCACGTTTCTGCCCTCTGGGAGCTGAGGTCTGACACCCCTCCTCGTGATGAGATAATCTCTATCAGTGGAGCCAGGTCTCCCAAACGCCATGCATCAAGCAAGTTCCAAAGAAATCAGATAATAAATTGGGGAAAGGCAAAAACTGCAAGGTCTCCTCTAGGCCATTAGAAAAATTCCCAGTTTCCTCTGAAAATTGTTCTACATTGATTCTTCTCTGTACAGATGGTCTCAGGACATAGAACAGTGTTGGGTACACAGTAGGCAACAAATATGTGTTGGATGGATGGCCAGATGAGTAGATGTCAGATGAATGGATAAATAAAATTGGATGAAGAAACAGTATGGAGAAAGACTTTTCTGATCCCCTTAAACTCACCAGCCACGCTAGGGGCAAATGACCTTGTCTCACTGTCTAATGGCCATCCACACTCTGCCTACACCAGCCCCTAGGGAGCTCAGATGTGCTTTCCTCATATCTCTGTGGAAAAGCAGTTCAGACACCTCACTCTGCCTGGGGAAGCTTCACTCTAAACCCAGGGACAGCTGGGATTATGCCTGGCCCAGAGTTCTTTATAAAGAAGCCTTAGACAATGGGAGCCGAGCTCCTTGGGAGACAAGAAGCTTTATTAAAAAGACAGCTAGTTAGAGAGTGGACAGTATTTTTAAATGCATGAGTGTGCTGAATAATTAAGCAAAAACTTTTGTTTTCATGGAAAATTTTCCTCCAAATGCTGCATCAAGCCGGGTACTGAATTTGCCACAGGCAGTTGTTGGCAAGATAGTGAGACTGTGTTTCTTCCAGTCCAGGGAAAGGGAATTCGGATCAGACCTCCAGGCTATGGCCCTCAATTCAAACATAGCCCATGCTTCCTGATGCAGAACAGTCACTCTGGGCATATTAGGAAAGGTCATTTGAAGGTCATTGTCTTTCCCCTGCCTCTGTACTGAAATCACTCATGCTCTTCCCTTGTCAAGATTATCTTTTCACTGGATCGTAAAGTTTTATAGCAACCAGGCCAACTCCCATTCTACAGAAGAAAGCATTGAGGATAAGAGAGGTTAACAGTTTTGCCAAAAGTCCCACAGCAAGTAGATGGCAGAGAGCTGATACTCTATCGAAAATGCAAAAAAAAATACAAAAAAAAATTTTTTTTTTGAGATGGAGTTTCACTTGTTGCCCAGGCTGGAGGGCAATGGAGCGATCTCAGCTCACTGCAACCTCCGCCTCCCAGGTTCAAGCGATTCTCCTACCTCAGCCTCCCGAGTAGGTGGGATTACAGGTGCCTGCCACCATACCTTGCTAATTTTTGTATTTTTCAGTAGAGACAGGATTTTACCATATTGGTCAGTCTAGTCTCGAACTCCTGACCTCAGGTGATCCACCCGCCTCAGCCTCCCAAAGTGCTGGGATTACAAGAGTGAGCCACTGCGCCCGGCTGAAAATGCCCATTTCTTAACCTTTATCATTTTCTCTTCCAACACAAATGGAATTCATCCTTCAATACCCTGCTCAAGTCTCCTCTTGCCCAATTGTTTCTTAATCTATCCCCCTACAAACATCTTTCTCTCCTTCTCTAAATTATTTTTCAAAGGATTTTTTCTTTTCCCTTTTTTCTTTTTTTTTAATTGATATATAATCATCGTACATATTCATGGTGCGCATAATGAGGTTTTGATAGATATATATGTAATGTATAGTGATCAGGGTAATTAGCATACCCATCATCTTGAACATTTATTACTTCTTTGTCTTGGGAACATTCAATATCCTTCTAGCTATTTGAAACTATATAATATAAAAGTTACTTCTTAGAATGTTTATCCTCTGCATCATTCATGGTGTAATTGGCTCCTGCTAAATCATGTTGCTAGTTAACTTTCATATGCCAACATCGTTTTTTATTAAAAAAAAAAAGTCATAAGGTCTTGGAGGGCAGAAACTCTCCCTTACACTTCTTTTGTATCGCCTTCAGCATCCAGCACATAAGTGATACTTGATAAATATTTGTTGAAAATGTGAATCAGTGGATAGATGGATGGACTGAAGGACTAAGTGATAGTGTTTACTAGGTACTTAATGAGTGAGAATAAATAAAATGATAAACTCATTAAATTATATCATGTCTGTATTTGCTTAAAGACTTAGCAGCAGCCAGGCGCGGTGGCTCACACCTGTAATCCCAGACTTTGGGAGGCCCAGGTGGGCAGATCATCTGAGGTCAGGAGTTCAAGACCAGCCTGGCCAACATGGCAAAACCCCATTTCCACTAAAAATACAAAAATTAGCCAGGCGTGGTGGCCCGAGCCTGTAATCCTAGCTACTCAGGAGGCTGAGATAGGAGAACTGCTTGAACCCAGGGGGTGGAGGTTGCAGTGAGCCAAGATGGCCCCACTGCACTCCAGCCTAGGCAACAGAGCAAGACTCCGTCTCAAAAAAAAAAAAAAGTGTAGCAGCAGCTTAGAGTTTACACACACACACACACACACACACACACACAGTGTTCAGGCAGGCCATTTCACTTCATATTCATTTTATAGATGATGAAACTGAGGCACACAGAAAACAGAAGAAACCAGCCACTCTCTCATGGCTAGGAGAAGACACAGGAGGAATTAGAAGCCCCAGCTGAAGACACACGGTCTCATTCCTTTTCAGTGGATGTTTGTGCCTTTAGTCTAAGGGATGAAGAGAAAGTAAGGTCTCCTGGAAAACCTAGGGCACCTTCCAGTGGGTTTTCTCAGGCCCTGGGAAACTGAAAGAAAATAATTCCACTCTTCAGAAAAAGGAGAAACAAAGAATACATAGTGAACGTTTATCTTCATACCCCAAATTACAGGTGTGACTAGTAGCTTAGCTTATTAATTACAAAACTGCCTTATTATGCTCTAATGAAGGCATGGCCTTCTTTTTTTTTTAATTCTCAAAGTACTTGTAGCAAATTTTAGCGTTAAAAATTACTCGAGTCAAAATTACTTACCAGTATGGTAATTCTTTCCAAGGCAACTCTAGACTTAAAGTCATTTTCCCTACCAGTACCACCCGATAGAGTAATTGGCTGCAATTAGCAATGACTTTGTCATTCCTCTCAGAATCTGGCTTCAGCATCCGTGAAACATGCAGATCTTTTTCTCTTTCCCAGTAGGGACTCAGAGCTTCTGCAAATCCCGTCCTCCATTTAGAAAGGAAAAGGAAGGTATTCCCTTGTGTAAAACACCATAGAGTCACAGAAATGGGGGAGGAGTGGACCACGCTCACCTGGCCCAGAGTTCCTGAATGGGTAACACAAAAGGGAATTTTAGGTGGCCCACAGATGGGCCTTAAATGAACTTAATAGTTTGTTTCAATATACGTTAGAGAAAGTATTGAGAGGTGACGGCGTGCGCCCTCGCTCGCTCTCGGCGCCTCTTCTGCCTGGGCTCCCACTTTGGCGGCACTTGAGGAGCCCTTCAGCCCGCCGCTCACTGTGGGAGCCCCTTTCTGGGCTGGTCAAGGCTGGAGCTGGCTCCCTCAGCTTGCAGGGAGGTGTGGAGGGAGACGCGCGAGCGGGAACCGGAACTGCGCACAGCGCTTGCGGGCCATCTGGAGTTCCGGGTGGGCTTGGGCTTCACAGGCCCTGCACTCGGAGCAGCCGGTCAGCCCTGCCGGCCCCGGGCAATGAGGAGCTTAGGACCCGGGCCAGCGGCTGCGGAGGGTGGGCTGGGTCGCCCAGCAGTGCCGGCCCACAGGCGCTGCGCTGGATTTCTCGCCGGGCCTTAGCTGCCTTCCCGTGGGGCAGGGCTCGGGACCTGCAGCCCGCCATGCCTGAGCCTCCCCCCACCCTCTGTGGGCTCCTGTGCAGACCGAGCCTCCCTGACGAGCGCCGTCCCCTGCTCCACGCGCCCAGTCCCATCGACCACACAAGGGCTGAGGAGTGTGGGCGCAGGGCGCAGGACTGGCAGGCAGCTCCACCTGCAGCCCCAGTGCGAGATCCACTGGGTGAAGCCAGCTGGGCTCCTGAGTCTAGTGGGAACTTGGAGAACGTTTATGTCTAGCTAAGGGATTGTAAATACACCAATCAGCACTCTGTCTCTAACTCAAGGTTTGTAAACACACCAATCAGCACCCTGTGTCTAGCTCAGGGTTTGTGAATGCACCAATCCACACTCTGTATCTAGCTACTCTGGTGGGGACATGGAGAACTTTTATGTCTAGCTAAGGGATTGTAAACACACCAATCGGCACTCTGTATGTAGCTCGAGGTTTGTAAACACACCAATCAGCACCCTGTGTCTAGCTCAGGGTTTGTGAATGCACCAATTGACACTCTGTATCTAGCTACTCTGGTGGGGACTTGGAGAACCTTTGTGTCCACACTCTGTATCTAGCTAATCTGGTGGGGAGGTGGAGAACCTTTGTGTCTAGCTCAGGGATTGTAAACGCACCAATCAGTGCCCTGTCAAAACAGACCACTTGGCTCTACCAATCAGCAGGATGTGGGTAGGGCCAGATAAGAGAATAAAAGCAGGTTGCCTGAGCCAGCAGTGCCAACCCACTTGGGTCCCCTTCCACACTGTGGAAGCTTTGTTCTTTCTCTCTTTGCAATAAATCTTGCTGCTGCTCACTCTTTGGGTCCACACTGCCTTTATGAGCTGTGACACTCACCGCGAAGGTCTGCAGCTTCACTCCTGAGCCAGCGAGACCACGAACCCACCAGAAGGAAGAAACTTCGAACACATCCAAACATCAGAAGGAACAAACTCTGGACACGCTGCCTTTAAGAACTGTAACACTTACCGCAAGGGTCCGCGGCTTCATTCTTGAAGTCAATGAGACCAAGAACCCACCAATTCCGGACACAGTATGACTTCCACAGCAAACCCATTAGTATGTTCAGAATGAGGACAAATTTTAAAAGTCAACCAATTGAGGCCGGGCATGGTGACTCACACCTGTAATCCCAGCACTTTGGGAGGCCAAGGCAGGTGGATCACTTGGGGTCAGGAGTTCGAGACCAGCCTGACCAACATGGTGAAGCACCATCTCTCCTAAAAATACAAAATTATCTGGGTGTGTGGTGGTGCACACCTGTAATCTCAGCTACTTGGGAGGCTGAGGCAGGAGAATTGCTTGAATTCGGGAGATGGAGGTTGTAGTGAGCCAAGATCATGCCACTACACTCCAGCCTGGGCAACAAGAGTGAAACTCCATCTCACAAAAAAAAAAAAAAAAAAAAAAAAAGCCAATTGAAAAAATATATATTTGAAGCTCTGATGAAACTTATGAAAATAGTGTGTGAATAAATTGAGGTTTGGAAAATTCTGATAACTATACACCCTCTTTCTATGGGACCAGAAACTCAAGCTCTGAGAAACAGCTGTGGCACCAGAACCCAGCTCTGGTCATTCCCAGATCATTTTTGCTTTTCTCTGCACTATGCAACATCTCCCTTCACTCCAGAGCAGTGGTCATAAACAATGTGAGATTAGCCATGCCTCCTTTGTGTGCAGAAGACACACTGTAGGATTGCTTCTCCCTTCCCCAAGCCCTCTCCCATTCCTCTCCTTCTCCAAGGTCCTGATTCCCCACTGAAGGAACGAACTTATACTCAGATAATTTCAAAATCCACCCTCTGCCCCGTGGCTAGCAACTCACACACCTACCAAACCATACTTGCCCTGGAGCCCCAGTCCTTCATGGCTCCACATCAAACCAGTTACACCCATGGCTTAGCATGCTTTTCTATACTATTAATAGTTACATATATGTATTTTTAGAGGTGCTTCCTAGAATCAAGAAAATGGTTCTAATGGTGGCATCACAGGATGACAAGGAGACAGGAAGGCTTCTTATCACCTTTCAAACATCAAACTGGGAGATGTTCTTTCAACTGCCAAGGTTTTGGGTCCCCGTGTCCCACTCTTATGAAAGAGTTGTTTGATTTACACTGTTTTGCAAATAGTCTCCAGCTATGAGAACCTCCTTGCTGACATTATCCTTCCTGCCCTCCAGCCTGAGCTGCACAAACGTTGCATTGATCGTATTTGCAAGGTCCTGTGCATGTCACTGAGCCCAAGTGATATGAGCAACCAGGTCACCTGCTCCCCAAGGCCTGATCAGGTACCCCAGGCCAGGGAGCCAAAAGAAAGGTGGCACTCGCTAACCAGCCCTATCCACTGACCAAAAATGGGTACCTCTTTTAGGACTTGTGGCCATGGGGACTCTTACCCTTTCAGAGTTTAGGAGTCTAGAAGTGTTACCTCATGACTGCTCATTTATCCTGAAGCCTCTGGCCATTGCTGGCCATCCTACGCTCCTTCTTTACTCTAAGTCTCCTGGCCTCTCTGGGGTAACCCCTAGGTGGCTTCCGTATCTCCCTCCAGATGATGAAGGAAAGCTCTTTGTGGGTTCAGCAAGTCTTAGCTGCTGAGCTAAGTGAAGGCAGGAGTGAGACCCAGCTCTTGCTAGGCCTCAGTTTCCCTGACTATAAAATGAAGGGACTTGATGTAGGTACATTCCGTTCCCCATCCATTAGTCCTTGACCTCTCTGTAGCACCATGCTTTCAAACATTTTTCTCTCGTGGGTTTTTTTAAATCTTTGTGCCTAGTAATCTGCATTCTCTACCAAAGATAAAAGAGCTCAGAGACCACCTGTTAGATACCGTCACAGAAGAGTTCTTCATAGTTCCTTCTTGGCCTTGACAAAGACTTTAAAGCCAGAGGAGTGACAGAAATCCTTTCTCTTGAAGGCCTGTATGTCAGAGAGTGAGGGATATGAAGCAAAACCTGGATTCGAGGCCTGGTTGTACCTCTGCTGGTCGAGGGCTGTGAGCAAGTTTCCCAGTCTTTCTGAGCCTCAGTTTCCTCATCCATACAATGGGGAAACAGTAGCTGCTAGGTCACAGGGTCCTCATGAGAAGTAAATGAAATCATTTACATAGCTGGCATATAGAAGGCATTCAGCATGTGCTAATGGTTAGGATTTGAACAACTGCTTTCTGAGAACAGAACCAGTTCCCTTAAAATCAGCTACTCTATTAATGACTTTCTCCCAAACCCTGGATTTAAATTGTGTGTTGAGTTTTACTGGAAAACAAAAGAGAGGAGGGTGGAAGACTGGATCTGGTGCAGATAGCCAAAAATCAGTCAGCATCTCCCCTACCCAGATGGGCAAGGAACAGAGAGGGTCGCCGGAAGTCTGGGTCGCTGGTTTCAGAGTTGCTAGTTAAAGCTGGAATCCTTGTTCCCGCCACTACCAACCCCCATCACCCCATTCCTTTCCATCCCCTCTCCTTTCAATCAAACACTTCAAAGAGGCGCCCGGAGAAGGGAACTGTGAATTCTCTGCTCACTAGTTGTCATGAGAGGAAACCAAAGAATGTTTCTTTTCGAGACTGCGTCTGCTCATCCAAACCAGTTTTACTAGCTGGGGGGACCTGAGCTCAAAGGCAGGCTCATGGGCTGATGAAATTCAGATGTGAGGCCGCAGAGAAATTGCACTACGGACAGGAAAATGAGAGGCGCCCAGCAACACTGGGCTGGGCAAGGGCCAGGACAGCAGGAGAGGGTGCAGGAGAGGGAGAGAAAGGGTCACTGTGGGGGTCAGAAGAGGGAGAGGGGGCGCCCGGGAGAAAAGCAGATAGTGAGAAGAAAAGAGCCGAGAAAGGCAGAAAGAGAAAAGAGGAGAGAGGAGAAGAGAAGAGACAAAGCCTGAGAAAGCATTTTATTTTTCTTCTTTAAAGAGTGAAAAAAACAAACACTCCAACTGTTTCAACTGACAGGGAATGTTCATCTGCTGAAGGCATTATTAGGACGGGAGATAAGGAAACCACGGAGATAGGAAATAATTATTTTGTATCTGTCTTTATAAATGAAAATGAAGGGCATTAACTTAAATAGGATTTAGATTTTCAGGGACAGAAGGGAATGAATTAGGAAATAATTCTGATAACAAAGGAAATGTTTATTAAAAGGTCAGGGGGGGCTCTTGAAACTGACAAGGCCTCATGGGCCAGATTTAAAACCCCTGCTAAGCTGCGAGGGAGTTCCAGCAGGGCCAGAGCTACGGGGTCCAGTGGGTACCACTTGTGCGAGATAACTCAGCTCAGGGCAGAGGATCGGTGGAAAAGATGACTGACCTCCTGGCCTGACTTGGAAGTCAGTGGCCTGTAACTCAACAGGTGGGAGCCAGGCACCTGTGCTAAGAGCAGAGCAGAAGTGGGCAGAGGCATCCTGGGCTGGACTCAGCTTCCACAAGGATCCTTCATCCTCACTTCCACCCTCCTGCTAGCTTGTGGGAGGGGTGCTACATGGAGAAATTGGGTGGGAAGGGAAAAAAGGAAGGAGCCACATCAGTGACAATGCCACATTCACAGATCCCCACAGCCTGAATGCCCTCCATGAAGTCCTCTGTCTCCCGGGTGTGTACCCAACTAGGCCAGATGGAGCTCTCCCCAGCATTTCTCCATTCTTTCTATGGAGGCACCTGGAAAACAGTAGCTGGGAGCCTGCACTGTGGCATCGGATTGCCTGGGTCTACATTCTGATTCTGTCTCTTTCAAATTGCTGACTTTAGATGAGTTATTTCAATTATTTGGACCTGGCTGGACACAGTGGCTCACACCTGTAATCCCACCACTTTGGGAGGCCAAGGTGGGTGGATCACTTGAGGTCAGGAGTTTGAGACCAGCCTGGGCAACATGGCAAAACCCCGTCTCTACTAAAAATACAAAAAAAAAAAAAAAAAAAAAAATTAGCCAGGCATGGTGGCACATGCCTGTAACCCCAGCTACTTGGGAAGCTGAGGTAGAAGAATTGCTTGAACACGGGAGGCAGAGGCTGTTGTGAGCTGAGATTGCACCATTGCACTCCAGCCTGGGCAACAGAGCAAGACTTCATCTCAAAAAAAAAAAAAAAAAAATTACCTGGACCTCAGCTTTCTCAGATGTAAAATAGAAATCTAATGATCATACCTCTCTCATAGGGTAGTTGGAAGGATTAAGTGACACAATATTAAAAAGTTCATTGGGAGGTCAAGGTGAGCAGGTCATCTGAGGTCAGGAGTTCGAGACCAGCCTGGCCAACATGGTGAACCCTTGTCTCTACTAAAAATACAAAAATTAGCCAGGCATGGTGGTACTTACCTGTAATCCCAGCTACTCTGGAGGCTGAGGCAGGAGAATTGCTTGAACCCAGGAGGCAGAGGTTGTAGTAAGCCGAGATCACGCCACTGCACTCCAGCCTGGGTGACACAGTCAGACTCTGTCTCAAAAAGAAAAAAGAAAAGAAGAGAAAAAGAAAAGTTGATAGAACAGTAAATATAGTAAATAATAAAATTATATTTATTATAACACAATTATTAGAGGTATCCTGGCTAACCTTCAAAACCAAGTAAGTTCTTCTTTATGTCTAAATTTAGTGCCTCCTCTTGTCATTTGGGCCTCTCTCCTGATTGAAAAGAATTAATTGCCGCTCAAGTCCACCTACATGTCTGCCTGCCTTGGCTTTGATTTCTGTCACAGAAGTGGCTCTTCCTCACTCCCCTTCTGTCCTTCTCTTCCACCCCCAGCAGGGTTGGAGGTGGAAAGCTTTTCAACAGCCAAAACTGGTGTCTGTAGACTGACCGTGTTAAAGCCTCCAACAGGAGAGGGAATCAGAGGCTCAAGTTCAGGAGCAAGGGAAGCCACAGATTGCCATGGCCTCATCTCCCAGAACCGTGTGGCAACGTGAAGCTTGGAGGGTGTTTCGGAGCTGCAGGATCTGCCTCCAGTGCTGATACTGTAAGTACCCAGGACACCTTCCAGGGGCAGAACTTCACACGAGGACTCCTTTGCAGGTGTCTAAGCTTAGCGTTTCTGTGCGGAAATCTGGGGGCTGGCTCTGTGGACTCACTGAAAGCTCTCTGCTGACAGAATCAGATAATCAGCTAATACCTGACCCCGCCGCGTCCTGAGCCTTGGACTGATACATAACAATGTCATCAGGCCTGCCTTCTAAGAGCCTTAGCCAGCTTACCTCCTCTTTCAGAGAGTCTGCCCTGGGTAATTATTCCAAACTCGTGCCTGTGAGGAGGGCTAAGTGTCCTGTCACTGTAATCCTCTGGGACGATCTCTCCTAACACCCCCTTCTCTCCACAATTGGCACTCCCAAAGTTCTGTGCTGGCCCTTGGAGATGGTAGCTTACTCCCGCCAGGGGGTAGCTCTCTTAGATGAGTTCCTGAGAAAATGGGTTGAGACAAAAGATTGGCCCTGGGATCCGCAGAGGTGGAGGCCAAGAGGAGGCCCCCAAGTGCACCTGTTCTAGGAATCCCAAGCTGAGAGCCAACCCTTCCCAACCAACCTTGCAAATAGTCACTGGCCCACCCATTCAGGTCAATGGAAAACCAGTGTAAATGAAGTAGCAGAGGCCCAAGATGTCCAAGTGCCTCCAGCTTAGGAGCATTCCAAGGAGGGGAAAATATTTGACTTGTTGGTAAATCAATATTTGTGTTTCTGCATAAAGCCAGGAGACTTACCTGCTCCTCAGTCTGGAATGGGTACCTGCAAAGTGGGAGGGAAGAGACAGCCTAGACTAGAATCTCAGCTCTGGACTTCCCTTAACCACCTCTCTGAGTGTCCTGAATTTCCTCATCTTAAGAAAGGGGAGGTCCTTTTGTAGTTCATAAGCGAGATGATTGGGTGTTCAGGCACATGTGTGAGATGTGCCTCCTTCAAACCTTGTTACAACGTCAGCACATTACCCGCCTGACATGAAAAAAAAAAAAGGAGGGGGAATAATAGTATCAACCTCATGGGGATTTCTGTGAAGATTAAATGAGCAAGTAAGTGCCAATTGCATAATACCAAGCACATCGTGAATGCCTGATACACTTCGGCCTTTTTAAATTGCTTTTATACTCATTCAGTATTTTATAGTTTACAAAGCATGTCCACATATACGTATTAACTAATTCAGTCCTCACAGCATCCCTGTAAGGAAGTCATCATGGACTCCAAGTTTTGGAGACGGAACATCAAAGCTCAGGGAAATCTAATGACTTGCCCAAGGTCAATAATTCATATTTTTAAACAATCCAATCAAGACCAGTTGCTTGCTTAGGGTTTTGACCATTTGGTACAGGTATCAAAAGCTAAACACCAAATGTGAATCATTACCCACTTCCTTGAAGTGTCTTGCCAAAAGGGTATGATTGTGGTTTCATGCTGACCTGACCTGCACCTGTACCTGAGCCAGACCAAAACTTGGCCCTCTATGGGGCGTTTGCAGGGTTGAAGATAGATCAGTGTCATTGTGCAAATTATTTCAAAGCCATGAGGATTCAGGGCTCTCTTGTAGCTCAGTGGAGAGTGTAGAGAAGAGGGTGACGATGTCACACATGAATAATGCATAGAGGGTGCTAAACTTCAGTTTAAGCAAGATCCAAATGCTCATTTCATCTTTGATTTCTCCTTCTGGCTGTGCCATTCCCCATAGCCACTGATCCCAGGGCCTTCTGCTGGAACTGTATGGCTGCCCGCTAAATTGGCTGTTCTTGATAGTGAATAGAAAGAGGAGGGGGGCTGGAGGCAGAGAGAAAAAAAAGATAAGTTGAGGGGAGGGGATTAGGGAAGATGAAAGAGGGAGATGAGAGAAGGAAGCTCTTTCACTGTACTACTCTTACGCAGACTGCCATGGACCCCGAGAACTTGGTGAGGTTTTGTTCCGGGAGAACTTTTCCGGTCTTTTCACTGTGTGGCTGTCACAGACTGAGCTCACTTCTCAAGAAGTGGGAGCGGTACAGGGCCGGGCCCCAGTCTGATGGGGAGACCAGCAGAGGAGTCCTGCCGTCATTCGCAGGGGAGCGAAAGGGGACTTTCAGACAGGGCAGAAGGCAGACTTTGCTCAGCATGACCCAAAGCCCAGCCTCAGGAGCTGAACACAAATATGGAAATAACAGCACAGATTCTGGGGATGTGACACAGGCGGCTTTTGCCCCGGCTGTGAATCTGGAAACAAATGAGAACTACAAAACCGGCTTGTTTGGTTTAGTGAGGAGGCAGGTGCCAAAACAGCAAATGTCACCCTCCCCATTAAGCCTGGGCAGTTTAGATTCCCATTAGTCCTAGAAATGGGATACAGCCTCTGTGGGGTCAGAAGGCCAGAGGCTGCAGCAGCATTGTAGCATCAAGCGGGGAGAGAGGACACAGAAAGACTTGTGATGTCAGCCCTAGGTGGGGCCGGTCTGTTTTAAGGAGATGTTCTAAGTTCAAACCCAGGGAAGATGGGCTTTGGCAAGCACAACTGAAAAGATTTCCACTTGTCCCCTTCTTAAAAATCAGTAGGTAGACTGACTACTCTAGGATAAACTGCCAGCAGCTTTGTTTTCTTTGGGGCCGCCATCTGAAGCAGCTGCAGCTGATTTTAATGAGACATAATAATATTCTATCAGTTCTGTGAGCTATAGACTGAGCCCACTGAGGGAACCTGCTCAACCCCCAAAATGATCAGACTTGTCAAAATATGATCATTTTGTTCCTTATTATAAATGAAAAGAAGATATGATTTAAGTGTCATCCTCTGGGTATGGGAGCTGGATTCCTATAAATCAATCATCCCAAATAAACTCTTTGGACTGATTTCACTACAAATATGCTGCAAACAATTTCTTTAAACAAAGCATAAAAGTATTACTGTATCTCTGCAACGTCAAAATGGCTTTAGATATGCATTATTGGGTTGCTGGGGTGTTCTTTGGTTAAAATATGTTATTTATGGTGTTGCGCCTGACAGGCGAAGTCAGTGCTGACTGCCTGCTGGATAAACCTCCCTCTTGGTTGCCTCTCAGTCCCCAACAGTGAAAATGGTGAAAGAGGACGGGTGTCCAGGGTAGGGAGAGGTCCAAGGGCCAGGCTGGGGTCCCTAGACTTTGCATATGTGACATATTTCATCTTCATAATGGCTCCCATTATATTGAAGGGTGGTAAGCATATAATTTCAGGCTATAGCCTATTTGAATAGGATTTCCAGGTCTGTTACTAGCCATCAGACTTAGAAAATCATACGATGCCTCTTTCATTCAGTTTTCTTTCTTAAAATGGGGACAATGGTGACAACAATAACATCTAACTCTTTTGGTTTTTGTGCGGATCCAACAGGGGTAAACATGGGAAAGTACTTAGCATGGTGTCAGACACATGGTTGCACCAGGTCATGTTAGTTAGCTATTGTTATTATTATTAGAAACCCTGGGAGTTGCAGGGCATGGTGGCTCACGTCTGTAATCCCAGCACTTTGGGAGGCCAAGGCGAGCGGATCACTTGAGGTCAGGAGTTTGAGACCAGCCTGGCCAACATGGGGAAACCTCATCTCTTTACTAAAAATACAAAAATTAGCTGGGCGTTGTGGTGCATGCCTGTAATCCCAGCTACTGGAGAGGCTTAGGCACGAGAATCGCTTGAACCCGGGAGGCAGAGGTTGCAGTGTACCAAGATCACGCCACTGCACTCCAGCCTGGGTGACAGAGCCAGACTCCTTCAAAAAAAGAAAAAAAAAAAAGGAGAAACCCAGGGAATTTTCTGTCCCAAGGAGGTGCTATGGAGCAAAGCTATGCTCATAGACTGTAATCTGTCTTAACATGATGTCTTCACTTTATTCTGTCCAGAAAACTAGACTTGCAGAGGACAATGAACAACCCTATGCCATAGAGTTCTGAAGCCCCATCTTCCCCTAAGGTGCCTGCATCATCGGTCTCAGAAAGAAGGCAGTGTAGGGAAGGAGGTGACGTACTAAGAGTTTTTCCGCAAAGTAGATTTGTCTATTAAGCCCCATGTCACCGGCTTTCCATCTCTCTACACTCACCTGGACAGGCATTTCTTCCATGCCACATTTTTGTAGCGCTCCAATCTGTCCACATTTTAACAACCTTGTACCTCAGTCGAGATAGAGCCTGAAAAGTTTAATATCATGTCAAATAAGAGAGCCAATAAAACTTGACATTATTAATATGATGTCAAGGTTTTTTTTTCCCAACTGCTTAGGGAAAAAACATTGTGTCCCATTAAGTTGAGCTCCTTGCACTGAGAAATATTAAGTGACTTTTCAATGACTACCAGCTGGAACTATTAGTTTTCTTCATAAGCATTGCTGCCGTCGATTCTGAGAGGCCAGTTGAGAACCTTTTATGAAGATGCTGGATGAGCTGGTGCAATCAGAAAAGCTTTTAGGTTTCCCTGGGATCCCTCTTTAAGTGGGGCTGTGTATGGAAATGGGGATATGAATTATTAAAAGGCTTAAATACATTTGGCTGAGAGAGCATGGGCTTCATACTCCCTCTGTCCATTTATCCCCAAAGGACTGCAGTAGCCTTTCAGGACAATCTGGTGTGGACTGGAAAACCAAGGCCAGAGTCCTGGAAAGAGGAGCACACAGGGCTTCCCTCACTGCCTGGCACCCCCTGCCCCAGCCGTCAGCAGCATCACGGTGGGTACAAGAGCTGCTGGTGTGGTGCGGCCCACTGTTCCGCCCTGGCAAGGGAGGGGGCATGAGTGCCCACAGCTGCTCCTGGCCCTTGCTCACACTGGGCTTCTGGGAAGGACACTGTCAGGAAGCTGTTGGGGGCCTCTGTTTCCCTTGGCCGGGGTCCATGGTTGCTTCACAGCACGTGGCTTTCCATGTCAGAGTCCCTTCCCGGGAAGAGGTCAGGACTTAAAATAAGCTGGCGTGACTCATGTCTGAGTTGGGAGATGCCTCGTGCAAGTGCTGGCTTTTCAGGAATGTGCAGCTGGGGCAGCTGAAAAGAAAGCTCCAGAGGCTCAGACCTGGATTTCCAGAGTCTTTTGGCTGCTCAAGCCCAAATAAGATTGTTTCAACTGTTCCTACATCTGGACTGTTCAGACACCAGCATTTCTCCTAGGCTTTCTTATCCCCAGGGAAGCTGTTTCTGTAGCATTTACCCCATTTCCGACCCCACCCCAACACCATTTGGCTACCCACCCAAGTGTCTCATCACTTTCATTGTGGATGACTTTTATAGTTCCTAGCTGTGACACCTTCTAAGAGGTATACCTGTGTTCTTAATCTCAGGAATCCAGTGAGCTGGCTACAGAGGCAGTTGCAAGCTGGTGCTTATTTATGTAAGGCTGGAGTGTTTATTATAGGGTTGTATTCCTTTAGTGAGATCAAAAAATTAAGAGATGGATGGCAAACAGAACAGTCCTTATTTAGACTTCTGTGATGTTCCAGTTGACATACTTCCCCCTTGCCCTTTGCCCCCACTCATCCTGCACCATCTGGGGGCACATGACCCCGGGGATAGCAGATGGAAGGCAGCTTGCTCTTCTTAAATTTCACCCAACTCTTAAGAGACCTCTAGGGAAAATACCCTTGGGATGGTTCCTTAGGGGCACCTTGAGCACTCAAACCCCAATACTGTGGTCAGGAGCAGCTGATGAGGAAAATCCCTGTCCATGGACTTCTCTCTTCTCCATGGAAGTTCAGGATTGGATGATTCAGCCAAGGGCAAGGAGGTTGGGTGAGAAATTTGTCTTGTACAGGTATAGCGTAATTGACAGCAGCTATTCCTCTCTGCTTCCATTGATCTCAAGATAAAACAGAAGACAATTATTATTATTGTAGAAGGAATTTAGTTCAAATGCCAGAAGAATCTCCCAACTCCCAAGATGGTGGCCTTCATGAAGCTGTGAAATCTCTAGTGCAGGGGGTCCCCCTGTTCTGAGCTCTTAGCTTCACCCCAGCTCAAATCCGACAATTCCTAAGCAGCACCTTTCTTTTTCTGGGACATGATCTAGAAGGCTCATATAGCTTACTTGGGATTTTGAAGTGATAACTCCAAGAAAATTGGGAGAGTCAAGTGAACCTTGGATAAAGAATGAAATAGAGGCTGGGTGCAGTGGCTCATGCCTGTAATCCCAGAACATTGGGAGGCTGAGGCAGGTGGATCACTTGAGGTCAGGAGTTCAAGACCAGCCTGGCCAACCTGGTGAAACCCCATCTCTACTAAAAATACAAAATTTAGCCAGGCCTGGTGGCACGCGCCTGTAGTCCCAGCTACTCAGGAGGCTGAGGCAGGAGAATCGCTTGAATCTGGGAAGCAGAGGTTGCAGTGAGCTGAGATCGTGCTACTGCACTCCAGCCTGGGCGACTAAGTGAGACTCTGTCAAAAAAAAAAAAAAAAAAAAGAAAGAAAGAATGAAATAGAAACAGGTCTGCAAACCTGGGCTACTGTGGGAAAGGATGGAAGACTAAAAAACAAGAGACTCCGTCACAATTGTTCAGAAGCAAATTCAACTCTACCTCTGGGCTTTGGTTTCCAGGAAAATAAGACCTGCCTGGACCTATATTAGAATTGTTGTTAGGATCCAGTGAAATCATGGATAGAAACATCTCAGGAAAAAATATAAATTACTTTAAAAATATAGAGGATTACCACTCTTACCAGTCCACCTTCCCGCTCAGAGCTGACAGTGAGGATGTCCCCCAATGGTGGGAGGTAGAATCAGATGACATTTAAGATCCCCTTCACCTCTAAGAGTCTATGGATATATTCTCATTCTTCCCCCTATAGGTTTCACTTAGCCCACTCTTCATTTTGAGGCAGGGCAAGGGAGCAGAGTATATGAGCTGGCAACTCTCAGTCTACTTAGAGCAAAGACTGACATCCGGGACACACGCTGCAACACAGACAAACCCTGGGGACATTATGCTAAGTGAAATAAGCGAGGCACAAAAAAGACAAATGCTACATGATTCCCTTTCTGTGACATACCTAGAATGGACAAAGCCGTAGAGACAGAAAGTGGAATGGTGGTTACCAGGGGCTGTGGGGAGTGGGATGAGGAATTAGTGTTTAATGGGTATAACGTTTCAATTCAAGAGGCTAAAAAAGTTCTGGAGATGGACTGTGGCGATGGGTGCACAACAATCTGAATATACCTAATACCCGTGAGCTGCGCACTTAAAAATTGTGAAAATGGGCCAGGAGCGGAGGCTCACGCTGTAATCTCAACACTTTGGGAAGCTGAGGCAGGTGGATTACTTGAGCTCAGGAGTTTGAGACCAATCTGGGCAACGTGGAAGAACCTTGTCTCTACAAAAAATACAAAAAAAAAAAAAAATTAGCTGGATATGGTAGCATGCGCCTGTAGTCCCAGCTACTCAGGAGGCTGAGGTGGGAGGATCACTGGAGCCCGGGAGGCCAAGGCTGCAGTGACCATGACCGTACCACTGCACTCCAGCCTGGGGGACAAAGTGAGACCCTGCCTCAAAAAAAAAAAAAAAAAGGTTAAAATGGTAAATTTTGTCATGTATATTTAACCACAATTTTAAAAATCCCTGACATCAAGTCATACAGCTATGAAGTAATAAATTCCAATTCAAACCTAGGAGTAAGGTTTAGCCACTAAAATATACTGTTTGTCATGACAAACTGACCTGCCACCGTCCCCCTATGATTTGGGAAGGCTATCTCATTCATTGTCCTATTGGTGACGGCAGCAAGAAAGGATTCCACAATGGTGTGGGGTTGTCATCTGTGCCCCTAAGCACCCAATGTTGTACATGTCACAGAATCTGGGATTTTAAGAAAGCCTTAAGTTTGTGTTATCCCAGCTGGGGTAGCTCAAGACCATCCTTGGGCCCAGCAATTGGAGGCGTTCTCCCAAGCAAATGGAGGGAATTGTCTCTCTCTCCTTTTTGCTGCAGCTCAACCTTTCTTCACCTTCCTGCTTTAATGACTTAATCAAGTGTCAGATGAGAGGAACTGATCCATGCAAAGGACAGAAGTTTCAACAGGATGTGTGGAACCCACTGCTGCTCCCTTCCCCTGCCCCAGAGTCACCGCCCTACCAGAGAAAGATGGGGGAGACAGAAAAAGAAAAGAGAAAAAGGCGAGAGAGATTTTGTACCCTTAAGCCTCCACTGCCGCAGTTCAAAAGACCAATCTTTACTGAAAATAAATTTAAAGGAGAATTTTTGATGTATATTATGGTCTCTGGTGGTAGACAAGAGCACTGCCGGCAGTGTATGGAGTTATGCAAAGCCAAAGTGGGATTACTTAAAAGTGTCTGTAGTGCTTTGATTAACTGGTGTGTATTTTATTTTTTATATGACACAATCACAGGCCTACATTGATAATATCTTGCTATTATTGTTTGACAGTTGAATCTCCCTTTTTCCTATCACTTGGAAGTGGGCTTTGTGCAGTTTGGGGCAAGGAGCAGAGGATCAAGATGATCCCCAAAGGGATAAAAATGAGATGTGGTCCCAACTTCTCATTTAAAAAAAATAAATAAAAGCAGTGTATAAAAGCCCCAGGACCTGTCATAGAAAATGAAGAACTGACAGATCAGACAATAGAGACTCAAACAGATGGCCAAGTGCATGGGCTGAAAGAGAGTCCAAACTACCTTCTGAGGTTTCTTATGCCTGTCTGGAAAATATCCCCCCATGAATACATCCTCTGGGAATCAGAGGATGCCCCACCTTTCTCTGTTCTGCTTTGGGACACAGGCTCTGGAACGCTACAAATTGCATTTCTCTTTTGCCAGTTAGCTCCTGCTTGGCTCTGCATCTAGCGGGAGCTAGAGGGAGATGAGAAAGCTGAAGGAGATGAGAAAGGATTTGTTGCTCCCTATTTGCCTGGTGCTTCTGCCAGTGTCGTGCCTGGAGAGAAGCTCTGTCCAGTAATTGCTTCCAACTGACAGCTTCATTGGCTCTCCCAATACCAGCCTCACTGCACGCCCCCCAAGAGGTCACAGCACCAGCCAGGCAGTGCCCCCTTCTTGGACATCTGAGTCCCCACTCCACAGAGCCCCTTCCCAAGCTCCTAAGATATTAGCAGCAGCTGTGTCACACCTCAGAACTCTGAGCCTTGGGGCCCCTCCTTCAAGCTTCAGAGGCAGCAGCAGCACCCAGGCAGCACCCCCAGCTTTGAGGTGTAGCTCCAAGTGCTGCAGGGTTCCTCCTCGGAGCTTCTCGGTTCTGGTAACCCCAGGTTCTCCTCATTGTTCATCCAGACCTAGGTAAGGACTGCTTCCTTCCATTTAACCAAGCCCCTGTATAAAATATTTTCTGTTGAAATGCCTAGAGTGGTTTCTGTTTTTCTGACTGTACTCTGCTCCTTGAAACAAAGTTGTCTGAGCACTTGGGGCCAAGGGATGGAGGATTGCACCATCCTCCTTAAGGCAAAGATGATGCAGACCAGGACTTGGGCCTGGCTGGGCAGCATTCCTGAGGCTCACAAAGCCCAGGAAGAGAGGCCCATCAAGCCAGTTCACCACCTCACAGGGTATGAATAATTCTCATGGAGGTAAGGATACCAACTGTGGTGGCTGAGAAACCTGGAGAATCCTCTTCACTCCACTGGGCAGGAAATGAAAGGTGAGGCAAGGAGAAAATCCACTCAGGGCCAGACATGGTGGCTCACACCGGCAGTCCCAGCCAGCACTTTGGAAGGCTGAGGCAGGAGAACCACTTGAGACTGGGAGGTCGAGGCTGCAGTGAGCCATTGTCATACCACTGCACTCCAGTCTGGGTCACAGAACAAGACCCTGTCTCAAAACAAACAACAACAACAAAAAACCCTCACTCAGGCCTTGCCTTGGAAACTCTCTAGAACGAGGAAATAGGCCCTTGGGATGCATCCTCTTCGTTCATAGAATGGGCAGAGCAGCTGTTTTCCTGGCTGGCTTTTCCCAACTGAGTCTCTTGCCATCCCCCTCTGGAGCTCACAAAAACAAACTCAGAGATTTATTTTTCTTTCTAATTTCCTGAGATCTCATAAGTACTAGTCTGACTCTCCCTGCACCCTAGTTCCTTACATCCTCTGCTCATGCACACACTGCACCGTGGAGGGTCTTGTCTAAGGCCTGAGCTGAGAATTCCATCGTTGACCCCATCCTCCACATCCACTGGTGTCTAAAAATAGAAGCCAAGTCTCTATTGTCACTGTGCTAGGAGATTATGTGTTTGAAGGCAAAATATACACTCTGGTGTTCATGGGCACAGCCCTTCTGCCCTCCCACCTGCCCTGGTATAAGCTTGAGGCTTTGGGGAGTCATTTTATTTCCTCCCCAGCCAGATTCTCTATCTGAACTTCCTCCAAACATAGTGGGGAGTCTTCTATTCTTAAAAGATAACTATGACATTTCTTTATTCTTTAGCTCTGTATGTCCTCTGGTTCATTCAGGTAGATCCCCTTTTAGCATTGTAAAGTCAAAAGACCTGGCCTCTCACTAGCTGTGTGACTTCTGGTGAATTGATTAATCTCTCTGAGTTCCAAACTCTCTCACTTGAAAATCCCGGCAAAGATTGTCTATTTCACAGGGTTGTCCTGAGGGTCAAATACGATAATATATGTAAGAGCATTTTGTGCACAGTAAAGTCCTGTACAAATGGGAGGTGATATTATTGCAACAGTTGCTGCCCAAGCCACTCACTGCATTATTATTATCTAAGTCCTCCTTCTGGTGCTTTAAACTCATTTCTTTTTGCTCTGTCTGGTTGGGTTATGGCTGTTGATTTCTCCCTGGGGCTCCAGCTGCAGACAGAAGAAGGCTGAATCAGCCCTGTGTTTCCAGTATTGATTCTAAGAACTCTCTCCAGGCCTCTAGCCCCACCAGGCTCCCCAGAGCATGGCCCAAGCTGTCCCTGGGGGGCCATATTTTTAGGCCTATCCAGTTCCAACTGTGAAGCTTCTTCAGACCGGGCTGGCAGGAGCCCAGGCAGTGTGTGCATGAATCATAACTGCCTGTGGTCCCATTATGCAGGTCAGGGTGGCTGTGGAGGAGGCAGGGCCCTGACCTCAGAGGTCCGGGGATTATTTATTGCCTTTGGCCTCATGGGCTAATTTGGGCCTCTGCCCAGCCCGGGGGAAATGTCTTCATCTTCCTTCTTCCCCAAGGGCAAGGTGAATTCAACTCTCTTTATTGTCTACCTCATAGGAATAAAAGATGGGGGCTGGCGGGGAGGGGAGAAAAAATGTAGCACTCCCAAGAACAACATCCTATACTAAATTCTGCAGTAAAAAAAAAATTGGGCCAGGCGCAGTGGCTTATGCCTATAATCCCAGCACTTTGGGAGTCCAAGGTGGGCAGATCTCTTGAGGTCAGGAGTTTGAGAGCAGCCTGGCCTACATGGCAAAACCCTGTCTCTCCTAAAAATACAAAAATTAGCTGGGCATGGTGGCAGGTGCCTGTAATCCCAGCTACTCGGGAGGCTGAGGCATGAGAATCACTTGAACCTGGGAGGTGGAGGTTGCAGTGAGCTGAGATTATACTACTGCACTCCAGGCTGGGTGACAGAATGAGACTCCGTATCAAAAAAAAAAAAATATATTAAACAGAGAACCCCAGCTCTCAAGGAGTTTATAAAGGTAATGAAAATCACCTATGGGAACAATCTTAGCCCCTTACAATTGATCTAATAGCACGCATGCTAAAACAGTGCCAGGCAGTGGGAGCATCAGATCTAGGAAGGATTAAGGAAGGTGAGAGGCAATCAGGAAATATTTCTTAGATAACATCCCCTTTTTCTTTCTTTTTTAAACAAGCGCTTTGCAGAAAATTAGAAAATGAATATGTAAAAAGAAGAAAATAAAAATCACCCATAATCCCTACCTGAGGATAATGACTCTCTACAGGTTGATCTATGCCCTTCCAGACATTTTTCGATACATGTATTTATATTCATACAATATTAATAAAAATCAAATTATTCTGGGTGTACTATTTTATAACCTACTTATTTCACTTAATTTCTTGTGTCAATAGATATATATCTTCATTATTTTTAATGACTGCTAATAATTCTCTTGCATGGATGTAAAAGAGAATGTGTATGAATTTTGCCAGTCCTCTGTTATTGGACATTTCAGAGATTTCCAGTTTGTGCCACCTTAAACAATGCTTCAGTGAACATTCTGGTGCTCAGCTCTTTATGGACATGTATGATTATTTCTTTAGGATAAGTTCCTAGAAATAAAAGTACTGAGCCAAAGGATAAACATATTTCTAAGGCATTTATTATCCTCTGTCAAGTCGTCCCTTGCATTTTGCACCAAGGTACACTTATAATCAAATGAAGAATGTGAAGATTTAAATTAGGCTTCGAGGCCAGGCACCGTGGCTCATACCTGTAATCCTAGCACTTTGGGAGGCCAAGGCAGGCAGATTGCTTGAAGCCAGGAGTTCAAGACCAGCCTGGCCAACATGGTGAAACCCTGTCTCTACCAAAAATACAACAATCAGTAGTCCCAGCTACCTGGGGGGCTGAGGCATGAGAATCGCTTGAACCCAGGTGGCAGAAGTTGCAGTGAGTCGAGATCGTGCCACTGCACTCCAGCCTGGGCAACAGAGCATGGATCTGTCTCAAATATAAATAAATTAGGCTTTGAAAGTGGGGAGAGATGTGGATTGGAAAACAGGTATGGAGACAAACTTGGGATAGGGAAAACAGGTATAAGGCATTGAGATGTGGTCTAAACAAGTCATTTCTTTATTATTAATTTTTTATAGAGAGACAGGGTCTCGCTTTGTTGCCCAAGCTGGTCTTGAACTCCTGGCCTCAAGCTATCCTCCCACCTCAGCCTCCCAAAGTGCTAGGATTATAGATGTGAGCAATCATGCCCAGCCAAGTCATTTCTTTATTCAACAAACATTCATCTAATGTTGGCTGTGAGACAGGCACTATGCTCAACACACAAACACACACAAAAAAGCCTTTGAGAAAGGGGATTAGAAGGAATATGGGTTTGGGCTTGGTTAAGCATCTGTGTTGGGAGTAATGGAAAGTAATGGAAAAATGCCTCATGGGTGCACTTGGAAGGCTTAGCTGAGTAGTGGGACGAGGCCTGGCTCTGACCTTCTATGGAGTGAAGTTTAGGGGTCAACACTGAGGCCTTGAGTAATAGACACCTACATTGCAATCCTGGCTCGGCCACTGTCAATGTTTAGCCATGTAACTTAACCTTGAGAGGCTCATGTCTTTAGCTTCAAATATGGGGAATATAACCGCTACCTCATTTGGCTGTTGTGAAGGCAAAATAATCTAAGTCATGTTAAGGGCTGAACAGAAATGAAGTAAATGCTCAATAACCATTGACCATCATTACTGCATTGGTGGGAAGTGGACAGGTTGGTGCAGGTCTGAGAAGATGTAATGGACCCCACATCCCCAGCTCAGTGACACATTGCGTTCTGGTCTACCTACATTCTCTGTATAGCCATTGGGCCCCTTTAATGCTGACCTCAGGGGATGATGTGGAGTGATCCAGCTGGCTCTCTGATAGGGCAAAAAGAAATAAAGCAGAAGACAAAAACAAATAAGAATATCGCCCACCCCCAGTGGCCATGAGGTCCTGAGGCTGGATCACTTCTGTTCGCCCAACACTACTCCTGCCTGCTGTTGCAATGGGCCTGCTGGCCAAGTTTGCAGGAGCCGCTGTGGAGGCTTGCTCCTGTCTCACACAACAGGTACCACAGGGAGTCTCTTTGAGCCTGTGATCTACCTATTTGTCCAGTGACTGCCTGTCAATCTCCCTCAGTGTCACTTCCGATAAATAGCTCAGAGAGAGCGACACCTTGATACATCAATTCCATCTGAGATTCCCCTGACAGGCCTCCCAGCGTCTGAATCATCTGGGTGATTCATGGCCCAGCATAAGCACCGATGAACCCTTTCAACCACGGCTGGGCGCTGCATCAGCCTCACACTCATCAAACAGACTCCAGGCTCCTCCTCAGACCAGCCTCATTTTACTGTCTCCTACCTACTTCCCAAGGATGAGAGGAGTCTGTTTATCCATCCTTTTAGTAAACATGAATCAATCCAGGGCTAGCAGAGGCTAAAAGAGAAAGGGAGAGGACTGAAATCATCGTCACAAGATCCAGGTTCTGGAACTGTTTCTGCTACCAGCATTCCTGCAGCTCCTAAAAAATCATTTAACCTCTGTTAGATGGGATAACTACAAACATCTCTACTCCACACATAAGAAGATATACAGGTAAAGAATCGTAGAACGTTAATCTCAAAGGAGAGGTCTTCAAGATCATCAGGTTTAACTGTCTTTATATTTATTCACTGAACAAATACTTACTGAGCGTCTATTATGTGCCAAGAACCATTCTAGCATTGGGAATATATCAGTCAACAAACAGACAAAAATATCCTACACTCATGTGGCTTACAACCTTTATGAGAAGAGACAGAGAGCAAACTAAATAAATAAGTAAAATAGATAGTATATTAGATGGTGATAGGCACTAGGGAGGAAACTACATCAGAATAAAAGGAATGGAGATTATTTGGGTTTAATTTTAAATAGGGTGGTCAGAGATGGCCTCCCTGAGAAGGTGATCTTGGAATAGATCTGAAGGAGGTTAGAGAGCAAACCATGAGGCTCTCTGGGGAAATGTGTTCCAGGCAGAGGAAATGACAAGTGAAAAGACCCTAAGGAAGGAATTGCCTGGTGTGTGCCAGGAAAAGTGAGAAGGCCCACGAGGCTGGAACAGAATAAAAACAGAGGAAGTACCAGAGGTCAGCTCACCTAGGGCCTCGTTGCCTTTCCAACTTTGGATTTTATCCCAGGGGAGATACTGGAAGGTTTTGAACAGAGGAGTGACATGGCCTGATTTATGTGTCAACAGGTTCACTCTGAGGCTGTGCTAGGAATAATATCAACAGTAATAAAAGCTAATGCTTACGTAGCACTTCCTATGTGCCAGGCACCATTTTAAGTCCCTTCTGCATATTAAATCATTTAATCCTCACAACAACTCTTAAGACATAGGTCCTATCATTGTTCCCATTTTACACCAAGAAAAGGAAAGCACAGAGAGGTTATAAGTAACTTGTCTAGGTCACACAGCTAGTCAGCCACAGCACCAGGTTTTCAATGGAGGCAGTTTAGCTCCAGATTCTGTGCTTTTCCCACCCTACTCTGCTGCTCGATCAGGGCAAAGGTGAAGGCAATTAGTAGCAGTGATAGGGGCCTAGGAAAAGGTGGCTGTAGTGGAGAGAATGGATCAGATTCTGGCTGTCTTTGAAGGTAAAACCAATAGGTTTTGCTGTCAGATCAGATGTGGGTGGAGTAGAGAGAGGATTCAAGCAACTGGATGGATGGAGTTGCTTCTAACTGAAGTGGGGAAGATCAGAAGAAGAGCAGGAGTTTGGTTTGGGACACACTGAACTTCCCATGGAACATCTGAGTCACAGAGACAGGAGCTTGGAAGAAAATGAGGAGCCAAGAATCTCAAATATTTGCTCATTGCCATAGAGCTAGTTAGGAAAGGGAGGTTAAACCTTCTGGGTAGGAGCTTTTCCCCCTCTTTGTGTTTCTAAGCACCTTTTCCATTCACCGCAGGGAACCCAATCTACAGTCACACGCCATTTGTCTATCAAAGTGGAAATCAGGCACTGGCTCCAGAGCGAAGAGCCTTCTCTTCACCTCGTCATCCCTCGCTCGTCATCCCTTGCTCGGGGTGACAGTGTATGCATGCTAAGGTCTGCAGTGGGAAGGGGATTCCAAGGGGGCTGGTAACCTAGGAGACTATCCCCAAGTGGTAAGGAAGAGACAGCTTTAAATGTTTACAAAAGTCTATGATTTCTCCCACTACAAAGGGAACCCCCCCAAGACCTGCTGGAGCTGGGGCATTTGGCCATCACAGAAGGCCATTCCATGTAGCCTGGGAAGGCAATTACAGCCTCTGCCGTGTGGAGCTGGATAGAGCTGCCGGTGTTTATTTGGGTGGTGAGCTGCTATTTAAAATCAGGCTTTGTTTCTGAAAATGAGACAGCTGGGGCTACATTTGGTGGATAGAGACATTTTGTTGAACTTTCAAAATGGGGTATTATTTTCCATTTACACTTATTTCACGGAGAATTGTAAGAAGATGAGATTGTAGACGTGTCTGTGATATGCAGTAATGAGTGATGGATCTTTGAAGGTAAAAATATCTCTAGGATATTTCTTTTTCTTTTTTTTTTTTATCTCCTCTCTCTCTCCTCCAGGCCTCAGGTTGGGTGGGTTTAGGTTTTGTTTTGTTTTGTTTTTTAATATCAAAATGGAGAGTGTCTCTAGTGGGAGTATAGACTGTTCTATGCTCAATGTTTGTCTTAATAAAGGTTAAAAGAAATGAAATAATATTAAAAAGGCTCTCAGGAGACAGGAGTACCAGATGCTTCCAACTCCCTGGACTGCTGCGGAAGAAGGCAGGATAGCAAGACTGGGGAAACTACGGGGCAAACGGAGTGGCTGATCCCTCCAGACCACCCAGCCCCAGCCTGAAAAACTCAGGAAACAAAGGAACAAGCAAAGGCGGAGAGGGCTGGAGAAGCAGACAAAGAAAAGGAGAGGAATTCAGATGCCAAGAAGATGCTTCTCCCTCTCTCCACATTCAAGGCCCTCTCTTTCTCTGGGGACTGGCATCGGGAAGGGTATGTATCCCAGAGGAGTCAAATTCGATATCTTCCCCTCTCTCTACCTTCTCTTAATTGCTTTGGAAGAAAACCAAGAAAAGAGATACCAGAAGGAAGAAAAACATTCAGCTTGATTTTCCTGGATAAGAGCTTGTATAAAGAAATCCAATGATGTTTATTGAATAAATGAATTAATCATTAATCTATCAGGCAGTATATCAAAGAATCAATACATGAATCAGGGAATAAATTAGGAAATCAGTGAATCTGGCATAAATTCTCAGATTTCTTAACCTCCTGCTTTAGCACACAGACCTCTCTATCTTTGCGTATTGACAAAGGTCAGTATCCTCCATTAAAAAAAAAAAAAAGGAACTCACCACTGTCAAAAGCCTGAATCTCGCTACGTACTTGTGAAAATACTGGAGAGACCCCCTACCCTTCTTAGGGAGGAAAGGAAATATTTTCCAATATACTGAGTTCAAAGCAGACACTGCATGCTTGTAGCTTAACCCTGTCACAGGGCAGGGTTAAACTTTCAGTGTTGCAACTTTTGAAGGTCCTTTTAACTGTGCTTTGCTTCTCTGAATGTTTCAGATACAACTACCCTGCACCCTATCACTACTAACTGGGCAGGGTCTATGTCTTCTTCCTCTTGGTGTCTTCCTGCATCTGTAGTGGCCAGGACTGTGGTGGGAACATAGTGGCCATCAGTAGATGCCTCTTCAGTTGAATTCAAAGTAGTCATGTCCAGTGTGGCGATCCCTCAAGGATCTAGAACTAGAAATACCATTTGACCCAGCAATCCCATTACTGGGTATAAACCCAAAGGATTATAAATCATGCTACTATAAAGACACATGCACACATATGTTTATTGCAGCACTATTCACAATAGCAAAGACTTGGAACCAACCCAAATGTCCTTCAATGATAGACTGGGTAAAGAAAATGTGGCACATATACATCACGGAATACTATGCAGCCATAAAAAAGGATGAGTTCATGTCCTTTGCAGGGACATGGATGAAGCTGGAAACCATCATTCTCAGCAAACTATCACAAGGACAGAAAACCAAACACCACATGTTCTCACTCATAGGTGGGAACTGAAAAATGAGATCACTTGGACACAGGGCAGGGAACATCACACACTGGGGCCTGTGGGAAGGGGGGGAAAGGGGAGGGATAGCATTAGAAGAAATACCTAATGTAAATGACAAGTTGATGGGTACAGCAAACCAACATGGCACATGTATACCTACGTATCAAAGCTACACATTGTGCACATGTAGCCTAGAACTTAAAGCATAAAAAAAAATAAAAACAGCAAAGTAGTCATGTCAGGATTTCCAGCTTTTCTCCCAAAGACCATATTTTATGAAGCTACAAGCAGATGCTAATCAGTGGTCAATTGTGAACAGCAATTCTATTATTTAAGGCCAAATACCCTGGAGTCATCCTGAGGTCTGCCTGGGATAAAACTCATAAATTCCCCTGGCATTGGAACCAGGCTAAAAGAGACAACAGCAACTTGCCAGTTAACTCTTCCTAATGCCTTGAAGTAGCTGAGAACTTGGATGCATAAGATTCCATTGAGAGAAAGTGTCCTGCATTTTGAGTTGGGGGCAATAAGATCATAAGAAGCAGGAAGGGAAGAGATATTTGTCTCTGAGAGCATAATTTATATTCAATAAATTAAGAAGGGCCACCCGGGGATCCGACACTCAAGTATGGAGTAGGAAGCTAAAAGAAATTCTCCAGTCTGGGAAGAAAGGACTACATGAAAGCAGAAAATGGCCCAGACATCCTGAGCAACAGAGAGTAGATCAGTAGATGATTTTCAGGGGCTTTATTTGGACAAGGGGTGGGGTGATCTGCTTTGGGACCCCATCTTTGTTTAATGGGGATGGAGTGAGAGATGAAGTGGGAGACAGATGGAAGAGAGGCCAGAGAGACTCCTATTGTGCTGAGGAGGCAACAGGCTATGCTGTGAGTGATACATAAGGTGCTCCAACTTCTTTTCCACACCTAGAAGCTGAAATGTTCTTCCCTGATATTAGGCCATGGGGGAATAAGTTCGGCCTGAAGACTGGAGAATCCTAGAATTCTAAGAAGGAAGGGCTTGTAGCAATTGCCCTGACCAATCCCACTATCTTACCAATAAGGCGACTCAAGCTCCGAGATGGGAGAGTGAACGTCTGTACCTGAGCTCACCTCCCTTTCATAGTGCTCTATAAGTTCACACCTCCCACGTTCATCCTCCCCCAGGCAAGTAGGCAGATGTTAAAGAAAAGCCTGCCACATTTCAGATCACTTTTTTCTCTTTTTTTTTATTGCCTCGCAAATGAGACCTGGATTTTGAAAATACCATCTCCAGCCCTGACAAGTTTGAAAACTTGCAGAATGAGGAGGAGGGCACAGGGATCAGGAGGCTTCCAGGAGGTAAGGAGCTGGTCTCCCCCTGCTTAGAATGTAAGGACATGCCTGGTGCTGTGGTTCCCAAATGCCAGTCCCATAAGGGGGACTTGGGAAGCCTGTTAAAAATATTGAAAACCTTGGCCACCCCTGAGAATTCTGATTCCATACATCTATCCCATACATCTAGTGTGGGAATCTGTATATTTAATGAGCACCTTAGGTGATTCCTATCCATGGGTTTGGGAGAGGAGATTGCTCAGACAAAAGCAGAGAAGCATGGCCTCCAACCTGCTGCATAGATATAAGTGGTTTCTTTTGTCCATCCATAAAATGGGAAGGAGAGTCCCCACTCACACCTTCTGGCCCCCCTAATGGGTCAATGAAGACAAACAAAAACAAATGACTCAGAAGAGGCACTGCACTCCTCTGAAGATGCTCTGTGTATCTGGGGTAGTATTAATTCAGGTTTTGATTATTGTCAGTTCTATCACTGAGTCCTGGAGGGAAGGGATGATCTGAAATAGCCCCATCCACGTGTGCCCAAAAGTGACCCTCTAACCCCTTGCCCACCTTTTGCCAGCCCACCCGAGACACATACCCCAGCAGCTGACCCCCATTCTGGATTCACCCTGGATTTAAGGCCACCAGGGAAGTAATTAAAGATAATTGAGGCTGCAACTTCTAAATGAAGAAATACTGCCACCCAGGCAGTAATTAATCACCTCCTCCACCCTCCCCCACCCACCATCCAAACCCCCCTTTGGTTCAAACCAAACTGGGTCTTTATATCCACATGTTCAGGCAGACTTCCAATTCTCCCAAAACCCTTGTCATGATTGGCAGTCTTTCATTACCAACATAGCTCAACCACAATGCTTAACATTCCATTTTGCTCCCTACTTAACATTTTTTGATGTGCACTGAAAGCAACAGAAGTCCCCACCCAGGGCTTCTGACCGTCTCACTTCCCTAAGTCTACTATGGAACACTCCAAAAAAGATAAAGAGTGACGCTCCCCAGTTGGTAAATGTCAACCATCTAGGTTTTCTGCACAAGCGCAGGGTTTTACGTGCCCCACACTATTCTAAGCTGATCACATAGATAACCCATCTGGTCATGGCCTGCTTTCCCTCCCAGGGTGGGCAAAGGATTATAGCTGTTTTAACGCTGGGAGACTCAGAGCTTGTAAAGAGCCTGTGCTCTGAACAGGGGGACAGTTACATAAGTCCACGGAGCTCTGGCACTGCAGGACAGCGGGCTCCACGTGGCTTCTAATTACAGGGAGGCTGATGGCCACGGTTGAAGATACTGTCACAGGACCCGGGTCTCAGCCCGCTGATGTCCCGCCAGCCATTGCACTAAGACGGAAATTAAGCACAGTGTCATGGCCATTTAGGACATTAGGAACGGAAGGCACCCAAGAGCTGCTTCCTGGCCCTTTGCCCACCTTATTAACAAGGTGCAAACGAGGACCTCGGCTGGGAGAGGGAAACAGCTGGAGAAAAGAGACCTTCTCTGCAGGTAGAGATATAAGGAGAGGAAGGGGATGCAGGGAGGCTGTGTCCCAAATCACCTTGGCTGAGAAGAAAATTGGCTTGATAAATGAGAAAAAAAATAATCAACTTCTGATGAAACTGTTTAAGGAATATTTTCTAGGTTGCAAAGTTTCTCGAGTTCCTGAATTTGCACTCTGCCCTCTGAACACACACACACACACACACACACACACACACACACACACACAAAATTGGGGGATGGTCATGAGGGGGTCTGGGGAAAGAAATAGGACCAAGCAACATCCGCGTTCTTTGACTCCCACCTCTCATCATTTGTAATTTGTTTGAAACCTTCAGGCTAGTGGCTCTCTGCAAGGCTTCACCAGCCTGCCAAGTTCTCTAGCTCAGAATCTGGGGAAATCCTGGCCTTGGCTGGAATCCAACCCTGGATACCAGGGCTATCTGCTAAATAAAGACCACAAGCCCCAGTGCTGGGGGATGGACGGGAGCTGCTGTGAGCTCGCCCCCACTCCACTTCCACACTCCCCTACACACTCCCTATTTCCTCTCTCCTCAGTGAGCCCGACCTTTATTTCTGGCAATTGTCCTGGCTAAATGACTGATGAGGTTTCTCTTAGAAAATGTAAAAAGTCACACAGATTTGGGTAACTTGGCAAAGAGAATAAATGCCATGGTTGCCCTCTGCCTCTTCTTCACCTCCTTCTCATGGACACACACTCCAAGGTGCTTTCTTCACTTCTGGCCCAAGGCAGGTCAGAGTCAGGAGGACCCTGGGAGCCGCCACGCAGCCGGCCCGAACCTTCTGCGCAGGGCCAGGCTTTCTCACTTCTTTGCCAACAGCTGCAGCAGAGGTGAACTGGGACATGGGAAACACCAGCTCCCTTTGGAGAGAGGAAAAAAATTAAAAAGCCCGTTTTTCTGTCCTGTCAGGTCTATTTAAGTATTTAATGAGGTGAGATAGTACCAATAAATTTAACATGGCACAATAACTCTGATGATGTGGGCCACAGACTAATAAGCTTCCATCCCGGGGACAGAAGATTGATCTTGCCTTCGCTAGATCTTATCGGGTTTGATTGCTTTGTTCAGATATTAAAAAGGTTGAGCAAGGACTTTCAGGCACTGCCACAAATCTGTGCGTATCCTCCCAGCCAAGATAGATTGAAGCCAGGCCGTGGAATACAAGGCTGTTTATTTTAATTGACAATCGAGAGGAGTGGAATAAGTGGAAGGTGGAGGGTGGAGGGTGGGTGAGGAGCCACAGGGGTCCCTGTGATTGGGTGGTTTGCGTGTGTTTTCCCCCTCTCTTCGGACTCTATGGCAGACCTTCAAATCCCAGGCGCTATCCAATTGAGTGTCTGCTCCTGAGGCTTCAAAGAGTCTCTTCCTTGTGTGTCTTGAGTCAGGAGACAGGCCATTGACCCATGTGTCACCTGTAATTTTCATCCTCGCCTCCCGGGGAATGAGACCTGCTGCGGACGTTTCCCAGCCACTTGTGTCCAGCCCCGAGGCTCGTCCCATTTTTGCAGTCTGTCCTCTCCTTCTGCAGATTGATGGGATGCGTGCTGGAGTCCTTTGAGGTCAGGGACCACATGACTCACTTCTAATTCCCCCACAGCACCAAACACAGATCAGAACTTCTAAAGTGTGATATATATATATTAGAGGGTAAGTGAAATAATTGTACATGGTATATGTGTGAACATTTTAAAGTTAACGTTTAGCTATATTAATGTGTATTGTATTATATAAATATAACTAATATAAGACACTTAATTTCACAGATATTATTACTCAGGATAAGGCTAAGGTAGAACATAAGTTTAAAGATGAGTCACGTGGCTGGGCACAGTGGCTCACACCTCTAATCCCAGCACTTTGGGAGGTCAGGAGATCGACACCAGCCTGACCAACATGGTGAAACATTATCTCTACTAAAAATACAAAAATTAGCCAGGCGTGATGGCACATGCCTGTAATCCCAGCTACTTTGGAGGCTGAGGCAGGAGAATTGCTTGAACCTAGGAGGCATAGGTTGCAGTGAGCTGAGATCACACCATTGTACTCCAGCCTGAGCGACAAAAGCAAAATTCTGTCTCAAAAAAATAAAATAAAATAAAACTGAGTCACGTTCAGATACACTATTAAATAAATAACGGTATGGGGAGTATCCAAATGAGTGAAGTTTGGGGAACACTGTCTTAGCTGACTTACTAATTGATTGGTTAGCTGTTCGGTCATTTGGTTGGTCAGTTATTGGTTTCAGATCGACAGATATTTTTCCCAACATTTTATTATGAAAGTTTTAAAGCATAGCAAAAAAGTTGAAAGAACTGTATAGTGAACGCCCATATACTCACCTCCTAGATTCGCCAATTATCATTTTTCTATATTTATCACATATCTGTCCATCGACCATCTAGCCATCTCTCATATCCCCCATCAATCTACCTTATGTTTTTGGATGCTTTTCAGAGTAAATTGCAGACATCAGTGCAGTTCACCCTGAAACACTTCAGCATGCAAATCATTAGTCTTCAGTATTTGTTTATGGTTATTTTTGTTAAAGAAAAATTTACATACCATGAAATGCACAAATCTTAAGTGTATCGGCCAGGTGTGTTGGCTCACGCCTATAATCCCAGCACTTTCTTGGATCACTTGAGGTCAGGAGTTTGAGACCAGCCTGGCCAACATGGCAAAAACCCATCTCTACCAAAAAATACAAAAATTAGCTGGGCATGGTGGTGCATGCCTGTAGTCTCAGCTACTCAGGAGGCTAAACTGGAAGAATCATTTGAACTCAGGATGTGGAGGTTGCAGTGAGTCAAGATTGCTCAATCACACTCCAGCCTGGGCAACAGAGTGAGACCCTGTCTCAAAAAGTAGAAAGAAATCTTAAGTGTAACATTCAATGAGCTTTGATAAATGCATACCCATGTGTAAACCAAAATCCTATTAAGGTGTAGAACATGACCATCACCCTGGAAGTTTTCCTCATGATCCTCCCAATTAAACCCCACTCCTGTCCTCCAGAAGACACCACTGTTGTGATTTTTTCACTTTATATTAGTTTTGCCTATTATAGAAGTTCACATAAATAAAATAATGCAGTATGTACTCTTGGTGCCAGCCTTCCTTCACAATGTAAGGCACAACATTTTTGAGATTCATTTGTATTGAGGCATGTATCAGTAGTTTGTTCCCTTTTACTGCTGAGTGGTATTCTTTTATTTGTATCCATTCTCCTGTTGATGAACACCTGGGCTGTTTCCAGGTTGGGGCTTTAATCAATCAAGTTGCTATGAATCTTCTACAAGTCACTTTACGGATACTTGTCTTTACTTTTCTTGGATAAATAACTAGCAGTGGTAGTGCTGCATCATAAGATAGATATATGTTTAGTTTTACAAAAAAACTACCAGACTGGTTTCAAAAGTGTCTGTGTACTGCAACTCATAATGCATGAGAGTTACAGTTAATCCTCATCTTTGCCAACATTTGATGTTGGCTGCCTTTTACATTTTAGCTATTCTTATAGACATGTAGTGGTATCTCATTGTTGAGTATATTTTCATGTACTTATTGGCCATTTGTAAACTTTTTTAGTGAAGTATCTTTTCAATCTGTTGCCCATTTTTTTGTTAATGTTGTTTGTCTTTTCATTATTGTGTTGTGCCAGTTCTTTTATTTATTCGTTTATTTATTTATTTATTTATTTATTTATTTATTTATTTATTTATTTCGAGATGGAGTCTTGCTCTGTCACCCAGGCTGGAGTGCAATTGCACTATCCCAGCTCACTGCAACCTCCGCCTCCCGGGTTCAAGCGATTCTCCTGCCTCAGCCTCCCAAGTAGCTGGGATGATAGGCACATGCCACCACACCTGGCTGATTTTTTGGTATTTTTTGTAGAGATGGGGCTTCACCATGTTGGGCAGGCTGGTTTTGGCACCCAGTCCTCTTTTTTTTTTTTTTTTTTGAGACAGTTTTGCTCTGTTGCCCAGGCTGAAGTGCAGTGGCTCAATCTCTCCTCACTGCAACCTTTGCCTCCTGCGTTCAAGCAATTCTCATGCCTCAGCCTCCGAAGTAGCTGGAACTACAGGTGTGTGCCATGGCGCCCAGCTAATTTTTGTATTTTTTTAGTAGAGATGGGGTTTCGCCATGTTGGCCAGGCTGGTCTCAAACGCCTAACCTCAAGTAATCCATCTGCCTTGGCCTCTCAAAGTGCTGGGATTACAGGCTTGAGCCACTGCACTTTGTTTTTTTAGGACAGGGTCTCACTCTGTCACACAGGTTGGAGTGCAGTGACACGATCATGGCTCACTGAAGCCTTGACCTTCCAGGCTCAAGCAATTCTCCCACCTCAGCCTCCCTAGTAGCCGGGACTACAGGTGCTTGCCACCACACCTGGATAATTTTTGTATTTTTTGTAGACATGGGGTTTTGCCGGGTTGCCCAGGCTGGTCTGAAACTCCTGGACTCAAGCGATCTGCCCACCTCAGCCTCCCAAAGTGCTAGGATTACAGGTGTGAGACACCACACCTGGCCTAGAAACTTTGTAGTTTTAGCTTTTACATTCAGGTCTGTAATCCATCTCAAATTAATTTTCATATATGGTAGGGACCAAGGAAAATTTTTTTTCCATATAAATATCCAGTTGTTTTCAGTAAAAATTGTTGCCAGTGTGGTGGCTCATGCCTGTCATCCAGAATTTTGGGAGGCTGAAGCAGGAGGACTGCTTGAAGCCAGGGGTTTAAGACGAGTCTGGACAACATAGCAAGACCCATACTCTATGAAAAACAAAAAATTAGCTGGGCATGGTGGCATGCAGCTGTGGTCCCAGCTACTCAAGAGGCTGAGGTAGGAGGATTGCTTAGTGACAGAAACAGAGCCTGTCTCAGGAAAAAAAAAAAAAAAATTGTTAAAAGACTTTTTTTCCCTTCTTTATGGCTTTTGCACTTTTGTCAAAAATCAAATGACTATATAAGTGTTAGGTCTATTTCTGGGCTTTCTGTTCTGCTCCATTGATTGATGGATTTTTTAAAAACAGTCTCAGAATGTTAGAGCTTGAAGGAAACAAATATTCTTTATTGTTTTGTAAACTTTCTTAGATTACAGACCTCTTTAAGAATCTGATAAATATTTTGAATCATTTCTAAAGAAATTGCACATAGATATGAATGTTTGCATGTGAGAGATCATAGGCCTTTGAAGCCTTTATCCCAACACTCATATTTTACAAAAAAGAAAACTGAGGCCTAGAGAAGTGACATGGTTTGTCAAAGGCTACAGACTTTAGCAAATGACAGAGCTCATGCTAAAACCCAGGGCCTTCTAATCTATTACATCAGCCCCCTCGAAAATGTGTATGTCACAGTCCCTATTCACCAAGAGCTCACATTTCAGTGAGGAAGTCAGACATGTTTACAGCTAGGCATAATAGAAGACATTACAGGATAAGAACCAAACCAGAATAGATTTGGGGTGATTAGGAAAGGCTCCGTGGAGAAGGGACGCTACAGGATGCGGTGGCTCACACCTGTAATCCCAGCACTTTGGGAGGCTGAGGTGGGCAGATCACTTGAGGTCAGGAATTTGAGATCAGCCTGACCAACATAGTGAAACCCTGTCTCTACTAAAAATAGGAAAAATTAGCAGGACGTGGTGGCACTCACCTGTAATCCCAGCTACTCAGGAGGCTGAGGCAAGACAATCACTTGAACCCAGAAGGCAGAAGTTGCAGTGAGCCAAGATCATGCCACTGCACTCCAGCCTGGGAGACAGAGCGAGGCTGTGTCTCAAAAAAAAAAAAAAAAAAAAAATTGTATGCTACAGTCTAAAACATTCTAGAATGAGCCAAAGCTCTGCAGTAGAAAAGACTCGGAAAAGACTAAGCTCCTCAAAGCTAAAATCTGGGTCTGTGTAGGGATGGACAAATAGACATTGCATATTTATAATAAAAGTATTTGGAAGATCATAACGATACCCCTTACATTTTTTTCTGATGGGAAAAAAGTGAATAGCTGGAAAGAAACTTCCTACAAGGTTGTTTTTTTGTTTGTTTGTTTGTTTCACTTTGTCCCTGAAGCCATCACTATTATGAATTGAAAACTCTGTGTTTCTGGGTGTATTTAGAAAGGCAGGCTGAACCATCCTCGGTGGGGAAAAAAATAGTAGGGGGAGGCAGAAGACATTGAGCAGAAAGAATTCATAGGCTGGTATCAGCAGACCCCAAATTGAAACATGTCTCTAAAATTTACTAATTGTGTGATCTTGCACAAGTCACATAACCTTTTTGACCTCGTTTTTTCATTTGTGAAATGAGATTAATCATAACACCAACCTCACTAGTTGTTGTGATGTGTCAGCGAAGTAAAATATGTGAAAGCACATTACCCTGGGCAGAGAACTGTGCAAAGGAAAGTGGCATCATTATTATGGAGAATCACCGTGGGACCCAGCTGGAGGAACCCACACACTGGTGCTGGGCAGTGGCTCAGGGAGGCAATTGCCGCCAGGGAAACCCAAAGCACCATGTTTACAGCCAATCCCTGAACAATACCTTCCCTCGCCAAAGGCAAAGAGTTGGGTGGGAACTCCAACTGCACACACATGGACAGTCTTCATTTTTGACATTTCTCATTCAAAGCTGCCTTTGAAATTCTTTAACTCTGCCCTATGTCTTGAGAGTGAGGGTGGGTCTGAAAAGGGGGGAAAAGGAAACCAAATATTGCTATTTCTTTAAGCTATATTTACCTGACAAGTCAGGATAGAGTAGGTTATGCTGCAGTAACAAACGACCTCAAAGTCTTGCTGACTTGTAGCAATAAGAGGTATTATTCTGTAAACTATACGATATGGAATAGAACAGAACTAGGGACTCTGTTCCATGTCTCCTCTCTCCACACCTACTCTAAGAGAACAGCTGCCATCTTAAACATTACCAGTCACTGTAATAAAAGAAAAGAGAGTTTGGAAAGTTTTCATGTCAATAATAAAATGCCCTAGCACAAGTGACTTCTGCTCACTACTCCTTGTCAAACGGCCATAGAGTGGAACCCAACTCTAAGGAGGCCAAGTACAAGTCCGCTGTATTAGTCCATTCTCACATTGCTATAAAGAATTACCTGAGACTGGGTAATTTATAAAGAAAAAAGGTTTAATTGGTTCACAGTTCCACAGGCTGTACAGGAAGCATGGCTGGGGAGTCCTCAGGAAACTTACATCATGGAGGAAGGCAAAGAGGAAGCCAGCACGTCCTGCACGACAGGAGGGAGAGAGAGCAAAGAGGGAGGCGCTACACACTTTCAAACAACCAGATCTCATGAGAACTCTATCACAAGACAGAACCAGGCGGATGATGCTAAACCTTTAGAAACCACCTCCATGATTCAATCACCTCCCACTAGGTCCCACCTCCAACACTGGGGATCACTACTCAACATGAGTTTTGGGTGGGGACACAGAGCCAAACCATATCACCAACAAATACTAAGAAAGTAGAAAACTGGGCTAGCCTCAGTGGCTCACACCTGTAATCCAAACACTTTGGGAGGCCAAGGTGGCTGGATCACTTGAGGTCAGGAGTTTGAGACCAGCCTTGCCAACACGGTGAAACCCTGTCTCTACCAAAAAATACAAAAAATTAGTCAGGCATGGTAACATGCATCTGTAGTCCCAGCTACTCAGGAGGGTGAGGCACAAGAATTGCTTGAACCTGGGAGGCAGAGATTGTAGTGAGCCAAGATGGTGCCACTGCACTCCAGCCAGAGTGAGACTCTGTCAAAAAAGAAAGAAAGAGAGAAAGAGAGAGACAGAGAAAGAGAGAAAGAAAGAAAGAAAAGAAAGAAAGAAAAAAGAAAGAAAGAAAGAAAGAAAGAAAGGAAGGAAGGAAGGAAGGAAGAAAAAGAAAAAAGAAAGAAAGAAAGAAAGAAAAGAAAGAAAGAAAGAAAGAAAGAAAGAAAGAAAGAAAGAAAGAAAGAAAGAGAAAGAAAGAAAGAAAGAGAAAGAAAGAGGGAAAGGGAAAGGGAAAGGGAGGGGAGGGGAGGGGAAGGGAGGGGAGGGGAAGGGGAAGGGGAAGAGGAAGTAGAAGGGGAAGGGGGAGAAAAGAAAGTAGAAAACTTGAAATAGGATAAATAACTTTTATGACTTCCCTCTTACATCCCCTGGGACCCGTTGTGCTGTTGCATATTTGATGGCTTTGTATGTTCTGTTTCATCTTCTGTTTGGAATGCCAATATCTCTTCCTAGTAGCACCTATTCATCTTCTAAAACTCATTCAAACATCTCCTTCTCTAGAAGCCACTGCAGAACCCCTTATCACAGGGCCTCACAAGTGTAAGTTTATCTGTTTGTTTCCCTACTTCGTTGAGGATGCCTTGAGGGCACAAAATAAAAGCGCATGCAATGGATGAATGGATGAATGAATGAATGATGATATTCCTTGCCCAAGATAACCTGACCTGAATCCCCCACCCTACTCCACCCCGTGAATGGCCCTGACTGTCCTGGAAGGAGAAAAGCAAGCTTTGCCACACCCTTTCCCAATTTCTTCACCATTAATAGTTAACATTTAGTAAGCACTCACTAAGGGCCAGGCACAATTAAGAGTGCTAATTATATTATCTAATTTAATCTTCACAACAACATTACAAGCTTCCTGTTTTAGAGATTATGTATTAGAGACGATAGTAATCAAGTTTAGAGAGCTTCAGTGATCCGCCCAACACCACACAGATAGTAAGAGAACCATGCCTGAACTCAGGTTTATCAGAGGCTAAAATCCATACTCTTAACTGCTCAGTGTGGTGCCTCCACAGGTTACAGAAATAGGCCACTGACACATGTGACTCAGATTGTTCTACTTTCTCTAAGCACAATGCTGACAACAAAGACAGGAGAATCTCTCTGTCCATAGCCCCTAAACAAATGTGTGCAAAGGTTAGAGAACTAGAATACAATAGAAACCCCATTCTATTGTAGTTCCTTTTAGCCAGCGAGCCCACAGCAAAGCCCACCATTGAAACTGGCCTGCTCTGACCATGACAAGAGAAGACTGATATGAATAGTTCATTGAATGGAGATTTAGCCAGAAAAAAGAAAACTGTGAGTGATTTAATAGATGTTGGTTGGTCACCAGATGTTCACTAAATCCACTGAGGATAAAAAAGACAGCACTTAAAATTCAGCTTGGGGGATTTCAATTAGGCAGCAAGAAGGCTTTCTCAACAGTAAGAAGTATTAAATATCTTTGACTAATGAGCAGTGATGGAATGCTTCTTTAAGTCTAGGGTCCTTATTCAGGGATTTATTCGTTTATGTATTTAGCTACTTACTCATTCACTCTTTCAGCAATTGTTTATTGGCCAAGCACTGTGGTAGGTACAGCCATCCCTTGGTATCTGCAGGGGATTTTTTTCCAGGACCCCTACCCCTAGATACCAAAATCCACAGATGATCAAGTCCCTATATAAAATGGTATAGTATTTGCATATAACCTACTCACATCCTTCCATATACTTTAAATCATCTCTAGATTACTTATAATACCTAATGCAATATGCATGCTGTATAAATAGTTGCTATACTATATTTTCATTTGTACCATTTTTTATTGTTGTATTTTTATTTTTATTTTTTTTCCAAATATTTTTGATCTGTAATCAGCCAAATCCAGGAATGTAGAACCTGTGGATATGGAGGGCCGACTATACTAGAAATACAAATGTGAATGAAAACATTTCTGTTCTTCATGCTCTCTTCCTGGAATCTTTTTTTCTTGATGTAAAATTTCTTGGAAAGCTATACAACAACTCATAACACTTTAATGCAAACAAATTTTCCCATTTCCCAGACAGGCCCTGGTTACCAGACTTGCTTTATGTTGGTTGGATGGTAGAAGCTGAAGAGAAAGGGAGAGAAATTTGGGGGGCTTAGGACTCTATTTGGTTTCCTATTGCTGCTGTAACAGATTATGGCAAACCTAGTGGCTTAAGACAACACATACTTTCCTCAGGACTGGAGGTCAGAAGTTTGAAGTCAATTTCACCTTGCTATAGTCAAGAGGTCAGTAGGACTGATTCTTCTGGAGGTCCTCAGGGGAGAATCTGTTTCCTTGACATTTTCAGATTCCCATGGCAGCCTATATTGCTTGGCTTATGGCCCTTTCCTCCATCTTCAAAGCTCATCATTCCAGTTTCTTCCTTCTGTTGTCCTATCTCCTACTATCCTTGATTCTGACTCCTCTGCTCCCCTCTTATAAAGACTGTTTTATTTATATTGGACCCATCAAGATAATAAGATAATATTCTCCCTATCTCAAGATCCCTAATTTAATCACATCTGCAAATACCCTTTTGCCAAATACCCAATGACATTCACAGGTTCTGGGGACTAAGACATGGGCATATTTGTAGAACCATTATTCAGCCTTCTACAAGGACAGAAAGCCTATTACAGCAACTTTACCTATGTGGCAATTGTGCCCAGGATTGGCCCTGACGTTCAACCTTGCTGAGGTTATTATAGACTATGGGAAAAGGCCTCACCAAAGTCACACAGATGGTTGATGCTGGCAGAGTCACTGGATTTACCCAATGATATCACCAGCCCTGTGGGGGAGTTTAGCTGTTGGCCTGACTAAAGGCAGGGGGAATGGAAAAAATAATCTTTTCCTACACAGTCTAGTTCTATAATGATGGTTAATGTTTGTTTATTTATTTATTTATATTTATTTATTTATTATTTTTGAGACAGTCTCACTCCGTCACCTAGACTGGAGTGCAGTGGTGCCATCTTGGCTCACTGCAAACTCTGCCTCCAGGTTTCAAGCGATTATCCCACCTCAGCCCCCCAAGTAGCTGGAATTATAGGCACATTCCACCACTCCCAAGTAGCTGGAATTACAGGCACACTCCAACACACCTGGCTAATTTTTGTATTTTTGGTAGAGACGGGGTTTTGCCATGTTGCCCAGGCTAGTCTCGAACTTCTGACCTCAAGTGATCCACCCGCCTCGGCTTCCCAAAGTGCTAGGATTACAGGTGTGAGCCACCGTGCCCAGCCGATAATGTTGGTTAATGTTTATTAAGACTTTAATGTGTGCCAAGCACCATGCTAAGCACTTTGTATGTACTATCTTTCTAAATTAATTTTGTTTTTATCAGAGTAATCTATATACATGGTTTTACAAATTAAGTCGTACTAAAAGACTCATATCAACCAATAGCTCTACTCCTCCTTACCTCCTCAGTCCCACAGAGGTAACCTCTCTCAACTCTTAGCAATTTCTACTGGCATTTACCTTTACCATTTAAAATAACATATTCATATTGCTATTTCTCAAGTTAACCATTTTAGACAGTTTCTACTAAATTCCTTTTATTGCAATTGAGAATTTTGTTCTCTAATACACTGCCACCTTCTTCCTACTATCTCTCACCTATCCTTCTGGTGTAATTATATCACATTTGGGGTTGAATCAATCATCTGCATTTATACTATGATGACTGTGTAAGTATTGCTCTCTGCTGAGCCAGGTCGTCCAAATCCACGCATATCCAAGTCCCACAGTCAGCCCTGAGCAACCTGCCTATAGGAAAAGTCGACCCTCCATGTACACAGGCTTCACATCCTGCAAATACTGTATTTTCAACCAACGTTTAGTTGGAAAAAAATACCTGTGTACAAGTAGACCATGGAGCTCAAGTCTCTGTTGTTCAGGGGTCAAATGGACTCCCCACGACCACTGCCAAATACTCCAATTGATCTATCGCCTAGCAATAATTTTTCAAACATTTATATCCATCAGATAATCTAATTGCTCCTTTTCTCCCCATGATCCTCCACAGAGTAGAATTCTATATTTTGCTCTTGAGGCTAGCAGCAGGCTGCTTCCCCAAGACTGTTTATACCATCTTCCTACACTAGATGCCTCAAGGCCCCGCAATGGATAAGTGTCAGACTGGGATTTGAACCCAGGTTTGTCTAAATCAAAATCCCTCATCCTCAACTGCCATCGTATATGGCTTTTATAAGTTAAGAATTTGAAAAAGTGGCTATAATGTTTGAGTAGGAGGTAGTGGCTACATAAAAGTAATTACTGCTGATGGTTGCATTGCATTTGAACTCTATCCTTACACACACTTTCAAAACAGACAGCAGTTCTCAAAGTGCTGGGACCTGCCTTCACACCTGGGAGAAACAACATTCAAACAGGGAATTTGCTTTTTTTAATCTTGCAGACATTTCCATATGGGTTTGTTGACACTTTGGGAATCCTTCTTTCCTATTGTAAGGCTTGGGTGGCTGTGGCTGTGGGGTTTTGTTTTGTTTTATTTTGTTTTTGTTTATTTTGTCTTTCTTCCTGATTTACTTTCTCTAGTTTTTCCTGAGGTCTGGGAAGACTCCCAGTGGGCATATAGCCTGCCAACCCCAGGGGCAATATAGCTTCTATCTGAACGTGTACCCTTCTATCCATCCACCCTCACTCCTTGCACATACATATCCACACACACATTCACACACACACACACTCTCTCTCTCTCTGAGCCCACAGCTCCAACCCTGCTGAAGTAAAGAGTCTAGTCAGTGTCACAAAATATGAGTCTCATCAACCTGTTTGGACTGGAATCATGAGGATGAGGGACACAAGGAGGGAGAAAGAGGAAAGGAGATATGGGTAGACTTAAAGGTGTTCCAAATATTCCTCAATGCTGTGTGGCATCTTTTCCTCTTCAATTCTCCCAACTCCTCTACAAATATAGACACACACCACAGAGAAGTTAAATTTACAATCAGATTTTACTCTCTGCCTAGGTGAAACCATGAGTCCCCCAGAGGGTATAAATCTTTTCAGGAGCAATGCTCCATTGATCCAGCAGTTCCACTAAAATGGTCCTGAACCATAGCCCTCTTTCCTACTTTCTCCCATTCTCTTTTTTCCTTTTTCTTCTTCCTTTTTTTTTTTTTTTTTTTTCAGACAGAGTTCCACTCTTGTTGCCCAGGCTGGAGTGCAATGGCGTGATCTCAGCTCACTGCAACATCTGCCTCTCGGGTTCAAGCGATTCTTCCGCCTCAGCCTCCCCAGTAGCTGGGATTATAGGCCCCAGCCACCACGCCCAGCTAATTTTTGTATTTTTAGTAGAGATGGGGATTCACCATGTTGGCCAGGCTGGTCTCGAACTCCTGACCTCAGGTGATCCACCCTCCTCGGCCTTCCAAAGTGCTGGGATTACAGGCATGAGCCACCGCACCCCTCCATTTTTTTTTTCTCACTTTCTCCCTTGTTTCTCTGGTGCTCCTTCAAAAAAAAAAAAAAAAACCCCACAACAAAACAAAACAAAAAAAAAAACAGCCACCCTCTTGTTTATCTGTTTGTGTTCTGTGTGTGGAGCTCAGGGACCTCCCAGAATAGTTTATTATGGCTTTTCTGTTTAGCTCGACTGCAGTATAGCAGAGGTAATACAATCATGTCTCAGCTCCATATGGTCTTGGAGGCTGACAAGCAGAACAACCTCTGCTTTGTTTGTGTTTTACTTATGGTATTATGTGAGCTGCGTGGGGCTGCTGTGCTAGGTTCCTCCCGCAGGACAGAGCAGAGAAGGAGCCAGGCTCCATGTTGTCTCTCCCCACCCGCTTCCACTACCACACACACAAAACACACACACACACAGACACACACACACACACACACACTCCACAACTCGAGACATAGTGGAGATAAGGGGTGATGATCAACCCCAGAGAACATTAGGGACACACAGGAAAGGTGGTGTTGTGGGGAGGAGGAGGGTGAGAAGAGGAAAGTGAAGGAATATTTATGGAGGCATGCTACACATCTTACTATAGACACGTAATTCTCATACAACTCTTTGGAATATATATTGTTGCCCTATTTTCTCTTGGAAAAAACTGAGGTCAGTAAGCTACTAGGCCTTTTCCCCAAGTGATATACCTGGAATTGAATGCTTATTTGTTTGATCCCCAAACTCACACACAGTCTATTATAACCTTTTTGTCTACAATGTGGGGCTGGGGGGGTTGGGGAGGGGGAGTCTCACAAACTCTTCTAGGCAAAGAGCCTAGATGCTGTAGATGATGACAAAGGATAAACCATTACGCTCTCAAACTTGAAACACAATGTGGTTATGACAGTTTTCAGGGGCTTAGTGTCACCTTTATCCACACTCCAATCAGGCATAGGCCTCCCTGGCCATTGGAGCCAATGAGGTACTATATCTTAAAAGCATTTTCAAAACAGTGAGATTTCAGTAGAACATACTTACTAGGTAATGTCTTCATTGTTGCAGTTACGTTAATGAGGTTTTACCTAAAAATGCAGAGAGGAAGATTCAGTGGGGTTGAGTTAGGTACATATTGCAGCTGGAATAATGGAAGACCCAAGCCATAAGCAACTGTTGTAACTTCAAGGTTCTTAGGTGCAAAGAGTTGCAGGGAAGCATATGTTGGACAGATTCACTGACCATATAGCCTGTTTTTCTAGACAATTCCAATTCCATACATTCTCTCTAACAAAGAGAACCAATGACAAGTCCTGGATATTCCAAAATGTTGGCATCTAAACCATATGAAATAATGACAATAGCTAACATGTGTTCCATGCTTTCTTTTTTTTTTTTTTTGAGACGGAGTCTCGCTCTGTCGCCCAGGCCGGACTGCGGACTGCAGTGGCGCAATCTCGGCTCACTGCAAGCTCCGCTTCCCGGGTTCACGCCATTCTCCTGCCTCAGCCTCCCAAGTAGCTGGGACTACAGGCGCCCGCCACCGCGCCCGGCTAATTTTTTGTATTTTTAGTAGAGACGGGGTTTCACCTTGTTAGCCAGGATAGTCTCGATCTCCTGACCTCATGATCCACCTGCCTCGGCCTCCCAAAGTGCTGGGATTACAGGCGTGAGCCACCGCGCCCGGCATGTTCCATGCTTTCTAGCTGAGTGTAATTCATACACTATCTCATCTATTCCGTGCAGATCCTCATCTATTGACCTGTGATGTCAATGCCTTTTGTAAACTGTACCTGGCACACAGAGGTGATTACTAAATATTTGTTGAGTGGATCATCACTGCTGCTTTCTAGACTAGAAAACTGACCCACAGAGGGGTTTCATAACATGTCTGGCATCACACAGCTGATGAGGGCTGGGGCAGGAAGGTGAGCCCAGGCTACCTGCCCCTGTGACTTGCCTGCTGTCACTACCCAGTCCAGGACCTCATCCTGCTGCTTCCCCAAGCCTCCCATACTGGCTTTCCCACCTGAAAGCAACCCCAAATCTTTCATTAGATCATGAGATCCAATGTCAAATTTGAAATATAACACCATACTACATGCAAAACATGGCAGGGGATGTCGGGAGAATTAAAGAAGCACTAAGTGGTGAGACCTGGCTCCCAAGGAGAAGTAAGGGGAGTCACTGGAGGACACTGAAAACAGGGCCAGGAGCGGTGGCTCACGCCTGTAATCCCAGCACTTTGGGAGGCCAAGATGGGCGGATCACTTGAGGTCAGGAGCTCGAGACCAGCCTGTCCAAGATGGTGAAACCCCATCTCTACTAACTGTACAAAAATCAGCTGGATATGGTGGCACATGCCTGTAACCCCAGCTATTCAGGAGATGGAAGCAGGAGAATCGCTTGAACCTGGGAGGCAGAGGTTGCAGTGAGCCGAGATTGCACCACTGCACTCCAGCCTGGGTGCCAGAGTGAGACTTCATCTCCCAAAAGATAAATAAATAAATACTGAAAACACCCTGTGTCCTGGGCACCACCATTTGGAGAAACCCAATGGTGGCTCTTGATCAGTCTGGGCCTTGAGAAAGGACTGGTAGGGAATCTGTTATCAGAAGAGGGACATCTGCCCTCAGGAAATATGGTCCCAGTCAAGAACAGCTGTCTTCCTCTTCCCTCTTCCCACCTCAGGCCTGAATCACAAAGAGCAATCTTAGACTCATATTTGTGTTGAGGAACAATAATTAGTTTTAGTGGTAGTAGCTACGGCACGCAATGTTAGCATACATGGGGCAGCTCTTACGTGCTAGGGGCTTGATCATACATTAATTCATTTATTTTCTTGACCACTTGATGAGATCAATTTTATGAAGCCCATTTTGCAAATGAGAAAACTGATATATTAGAGGTGAAAAATCAAAGTTACATAAATAGCCAGCATCCAAATAGGAATAAGTAATGTTATGGGTAGCCTTGAAGAAGAAAGGAAGTTTGAAAAAAAATCATATGCTTGGGGGTTTAATTGTGGGAGAAAGCAGAAAAGGAGGGTTCTGCTCTTTCCCTTGGTAAGAGCAGACGGTTACGGGGTGGGTGATATGTATATGAGCATCTGTATTTTTTAGTACAAGCTAATTGAACCACCTGATTTTCCTCCACCATCTGTCTCCCACACTCACTATCATCCTCCCCAACCACCCCCAGCAGCAGTCACTATAGCAGCCTGGAGCCCAGAAAAGCTCCTAAATTCACCAAAGCCAAGAAGAAATGATCTTATACTATGCACCCCTGTCAGGGTGGCCCTAAAAACCAGGATGCCTAGCCGTTCATTAATTCTACAAATACTTAATTGAATGCCTATTTTATGCCCGGTACTTTTCTAGACATCAGACGAGTGAACAAAGCAGACAAAAAAATCCCTGCCTTCATGGAGATTATGTTCTGCCAAAGAGGTTTCTAGTGCTCAAAATCGTCAGTCCATTCACCTTCCTAAGAGAAAAGTCAATCCATGGAGGAGCCCAGAGATCATGATAGAAGTCCTAAACTGAGCTTCACAGTCCTAAGCTCCTCAAAGGAGACCTGTGGTCACAGCCTTCCAGCACCTGCCCTTCCCTCATCAGCCTTTTGTTCCAACAATGAAAGACAAACAGGGGTGAGCGACTCCCCTAAGGCAAACCCCGCCCCACCTGCGCCTCAGGCCCCCCTCTCCAGACCCTGCGCTCTGAGCCCTTGCTTCTTCATTGGTTTGCATCATAAATGTGTAATGCCAGGCTAAGAAAAGCACCCAGCCCAACCCGCTCTGCCTTGCATCCATAACAACCTTATCAAAGGGTTTTTTTTTTTTTCTGAGCACAGAGAACAGAGAGCCCTCCAGGTTTTGATTCATAGCAGGTGAAGGCTGGATGTGCTGAAAGCTGATTGAAATCAGCGAGGTCAACAAAATACAGCTGAGAGTGCACAATAATTGGGAGAGAAGCATCGCTTCCTTGTTTTTTTGTGATCTCCTGCACTTTCAAGCTCCCACTTCTAAAGGAAAGTCTTTGTCTTACACACTTTATTGCATTGGTGTGTGCTTTATTTTTATAAACTTGGGATTTTGCTGACCCACAATTTCCTGTCCCTTTGCCCTGTAACAATCTAGACATTTTGAAGTGGGAGGGTGGGGGTTGGAGATTGAAGAGAAGAGGCTTTAGGACCCTCTGGATTTTCCTGCCTGGAGGAACCCCCTCCCATGCATGTGTACGCAAGCACGCACACACATACACACACACACACACACACACACGCATACACCTGCAAGCCCTTCCATTTTGTTTCAGGAGAGGGAAGTCTGCCCTGTAGCCCTACAGTCCTTTGATGCTGATAGGAGTACTGTTTTGCTAAACAATTCTAACTAATTCAAGGGCAAGTGACTGCATTCTAACTAAAGCCTAAATTCTCACATACACATATTCTTTCTCAATGTCGTGTGTGTGTGTGTGTGTGTGTGTGTGTGTGTGTGTGTTTCTCTTCCTTTATGAAGGTTCTGCCTGGACTGAAAGTTATCTGAAGGTAGGGGCTTTGTTTGTCTTGTTCAGTGCTCAAGAGGACTTAGCACAGAGCACAGCGTGCGGTTGAGAATCAATAAATATTCATCAAATGAAAGAAGGCTCACTGACACTGAGTGTTACTGCTCCAAGTCTCCTGGGCCTCTACTGTCTCTTCAGGGCAAGAGGAATCTGTAGGTGAGCCTTAGCCTTCCTGAGAAAACAGAAAACCATCATGTGGCCACTGCACAGAGGCGAGACTGGGACTAACGCAGGACCTTGGAGAATACTGGTAGCGTAGTAAAGACTTAAATGGAAAAATGACATTCTCGAAACTCTTACATCAGAGAGTGTTTTTGTTAGCTGAGCTTCATATATTGGAAGGTGGTACTGGTTTGGAGTTTTGTTTTTTTTTTTGAGATGGAGTCTTGCTCTGTCACCCAGGCTGGAGTGCAGTGACGCGATCTTGGCTCACTGCAAGCTACGTCTCCCGGGTTCACACCATTCTCCTGCCTCAGCCTCCCGAGTAGCTGGGACTACAGGCGCCCGCCACCACACCCGGCTAATATTTTTGTTTTTTTAGTAGAGACAGGGTTTCACCGTGTTCGCCAGGATGGTCTCGATTTCCTGACCTCATGATCCACCCGTCTTGGCCTCCCAAAGTGCTGGGATTACAGGCGTGAGCCACCGTGCCAGGCCGGTTTGGAGTCTTGACTAGGCTGGCCCAGAGAATTTTATCCACTGGATTCAATCCCATAAGAAGGAACTCATTATCCTGCTTTCCAGAGTTAATGATTGTTTTTCCATCTCATTCTCTGACCAAAGAAGATTTTGTCTATTTTGAGTACCTCCCTGTGAAAACAAGGCAAAATTCCTTAATCCCTGTTATGTAGCTGAGCTAGGAAAGTCCTCACAACTACCATGTAACCGAAGAGAACAGTACCAGTAAACACCAGAAGTATATTTCTTCTTTGATTGAAATCCTTTCCTGCTGGCTTCAATGGGACCCCATGGAAGGGGAGAGGAGACTTCTTCCTCACAGTAGAATGCTCAAGTCCGCACTTGTAGATCCACAAGAGAGAAATTGGATCAAGAAGTCTATACAGTCAGTAACAGTATTAGCCAGATTGGCAGCCAGTTCTGCTATCATCTCTCATGTTGGTCACTGAAACGGCCTCCTAAGGGGTCTACACCTGTCTACCCTTCAAACTGATGCCCTAGCAAGCCTCCTGAAAAACAAATATGACAGATAGTAACAAGAGTTGGCAAAGATGTAATGAAATTAGAACCTCTATACATTGCTGGTGAGAGTGTAAAATGGTACAGCTGTTTTGGAAAACAGTCCATCAATTTCTCATAAGATTGTTAAACATAGAGTTACCATATGATACAGCAATTCTAGTCCTAGGTATATACCCAAAAGAAATGAAAACCTAGGTCCACACTAAAACTTGTATATGAATGTTAATAGCAACTTTATTCACACTAGCCAGAAAGTGGAAACAAACTAAATGTTCATCAACTGATGAATGGATAAACAAAATGTGGCATATCCAAAACAATGGAATATTATTTGGCAATAAAAAGGAATGAAGCACAATTAGAACACGGAGAAATAATTATGTTAAGTGAAAGAGGGCAGTCACAATAGGCCACATATTATATGCTTTCATTTACAAGAAATATCCAAAGTAGGCAAAGCTATAGAGACAGAAAGTAGATAACTGGTTATGAGAGAGGAGAAAGAAAAAAAAGCAGGCAGGCAGTTAGGGTAGGTCCTCGGTTGAATATTTTCAAACAAAAAAACAGCCTGCAGGCACAGATAAGGGAACTTGCACAGGAGGACTTGCCTAAGACATGCCCACAGCTGCACAGATAAGAAAGGCTACACAGGTGACTTGCCTGGAAATGCCCATAATAGAAAATTCCATCCCCTGACACATGCGCAGGAAGGGGAACAAAGCAATATGGAGTAACTCAAGCTAAGGGCCCACATGTGCGTTAGGAGGACGGGATGGAGCGACGAGAAATTTGCACCTTATGCAAATGAGACACTAATCCCTCATCGGTTTCCTATAGAAGCCTTTGCATTCAACTGTGAAAACAGCAACCCCCTTCCGGGTCCCTTCTCAGCAGCAGAGAGCTTTCTTTCACTTATGAAACTTTCGCCTCAACCTCACTTTTTGTGTCCATGCTCCTTAATTCTCCTGGTCTTGAGACAAAGAACTCGGGGTGATACCTTACAACAAGAGACTGCAACATCATGGTGCACAGATGAGACTGTAACAGTTACCTAGAGCTGGAGAGAGATTGGGGGAAGAAGGGGTGGGTGTTCTTACCATTAAAGGATATGAAATTTCTCTGGGGGGTGATGAAAACATTCTAAAATTGGTTGTAGTGATGGTTGAACAATTCAGTGAGTATAGTAAAAACCATTTAATTCTACATTTTAAATAGGTGAATTGTGAATTGTATGTCAATGAAACTGGTACTCCCAAAAAGAAAAAAAAAATTAAACCTACTCATTCCCCTACCAAAGGCTTCTGCTGGTTTCTCATCACCCAAAAATAAAGCTCAAGCTCCTTGGCCCACCATGAAACTCTCCCTTGACAATTTGGCCCCACCTCATTTTTCAGCCTCATCTTCCTCTCTTCTTGACATGTACCCCAAATGCTGAGCTTTTGAGCTTGCCCTGTTCCTGAACATACCATGCTGTGGCTGCCACAGGAGTCCAGGCCTTTGCATTGTGTTCTTCTCTCCTGCAATGCCTTTTCTTTGATCTCTATCTGACAAATGCTGATTTATTCTTCAGGATCCAAGATGAGCATCACCTGTTCTATGCAGCCTTTCCCAGCTTTCCCAGGAAGAGTTTATCTCACTCCTGGGCTGCCATGACACTCTGTTTATAGTCTATTTTTGCGCTTATCACATTTTATTTTAATTACCTCTCTGCATAGTACCTTCCCCACTAGCCTGGACCACGGGCACTTCAAGGACAGAATCTATGCCTTATTTATCCTTGTACCCATCTCTCCACCCTACTCCCACCACATGTGACTAAAGGCACAGGAGAGAAAGAGAGAGAGACATGCATGCACCCCTTAGAGTCCAGCCTATAAAAAGTAGTTAACAAATGTGAAGAAGGGAGAAGGAAAGCAAGTGAAAGAGGACAATCTCTGGCATTGGAGAACTAGGTTTGATCTCATCCCACTCCATACTGGCTGAGCAACCTTGGTTAAAACTTAACCTCAGTCAGGAGTTCTAGACCAGCCTGACCAACATGGTGAAACTTCATCTCTACTAAAAATACAAAAATTAGCCAGGCGTGGTGGCACACAACTATAATCTGAGCTACTCAGGAGGCTGAGGCAGAAGAATCACTGGAACCCAAGAGGTGGAGGTTGCAGTGAGCTGAGATGCCGCCACTCATTGCACTCTAGCCTGGGCGACAGAGTGAAACTCCGCAAAAAAAAAAAAAAAAAAAAACAAAAACACTTAACATCAGTTTTCTGTAGTACAAAAGATGGTTAGCTGGGCCATTTGTGTTAAACTCATTAAGCCCTACAACGACGCTTTGAAGGAGGTATTACTATGTATATTTCATAAGTAAGGAGCTCAAGGCCACACTCCTAGCACCCTAAGTGATCTAGATGTTCCAAGTTAGTTCGAGAGGTTTGTTTCTCTGACCCCAAGGCCTGAGCTTTCAACCTCAACAATTTGTATGTCATAAGCTGATAGTTGCTACCTATTATTTAACTTTCTTCCAACTATCAGAGGACCCTGGAGTCAAACAGCACCAGGTCCCACTCTCCGTTGACGTGAACTGTATTCAGTTCAAAGCGCTCTGCCTCTCAAACTCAGTTCACTACCCTGGGGATTTCCAGAATGTTACCATGAGGCAAATGCATGCCTGAAACTTCCATTCACTGCTCTCCACCCAGCCAGAGCTCACTCATTTTTTAGCACCCAACTCAAATTCAATGTCCTTTAAGACATCTTCTTAACTCTTTTTTGTATTATTTGAGGTCTTACATTCTGAACCACTTATTTTAACCACACATCTCTAAATTTCACTTTCCGTTCACAGACAAAATTGTCCATTCATACCCCTACTCTCGTCTTCTTCCTGCCCAGTCATTTGGTGACACCCTGCGATACGCACTCCATCCTCACCACTCCGTTAGAGCTACATTCTCCCCGTTACCTAGAAACCTACCTCTGTGCCGGATTAAATGCATTTTTCAGAGCTCTTCTCCCTCATCCCCTGCAGCATTTGACAGCATTCTCTCCTCCCTCCGCCTCCTCCTGGACACAGTGGACTGCCTTCTTCACTGGCCTTCCCACTCCCCACTCCCTCACTCCTTTTTCTCACTGGGCCTGCCTGAGGCTCAGGTGGGTCCCTTGCTTCTCCAGCCTTCCCATCTTCTTCCTCGAAGTGTGACATCTCTCATATCTCAAGCAATAGCCCTGACTTCTTCCCTTAGCTCCAGTTGAGTGTCTCCAACTGCCTTCTGGGCTTTTCTACTTGGATGCCTCACTGTCACTCAACATTTAATTTGTCTAAATCCTGGAAGTGCTATTAATACTTATGTACAAAATGAGCTGTAGATACCAATATCGTGATGAACTATAAAATGCCTCTCCCATTGTTCCGCACCCCCACCCCAACGTGGTCTCTCTCAGAATGGCACATGAATTTGTTTATCCCACCAAATGAGTCATCGAGAGCTCTGAAATGAAAATGTACACATACACACACACTGCCTGAGATATTTGGGCCTGGATTTGTCACCAGGAACCTCGCAACTAATAGTCAACCCATTATCATGTAGTGCCTGTTCTGTGCCCAGCACCGTGCTAGATGCTTCTAGAGTACAGTGATGTTTCCTGCATAAAACCTATCATTAAACAGATTACAGCACGTACCTTCTCAAAAATAGCATAGCATAAAACCACACTTATCATCTTCCCCCACAGTTGACCATCATTTTAGTCATCTATGTTTATGACAGTGGGGGGTCCCCCCTCCTCATTACTTCTTCCTCTTCTCCACACTTTTCCCCAAATCTGATCAATTCCAAATCCTGCTAGTTCCTGTTGGGGCTCAGAAACTGATACCACAAAATATGGTACTTTGTCATGACAAACTGAAGAAGCCTCAAGGTCTCTCTGACCTTCCCCCTGGCCTCCAGCCCCAACCGTCTCTCCCAAAGCCTTTATCTAAGGCACAGACCCATCAAAAGAAGCGGTTGTTTTTTAATTCCCCTCCCTCTAAGACCAAGAATATCACCACACCTGAACAGCCCCTTTCGCAAGATTACGTACAAGTTGATCTCTGCTCCCTGACCCGTTCATTTAGTAATCCCCTCAACAGAATTCTTCTTCTCTCTCCTCTCATAACCTATTTTGCCAGGATGGTGTACAAGCTTCTGATCTACCTTGAGGTGTAATTATTCTGTGATCCTTCCCATGAATACTCCGTGCATACATTAAATAAATTTGTATGCCTTCTCTCTAATTATTCTACCTTTTGTGAGTTGATTTTTCAGAGAACCTTCAGAGGACCCAGGAAAAAGCTCTCCCCTTGATCGTCACATTCCTCTTCCTTAGCACCCACTCACCCACATTCTTTCTGTCTCTGCCTTGGCACATATATTTATGTCCCCATGATTTTATGACTAGGTCTCTGCAATGAGGCCTTTCCTCTGGGAGCCTTTCTACCTCTTTTGATGTGTCTCTCAGAACTTCCAGATTAATTCTCTTAATGCACCCATTCTAGGAACTCACTTCCTTGTTCAAAACTGGCATTTCCTACAGCAGCTTTCACAACATTATGGAACCTCAAAGTTAGAAAAAAACATGTGGGTCTTTCAGTCAAAACACCTACCCATTGTTGTCCTCCCTTCCACAACACACCCTCCTCTTAAATTCATTCAGGAATGAGAAACACTCAACCAATCCATTCCATGATTGCCCTGATTGTTACAAAATCCTTCTCCAGTTGACTTGGCTCTCTTATTTCTACCCATTGGTTCAAGTTATCCATTTTTACCTCCTCCTAGCTCCTTCATCACTTTGTTACGGTATGTAGTCAGGTGTGAACAGGGCAGGAGAGGGCCCCCTACCACCAGGAATGTCAGGTGACCATCAGGTGATGGTCAGGCAGTTGTTAGCTGTCTAAAATAATAATTGGTTACAGCCAATGCCAGGGAAAGGCAGTTTCAATAGATAGAAAAAACCTGAAACTGGGGCTGGGCGCAGTGGCTTATGCCTGTAATCCCAGCACTTTGGGAGGCCAAGCCAGGCAGATCACCTGAGGTCAGAAGTTTGAGACCAGCCCGGCCAACATGGTGAAACCCCGTCTTTACTTAAAATACAAAAATTAGCCAGGCATGGTGATGGGTGTCTGTAATCCCAGCTACTCAGGAAGCTGAGGAAGGAGAATCGCTTGAACCTGGGAGGTGGAGGTTGTAATAAGCCAAGATCACACCACTGCACTCCAGCCTGGGTGACAGAACAACACTGTCAAAAAAACAAAAACAAAAACAAAAAAAAACAAAAACAAAAACAAACAAAACACCTGAAACTGGTGATCAGCAGCTGCCCGATAAGATCTCAGGAGTTGGGAGAGTGGGCCCAGGCATGCGCACCAAGAGGCAAAATGGCAGCATTTAACTGGTATGTGACCTTCCTCTAGGAACACTGGACTAGTAAGGGAAGAACGCCCGCAACTCCAGTAAACACGCTGTGCAAGCTCCCCTCCCAAGTGCTAACAGGCCACTGAGCACGTGGTCATCCCACCCCAAGGGAAGAATCAGGGGAGAGGTAACCCAAGACCCCAGAAGTATGCCAACGTATAAAACCCCAAATCAGGCTGGGTGCAGTGGCTCACGCCTGTAATCCCAGCACTTTGGGAGGCCGAGGCGGGCGGATCACCTGAGGTCAGGAGATTGAGACCATCCTGGCTAACACAGTGAAACCCCATCTCTACTAAAAATACAAAAAAATTAGCCAGGTGTGGTGGTGGGCGCCTGTCATCCTAGCTACTAGGGATGCTGAGGCAGGAGAATTGCTTGAACCCGGGAGGCGGAGGTTGCAGTGAGCCGAGATCACGCCACTGCACTCCAGTCTGGGCGACAAGAGCGAAACTCCATCTCAAAAAAACACACACAAAACAAAAAACAAATCAAAGGTCAAATTACGCACTTGATCTCTCAAGTCACCTGTTTGGCTCTCTTCCAAGTGTACTTTTCTTTCATTCCTGCTCTGAAGCTTTTTAATAAACTTCCACTCTTGCTCTGAAGCTTGCCCGGGTCTCTCCTTCTGCCTTATGCCCCTTGGTCAAATTCTTTCTTCTGAGGAGACTTGAGGTTGCTGCAGACCCATGCAGATTCGCTGCTGCTAACAACTGCATTCTAGTTCCCTTATAGCCCAGGGTGCTCTTGGTGCTGTAACTCAACTCCACCCAGCCTCCCCACCTCCAGACCAGCTCTTCTCCACCCCGTCCCCATCTACTGGGCAAAAAAGGAAAAGTGCAGGAGTTTGACAAGGAAAGTGTGCTGGCTTGCTCACGCTCCCTCTTTCTGAAGATATTTGATGTGTGTGCGTGTGTTTGGTATATTCACTGCAGCTGGTTCAGTTTTCTGTGTTCACCTAGCGTTTCTGGAGGCCAGAATCGTGCATAAGCAAACGTGAAGTCTGCTTTATGCTCACGTTGTTCAGTGTATCAATCACATCGGAGCCAATCTGCGTTTCACTGGGGACAGCTCCTCCAGTCATTTGCTACGGCGCACATGTGCACACATGTACACACACACACAGCACATCAAGAGCAAAATGGCAGCATTTAGAGAATAGACCCATAGATTAACACTAAAATAATGAAAAAGTTGAGCGGGTGTGTTCGCGTCACTGTTTATCACAGTTTTGGTTGCCATCTTGCTAAACATCCTACACTGCTCAGAACACTCCAGAACAAAGCATTGTCTGGCCCAAATTAGAGTAGGTTGAGAAACCTTGCTGTGAACCTACTCCTCTGAGTTTTTATTTTGTCTTCCTGGCCAGCATAGATTTGAAATCTTGTGTAGGGTGTGGCCAGCCAGAGTGCTGGGAGGCTGCCAGAGGAGCCGCCTACTCCCAGGGGACCTGGAGGCTTGTGGTGTGACCTCCCATCCATTCCCTGACCCCCTGTGCCCCAGGCAAGCCCATTGAGATAATTAGGTTAAAAAGCAGGCACTTTGCTAACTATCAGCTGCTGTGTCTGGGCTGAGTTCCGCTTGGGGGTGGAAGCAGAGTGGGGGGAAAAAATAACAGAGGCAGGAAGATAAACTACAGGCCAGGGAACTGGTAGGAGGGCAGGGGGAGTCCAGGCAAGCAAGAGCAGGGGAGGTTGCATCTGTATGCAAGTAGGGGCTGCTCACCCATCCTGAGGGGCTCTTACCTTCCCTCGGCTAATGATAAAAACATTTCTCCTTACAGCTTAGTAAAACCTTACAGTTTACAAAGTGTTTTGCATTTGTTATCTCATTGAAATCTCACAATCACCCTGTACCATAGGGAGGGCAATTACGATTGGCCTGGATGTAGAAGGGAAAACAGAGTATCTGGGAGGCTCAAGATCACAGTAGATTAAAAGAGGGAGAAAGGGAGGGGAAGAGGGAGACAGAGGGGAGAGGAAAAAAGAGTAAGCGAGGTACTGAATGTGGAGCCAGGACAAAGAGAAAGTCTTTAAACGTAATAGAGGCTCCACGAGTGCTTATTTATTCATTCATTCTTGGCACTTAAGAAAGGAACCTATGTTAGCAAAACAAAGGCATTATCTTCACAGAGGGCAATGGAAAGGACTCTAGGGACCCAAAGTCCTGGGGTGTACCCCACTTCTTCTGCTACCTGACCAGTCTGCCTCTCCTTGCTGATCTGAACTCCTCTAAAAGTGGGGAGGTTGGATTCTGTCATGTCTGGATCTCCTACCTCTTTTTCAATTTCCTAGGCTGCCTGACCCCAAGTTGAGCCTCTGGCCACAACCCGTAGCCGCAAGGCAAGAGTGGAGGGTTACAGCCTAATTAGGAGTTGGTTAACTGCACTTGTAACTCTTCAGAGCTTTGTCACGGGCTCTACCTTTTCATCTTCAACACAACTGTTTGAGGAAGATAGGGCAGGGATAACAAATCCTTCTGTTTCTGGGAAGAGACCGCACATGATAACAGAAAAAACATGAGTCTGGGAATCAAGAGAGGTGAGCTCTCTGGAAGGATGACTCTTGCCTGGTGCTGAATTGGTTTGCACTTAGAAAACTTCAGAAGCTGCGATTTGCCATTAGAATAGGACAAAGCAGAGGGCCAGCCTCTGCTATCTTACTGACTTTAGCCTCCATCGTTGCCTGTTTTCTCACTCACTCCAGCAGCGCTGGCTGGCTTTCTGCTCCTTGAACACACCAAACTCCCTCCCTCTTTAGAGCCTCCACCCACTCCCCCCACTTCCCCCACCCCCACCCCCACGTCTTGAGAGCTCCTTTCCAAATATTCACATAGTGGCTCACTCCCATCATCTGGGTCTCTAATCAAATGTCACCTCCTCAGAGTGCCTTTCCTAACCATTCAGGCTAAAGTAATCACCATGTTCCCCCACCCCTCACTCTCCAGCCTATCATCCTACACTGTTTACCCCATAGCATTAGGAGGGGACAAGGTCCCAAGGTTCCCTTCCATGGGAAGGACCTTCCATCAGACAGAGTAACACTACTGGTCTCCCCAGCCCTTACCCATTCCTCCGCAGAGCAGGTGTGTCTTATCTGGTTGGCAAATTCGGAGAAGTTCCTGGGACTACATGGGCCCCTCCCTTTCTTGCTGGGACATACTTCAGGCAGAGAACATGAGTGCTGATCGTCTATAAGCCAGGAAGTAGGCTTTGGGGTAGAGGCTCTGCCCTTGCAGATGGAGGCCTGTGGTCAACCATCACTGCCTAAAACTGGATGTGCAAATCTGCCTAATTCCAGGGTACAGTGCCATGAAGCTCATGGTTGCTGCACTCCAACCGTGGGCTGGAGCCACATCCTCCAACCTAGCTGTGATTAGCCATGGTGCTTGGGTATCCACTGTCTGACTCATATATCTGTCTCTCCAACCGTTCAGAACACAGGCTGGGAACAGGTATGTTATATATTGGGTTCTGCAAAACCACATTTGCCTCTCCCTGAAATCATTATATTTATTGGTTGATTCATTTGTTTACACATCTTTTGCCTTACCCCCATCTGATACATACCACATGGACACACACCTCCCCTTTCTTACCATCCCCTACAGAACGTAAACTTCTTGAGAACAGAGACTCTGTCTCTTTTGCTCATACATTCTGTGCCGGGAACAGTGTTTGGTTCAAGCAGATGTCAAAAAGTAGTCACCGGATGAATAAAAGACTTCCAGATGCCTCTGCACTGCATAAGATCCCAGGACCTTTGCACAGCCCTAGGGTGGGGAGTCTCCTCAATGACTAAGATGAAATAATTATCCACTTGCTTAGAAGAATATGAACCAAGAACTGGGTTCCAGTTGATTTAAAGAAGTTTTTAGAGTATTTCTTATAAGCCTACATTGTAGATGAGATTTTTATCTATAAAATATGATTTCCCCAAGATAAGGAAACTAGGGTGCATGGAGGTTGGGTTATTTCCGGAGGATCCCAAGGTCAGCTGGCAGCAGAGCTCTGCATGGCTGTGGCTCTGCTCCATACTCTTCTCCTCCACTTGCAGAGGCAGCTTGGTCTCCTGCTGTTTCCTCATGGCAAGAGCCACTGTGTGCTGGTTTCCCCATCCTTCTCTCTCCCTGGGTCTATTCAGCCCCTGCTAGCTTTCAGTCCCATTCGGTTGTAGGCCTCAAGGACCTTTCGTCTGCAGGCTCACACTCTCCTAGACTCTGAGTAGAAGCTGACCCCAGCATAGGGCGTGTGACAGCTCCATCTATACAAGGAGGCACGGTCTGAATTTTGCTATCTTCAGTTCAGCATCTAGTGGGCTTGGGTGACCTAGGTACTCACCAAGGTTCAGATGGCCCCACTCATGATGGCCCAGACAGCATAGTGGGCTCCTGCTTTGGTTCCCTGGTAGAGTCTGGGGCTAGAGAATGGCCCTGAATCTTCATCCACATGGCCAGGGTTCCACCATCTTACATAACTCTTGCCAGCTTTCTCTGCCTCTCCCTCAAGGACTGTAGCCATCTCTGTAGCTGAGTCACTGCAGGAGGTCCTGTGACAAAGTATAGGAACCTCCCTGAAGCAAAGCCCTGCCTCCTAACTGAAGTTAAGAATCTCCATGGTCTGTAAGGTCCAGCTTTGGATGTTGAGCCTGCCCTGGCACTAGTGTGACTTTATCCCTTGGGGAGTGAGTTTATTTACTTAATTATTATTTATTTATGTATTTATTTATGTTACTAGTTGTCAAATGGTCCTTTATCGAAATATTTTCCTTTGTACTTTTTACCTAGCTGGGCACTCCTCTGCGCCGCCATCGATGTTGTCTTTGATGTCATTAGGGTGGCAGCCGTCAACACTGCAGCCCACAGACTGGACAGTCCCCAGGGTATCTTTAATGGTTCCAGAGAATTATCTGGCTAAAGATTGGTGGTGCATCTGTCAAGCAATGTTGACAATCTCATCAAAAGCAATATTTCCAGGGCAGTACACAGCTGTCCCCACCATTTCCCTAAAAGAAATCCTTTAGGCCCACCCAGTCCACCTACCAGCCTCACTCCTAGCTTCCCCTCCTGCCCGTGGTCCCCTGCACCACAGTCTCAGCCTGGCCCTCCATGAAGCCATTCCCCGAGCGAGGCCTCAGTCTGTTGCCTGAGCAGCTGGAGGACAGCCCCTCCCTCAGAGGTGGGCTCCTCTCTCAGGGGATGGCTGGCCATCCTCCAAAAAGGCCCCTCTTTTCTGAGCATTCCAGTCATCTGCCTCAACTTCTCTCTCCTCCCCCAGGCCCTTCCTGTAAATTTCACATTTGAAACAAATATTGATTTTCTTACTTATGCCCCTTGCCAGGGTTGTAAGACACACACACATACACACACACACACACACACACACACACACACACAGCCACCGAAAACAAAAAGCATGGACCTGCTACCACTTCTGGAAATGAATGAGGCGAAAACAAGGAAAGCACAAAGAAAAAAGATGTGGCTTCTGGGCAAAATGCAGCCATTGCTATTATTTTCAGAGTTTCTCCCTGACCCTGGCCCTGAGTTAAGAGCTTAGGTAGTGTGGTGAGTGTTAACTGGGAGTGAGAAACCCAAGAGGGCTGTTTTCTTCATTAAAAAAAAAAAATAATAAAAGGGCTCTAACTTTTCCATCTTGTTACCTGAAATGAGAGCAAAGACCAGGATCTGCTCAGATTCTGTGGCTGCAGGACTCCCAGCCTCATCTCCTTCCCCAATCACTCTCCCTAACTCCCTTTTCCCTTGGCTAATAAGCAATCCTGAGAAGGTTTGCACACTTTGCTTATTGTATTTGGCTCAGAAATACATTCTCTTTTTCACCCCCAACCTCAGGCAAATGCTTTCTGATATCCATTTGTATGCCTGAACACATGTGATTGGGCTTAATGTCATTTTCTGAGGAACTGCGGGAAGGTCACTGGGCACAGTGAGAACTTGGCTCCTCTGGGGGATCAGATGCCCAAGGCCTGGTCAGCTCCTGTCTCAGACTCAGACATCTTCCCCCAGCCACCATGACAGGCCTCTGGGACACCTAACTAGTTCCATGTCTTCATTATGCTCCCCTCCAGGGGTGAATCCTGAATCTACCAAAGACCATGCTCACATTCCAGAGAGTTTGCATTATAGCAAGGCAATTTATTGAGACTTTAATGGAGCAGAATAACTGACTCAGAAATTACCTGTGTCTTGTTTTTCTCTGCAGTAGGCTCAACACAAAGGCACGAAAGGTATTTCCTTTCCTCCTCCCCACCCCTCCTTCTATCTCTCTTCCAGGTTTTTGTGTCCTTGAGGTCTAAGTTTCTTTATTCGGTTAATAACATTTACCTCTGTTTCATAGAACAAAGGAGAAGTTGCCAGATGCCATTATTTTTGCTAAACTCGGGAACGACCAAGCGATTAAATGCGGTTTGACATATAGGGGAGAAACCTGGTGGGTGTGTAGTGTGGGGTTTGAAATGAAAAGGGCTGGCTGAGGAGGAGGGCCTACCTCTGACCCTGAAGAGGATAGCCAGATACTCAGGAAGGGAAAGGAGGAGAAGGAAGAGGCCTGTGGTTTCCATCGAGGCAGATACCTGAACCCCAGGGAATGCAGATCTTCTGAGGAGGGAGGATCAGGTGGCTCTGGAGGGCTCCATGGGTGTCCGTGAGGATTGAGCACCCAGGCCATGGTCTTGGGAGTCTCCATGGTATCAGTTCACCTGTGTGGACCTGGATGAGGAGCACAGCCAAGAGCATCATAGACAGGACCAAACAGAGGACACCTCACTTCCACCTTCTGAGACCTGAGAAGCCCAAGTTTTGTTGTTGCTGTTTTTTGTTTGTTTGTTTTTTATGTGAGAATATTCTGAAAACATGCAGACATTGGCAACCTCGGGGGTGTCAGACCAGTTATAATTCTTTTTTTGGCTAATCTTTTCTGTATTATTCCAGTTTTAGTGGATATGCTGCTGAAGCGAGCACTCAGACCAGCTACAATTTGATTTAGACAGAGAAATGTTCTGGACATGTTTTTATCACTTGCTCACCATTTCATTGATGGGAGGTGGGCTGCTTGCCTTCAGAGAACTTGGCGGCAAGGGATGCCCGCTGCGGGGCAGAGGTAAAATGGACTTTCCACAGCTCCTCCAGGCTCCCAGACGCTGTGTACAATGTCTGTAGCCAGCAGGATGACCAGACATTTAACTGGATCCCTTATTAGTCTGATGGCCTTATCCAATTATTGGACCTCTCCCCACTTATCTCCCAACTCTCTGTGTTCCCATGCTTCCTCTGCTTTGCTGTTCTTTGATCTTTGGCTCACATTTCTGTCTGTGACCCTATTACCTACCAATCAGGGCTTGGTGTTTTCCTATTAGTCCTGGGCTTCATTCTACTTGCCTTTGGGATCAAGGATATGCTTTTGGTACTTTCTATATTAAATGTTGGCTGCTATTGTTTTCAGCCTTTTGGAGCAAAACCTCATGTTGAAACAAACAGCTCCGTTCAATTGCTCCTCCTCTTTTGAGCTCCAACATCCAACTGCTCTTCCCTTTGCCACACTCTTCTCAGTCCCACTGAAGCCATTTGCTGACCTCAGTCACTCTCGCAGATTCCTACAGAACTTCCACCGCTAGCACTTGTCTTCCTCCCACCCAAATCTCTGTCATCATCCCAAATGGCTTCAGTTTCCAAGCAGGTGCCTCATCTAATAACTTGAACTCGCAGTTTCTTGATTTCCTTCGCGACCGACAAATTTCACCTTCATTTCATTTAAGTGACCCACTTCCATGGCAACACCCTGGATCTTGTCATCACCTAGAACTGTTTCATTAGCAAACCCTTAAGTTTAAAAAGCCTGATCCCTAAAGCCAATTTCTCATTTTTCTACCTGTGGCTCCTTTAGAACCATGCATCTCCCTTTTCCAGACCTCTAGTCTTCCAAACTCTTCCCATCTTCTCTCCACCACCCCTCTGGTCCTTCCTTGACCTCCAGATTCAGCCACACAGTTACTTTTCTGATAACAGTGGCAAACACATAGCATGACTTTTGCTGGGCCCTATGGAAAGCCCTTTATATATATTAACTGTCTTCATCTTTTTCATCAGTTTGCAGATAAAGAAACTAAGGTTGGGTAATTTGCCCAAGGCTCCCAGCCAGGGCCAGCTGCATAATCTGTGGACCAAGTGGGAAATGAAAATTCAGGACCCCTTGTTCAAAGAGCAGGGAGGGAAAAGTACTCTTTAATATACTCGCCTATAAAGTTTTTTCTTTCTTTTTTCTCTTTTTTAAATTTTTAAAGAATTTTTTGTAGAGATGGGGTCTCATTGTATTGCCAGGCTGATCCAAACTTCTGACTCAAGCAATCCTCCTGCCTCAGCCTCCCAAAGTGCAAGGATTACAGGTGTGAGCCACCACACCTGTAAAGCTTATTTATTTATTTATTTATTTGTTTATTTTTTTCCTGAATTTTAAGTTCTGAGGTACATGTGCAGGATGTGCAGGTTTGTTACATAGGTGTACCATGGTGGTTTGCTGCACAGATCAACTCATCACCTAGGTATCAAACCCAGTATCCATTAGCTGTTTATCCTGATGCTCTCTCTCCCCTATTCCCCCCATAGGCCCCAGGGTGTGTTGTTCCCCCTGATATGTTCATGTGTTCTCACCATTCAGCTCCCACTTATAAGTGAGAACATGCTGTGTTTGGTTTTCTGTTCCTTCATTAGTTTGTTGAGGATAATGGCTTCCAGCTCCATGCATGTTCCTGCAAAGGACATGATCTCATTCCTTTTTATGGCTGCATAGTATTCCATGGTGTATATGTAACACATATTCTTTATCCAGTCTATCATTGATTGGTATTTTGGTTGATTCCACATCTTTGCTATTAGCTTTTTTCTTTAAAAATACTTTATTATGGCCAGGCACAGCGGCTCACGTCTGTAATCCCAGCACTTTGGGAGGCTGAGGCGGGCTGATCACGAGGTCAGGAGATCGAGACCATCCTGGCTAACATGGTGAAACCCCGTCTCTACTTAAAAAAACAATTAGCCAGGCGTGGTGGTGGGCGCCTGCAGTCCCAGCTACTTGGGAGGCTGAGGCAGGAGAATGGCGTGAACCTGGGAGGCGGAGCGTGCAGTGAGCTGAGATTGCACCACTGCACTCCAGCCTGGGTGACAGAGCGAGACTCTGTCTCAAGACAAAAAAAAAAAAAAAAACCACTTTATTACTTATAAAACATGAGAGGTAAGTAAAGTTAAAATTCTAAACCATTAGCATAAATTTTACTGTTCATCTTTATGTTGTGCAATGCCAATTTTAGATGCAAATGTAAGAATACACACACACACACATACATATAGAATCACTTCACTGGAATTTCATAGCTTGGGCATATACTTGTATCTTGTTCTTACCAGAACAGTGGAAATACTGCACAAAACTGGTTTTGTTTCACTTCTTGGTATGCATACATTCTATCAATACTTCTTACCTTTGGCTCACTGGTGAATAAGCAAAGACTGAAAGGGAAAGGAAATATGTGTTGCTCTGTTTTTCGCTTTCCTCATATGTCATCATTTTCAGGATAAGTGGTTGGCTAATACAGGAAAGTAATGCACATAGAAAGGGATATGATAGGGCTTCTTGGTTGTTTGCGCTTCTTAGAATGCCACTGCCTTCTTTCTGAGTTCAAAGCAAGTTCTGGATGAATGAAAAGTATGGCCTGGTGGGTTGCAAGTGTCTTGCTTACTCGGTCATAGACATGTTGATAGGAAGCATGAGCACGGAATTCTGTGAAGGCACGATACATGAGAACGCAGCGAGACTCAAAATGAGTACAAATTAAGCATGTTCTGGAAGTTTCACGGTGATCCTGAATGCTGTATCCAAAGGAGGTAGCAAGAAATGTGGGGCATTCATCTGGGCCGTTTTCCCTCTGTTCACACGTGTGCTCCATTGTCCCATCAGATTAACAAAACACAAATTCAAAGATAAAATCACTGAGAATTTCAAGATAGTCTCAGCAGAGCTTTTAACCAGGCAGAGGACCCTTCTGAGAGCAAGATGTGGGAGGCCCCAGGAAGAGCTGTGGCCTTGCTTAAGGCGACTCTTCAACTGAGGCCATTCTCAAAGAAGAGGGGAAACCCAGCAGCTGGGAGGACACATCCTACAGTCCTGATGTGTGGATGTGGGCAGCTCAGCTCAGCATTCAGGATGCCTTCCCTCTTCCCCCGCAGAAAAGGGCGGATCCTCCCTCTTCCAGAACTAGCCACTCTCTCAGTTCCAGGCCAATCCACCCACATGTACGCTTATCTCTTCCTCTCCCACATCCCTCCAATCTTGTCCATTATTCATCCCCACTTTCCCTCATCTCTTCAATTTCTTTGCTAATAATGGCTCCCTTAACTCAACCTAATTACATCCCAAGTCTCTTCTGTTAAAAACATCCCATTATTCAACTCTGCTTCCGCCCCAAAAGCCATGTCCTCTTGCCTTCCTACCCACAAAGATCCTTCAGAGAGTAAACTCCACTTGCCATCTCCAATGTTTCACTGTGCAGCAACACCCAGCCCAGACCAGAGTCATCCAAGAGCTCTCCAACCTGCTTTTTTTTCTCCCGACAACCGCCCTTCAGCCTTCAACCTACTGGACCTCTTTGTTGCCCACCACAGTGATCACTTCATTCTTTAAGAAACCTTCTTCTTCTTTGATCTTTATCACAGAGCATGACTTGCTTTTGATCAACCACCATTCCTCCTACTACTCTTTCTCAGGAAATCTTAATGAATTTCCCTTCACTAACTCCATAAATCTTGTTAATCTCCAGGGCTCACTTTTTGCTTTTTTTTTTTTTTTTTTTTTTGAGACAGGGTCTCACTCTGTCACCCAGGCTGGAGTGCAGTAGTGCAATCACAGCTCACTGTAGCCTCGACCTCTTGGGCTCAAGAGATCGTATTACCTCAGCCTCCCCAGTAACTGGGACTACAGCTGCGCACCACCATGTGTGGCTAAGTTTTTTTTGTTTATTTTTTGTAGATACAGCGTCTCACTATGTTGGCCAGGCTGGTCTCAAACTCCTGGGCTCAAGTGATCCACCTACTTCAGCCTCCCAAAGTGCTGGGATTACAGGTGTGAGCCACAGCATCCAGCTTAGTTTTTGCTTTCACTCTCTGCCTGCTCTCCCTGGGTTGTTTCATCCACTCTCATCTATAAGCCAGTGACTCCCAATTCTTCACCTTTAGTACTCATCACCTGCTAAGCTTCAGAATCATCCCTTCTGTAAAAGTAATCTTGATTACCCAAAACTTTAGACTTTTAAGTTACTGTTTAAAATTCCACAAGTAATACACGATTTTTGGGTTTTTTTGTTTTTTTTTTTTTTTGAGTTGGAGTCTTGCTCTGTTGCCCAGGCTGAAGTGCAATGGCATGATCTCGGTTCACTGTAGCCTCCGCCCTCCCGGGTTCAAGCAATTCTTCTGCCTCAGACTCCTGAGTAGCTGGGATTACAGGTGCCCGCCACCACTCCTGGCTAATTTTTGTATTTTTGGTAGAGACGGGGTTTCACCATATTGGCCAGGCTGTCTTTAGCTCCTGACCTCAGGTGATCCGCCTGCCTCGGCCTCCCAAAGTGCTGGGATTACAGGTGTGAGCACCGTGCCTGGCCTGTAATACGTGATTTCTGTAGAAAATTGGGAAATGCAAGGAAACAAAGAAAATCCAAAAGGCAAAAACCTGAAATTCCAACTTCCAGAAATAATCACTACTAATAGTTTGATGTATCTCTAACTTTATAAACATTTGTATGCAAAATATTAAATATTTGGTATAAAAATCTATCTTTTTTGCTAAAATATTGGCCATACATATTGACCAAATATTATTGACATAATTAAACATTGCTTGGTGATTATTTTTTGTTGTAGTCTTCCCAGATCACTAAGTATAATCCTACACCATTATTTTAATAACTGCACAGTATTTCATGACATGACTATCAAAATTCTTTTAAACTTTTCTTCTAATTTTTGCACATTAGCCTTGTCCAATATTTTATACTATCATAAACAATATGGTGATGGCATTCTTGTGGCTAAATTGCTGTGTTCAAACATACAAACCTTTTTAAAGTTGCTCATAAGCAAGGCCGGGCATGGTGGCTCATGTCTGTAATCCCAGAACTTTGGGATGGGCCAAACCAGGAGGATCACTTGAGCCCAGGAATTCGAGATCAGCCTAGACAACACAGTGAGACCCTGTCTTTATAAAAATAAAAATAAAAATAAAAAGTTGCTCATACATTTGGTCAAATTGTCCTCAAAAGAAAGATTGTACCAATGTATGTTCTTCACCAACAATGGACGAGAATATTAGTTTTCCCAAACCCTTACCAAGAATACAAAATAGCATTGTTTTTCATTTTGCCCATTTATTTTATCATTATTTCAAAAGAATTTCAGTTTTTATTTGTTAATTTTTTGTTAATTGTTCCTTGTATTTCTCCCTTTGAAAATTGTGGTTTTGTTTACTTTGTCCATTTTATTCTATAAAGATGTTCTTTTATTTATTGGTTTGTAAGAAACAGCTACTATTTCTAAGTACCTATAACTAGATTTCCCTAGAGCACCTCAAGATCAAGTTTTCAAAACCAGACTGATCATCTCTCCCATAAAAACCTATTACGCTCATATTCCCTTAGTTAATAGTATCACCATCTCCCAAGTTAGTCAAGAGAAAAATGTGAGAAATAATCACATATCCTCCCTCTCCTTCTCTTTAACCCATTTACAAAGTCTTGTCTCTTTCTCTCAAATAGCCCTCAAGCCTATCCCATCTTCTCTATTCTCCATGCTAGTGCCTTAGCTTGATGGTAGTCACCACCTCACAGCTTGTCTAATTTCATTGTCTCTTGTTTGAACCATTGCAAAAGGCTCTTTGTGGTATCTGGCCTCCTCCCCCTCTATTTCATCCTCCATACTGATACAAGAATATGTGTTTTTTTGAGACAGAGTCTTGCTCTGTTGCCCAGGCTGGAGTACAGTGGTGCAATCTCAGCTCACTGCAGCCTCCACCTGCAGGGCTCAGGTGATCAGGTGATCCTCCTGCCTCAGCCCCCCAAGTAGCTGGGACTACAGGCGAGTGCCACCACACCTGGCTAGATTTTTTTGTATTTTTTGTAGAGACAGGGTTTCTCCATGTTGCCCAGGCTGGTCTCAAATTCCCGGGCTTAAGCAATCCACCTGCTTCAGCCTCTCAAAATGCTGGGATTACAGGTGTGAACCACTGCACCCCGCACAATTTTTCTAAAGAAAAAATCTGTTAGTTATAATCCCCTCCTTAAAGTTCTTCCATGGATCCCCATCACTTTCAGCATAATGTGATCATTCCTTAGCATGGCATATGAGACCCTGTACAATCTGGTACCACGTTACTTTCCATATTCATCTACATTATTCTAGCCTATGCACCCATAACCAAGCCTGCTGAATGCTGCTCCCCCAAAATGTCATGCTCTTATACAACTTCATGCCTAATATATACATTTTTTGCCTAGAGCTACCTGGTCACCTCTCAAGACTTACAGCACATCTTGCCCCTAGAAACACCTAAGACATAAGTCAAACATACAAGCTTTGGATTTTTCAGCTAGCTAGGAACTGGGATAAAAAGTTGACTCCTTATAGCTAGGACACCTGGCTCAAAAAATAGCAGAAGGAATCCTTCTTAGTATAGCACAGCACTTAAGAGACAGACTGCCTGGGTTCAAATTCCAGTTTTGCACTTACTGATTCTGTAATCCAGGGCAAGTTACTTACCCCTTCTGTATTTCAGTTTCCTCATCTTTAAAATGGTAATCATAAGAATGACTTCTTTTTTTTTTTTTATTTGAGATGGAGTCTCGCTCTGTCACCCAGGCTGGAGAGCACTGGGGCAATCTCAGCTCACTGCAGCCTCTGCCTCCCAGGTTCAAGCGATTCTCCTGTCTCAGCCTCCCAAGTAGCTGGGATTTCAGGCACATGCTGCCATGCCCAGCTAATTTTTTGTATTTTAGTAGAGACAGGGTTTCACTCTGTCGCCCAGGCTGATCTTGAACTCCTGAGCTCAGGCAATCCACCCACCTTGGCCTCCCAAAGTGCTGGGATAACAGGCATAAGCCACCACACCTGGCTAACCATGACTTCTTGTAGGGTCTCATGAATTAATATACGTAAAGCACTTAGAAGAATGCCTGCCGTGAATGAGTTATTTGAATAGATGATATATTTGGGGTAACTAATGTTGGTGCCGTCTGACTGTATATGTAAGTGGTTAAGTGGATGAGATGATATAATGTGTGTGCAAGATCTTTGGAAAATTTAAAGCACTATGGAATTGTCCAGTATTACTATCACTCTTAATTTTAAACAAGATACGTCTCTATACTTCCAAGAAAGTATATATCATCGTGAACTCATAAGATTGCTGCAAGGATTAAATGAGATTAAAAAAAAATATATATATATATATATATTCACCCCATCTCATTCCAAATTGGTGTTGAGTAGTTCAATTCAACCCCAAATTCAACTTATAAGGGAATATGATGACGTAGTAGTAAGAGCACTTAAGATTCCACACACTGGGATGTAAATCCAGGTTCTCACACTTATTAATACGATGACTTCTCCAAGGCCCAAAGATATTTGTGAATCACTGGGCATTCAGAAATTGATCATTATTGTTATTTGGTTGAAAGAAGTCTACATCAAGGCATTCTTCGCAGGAGGAATAGGGCAGACATTCAGAGGAAGAAATAAAAGGTTGACTTATATTGAGTTAGTTCAGAAGAGGTAGAGGACAATAGACATACTTCTCAGGTAGCCAGGGGCTCAGCCTAGACTCAGACAGCAGCAGATTGAATCTCAAGGCAGAAGTCATTTCAAATGCTGCTATTTAGCCCTTATTCCATTCAGCTTTCTATCATAGTTAATTATTTCTATGTCTGTCTCCTGCATTAAATTGTATCTTCCTTGAAGTCAGTGACCTCGTCTTTGTAAACCCAATGCTTGCACCGTGCTTGGCATTCAGAATCAGGCACGAATGCTTGTGAGTGAATGCAACAGCAAATGCCATCTGCCTGGTGAACTCTTAGACACATGTTAAGGCCCAGTTTAAATATCATCTGCTCTCTGAAATGGACTGAATTGAGAAAAGAAGAATATAGATTTCAAGACAGAAGTAATGAGAGACCTGGATGGAGAATCCCAATCCTGGAGAAAATGTATCCAGAATTATGGAGATTCAGAAAAACTCTGCCGAAGTAGATGCTGCATTTATACCTATATTACAGACTGTGTGCCCTTTAACACACACAAGTCCTCATAGAGACTGAGAAGTCATCTCTGAAGGGGGCTGATCCTGTGGGAAAAGCTATTGTCAGAGCTGCCTATGAGTTGAGTGTGGCTGGAACAGGCAGCTGGGATCCCAAGGGCTCAGACCATGGCAGAGCCAGGCAGAGCTGCAGTCACCCCATGGGGCTCACTCTACAGCCTGGGTGAGCTGAGGGTGCTCACTCTGGACTGGATGGGAGCTGAAAGGGACTCTACTATGTCCGCCTTCCCTATCCCACTGCACTCTGTGTTTGCTCTGCCATAAACTCTTCATGATGAGAGTCACAGTCTCAAGTCTGCCAGATGAGTTTCAGATTTCTAGAGTTTTCAAGTCTTGTTGAGTCTCTGTATTGTTTTCTTTAGTATACTTCTTTCCCTTTGTTTTCTGCAAATCCTGCTCACCCTAACAGCCGACCTTTCAAGAACTGGCCAATGCTCAGAGACAGCATTGCCTAAAAAAAAACCAAAAAAACAAAAAATAGTGACCGAATGTTTCAAAAGGTCTAGATATCCAGGGATGATAAAGGGCTTCTTTCCCATCTGTCTTTCCCTGCTGCCTGAGCATCCTCCCCCGGCCCGTGGGACCCTCCACCCAAGGCAACAGAACCCAGGCTGGTCTGGACTTGGCTGGGGGTAACCCTCATCCCCCAGATGGATCTAGAACACAAGGTTCCTCCTGTGGTTTCCCGGTGATGTCTAGAAGTTGTGTCTGCCCACAAAACTGTGCAGCTATAAGACTAGGTGCAGATCTGGTTGTGCAGAAAACAGTATGCAATCGCCACTGGCCTCGTCTGGGTGAAATAAGGGCCAAAACCACACAGCCATGTGTGTAGACTTCCTTTCCTTTCTCTTCTTTGTTCCTTTTCCTCCCTGTAAATGTTCTCTTTCCTGGACCTGGGGAGTCAGAGAAACCCAGCAAACTGTTATTTCCTTCAGCATTACAGCAACTTGTGCTCAGATTAGCCCTGCTGGTTTTAATGGGAACATCTGCAATTCCTGAAGCAGTCGGGTCCTTAGGATGTCAACCCCAGATCACATCACTGCAGGGTGTGCCTATCTCTGCCGATGTGGGCAGGGAGCAGCACCAGAGGGTGAGCTGGAGGAGGGAGTCACACACACTGGACTTTTGTCCTGGACTGTGTGTTAAAATAGGTACAATGTGAATCAAAGTGGAGACAAAAGGGGGAGGCTGCACTGTGTCCCAGTGTGAAGAAAACAGGCTGCTCTGAAGTTATCGCGTCTCTGAGTACAATGTAATTTCTTCTCGGGCAGTGCTCTGATAGCCTGACCAGCAGGGAGGGCTGGAAGTCGTGCAAGCCAGACAGAGGGAGAAGTCATGATGAGTGATATCGCAGTTCCAGGCACCGGACTCAGGTTTCCCCAGCCTTCATTTAGGGCACAAATCGCTGATCCAATCTTCAGCCAAAGCTTTCCCAAGGCCAGTCACACCTGCCTCTCTCCCTTCCCCTATGCCTTTTGCCTCTTTTGTCAGGACTATAAAGAATACCACCTGGGCATCTGAAGTTATAAGAAAATTCCCGCAAAGAATTTCAAAATATCCAGGGTCTCAAGAGCACAGGAAATATCCAGGCAATTCTCCTGTCCTGGGCAAGCCTCCACTCATATCCTCCCAGAAGTATGACACCCCCTTAGGTAAGAAACTCTTCAGGCCAGGCACGTGGCTCACTCCTATAATCCCAGCACTTTGGGAGTCCAGGGTAGGAGGACTGCTTGAGACCAAAAGCTCAAGACCAGGTTGGGCAATATAGTGAGACCCCCATCTCTACAAAAAATTTAAAAATTAGCCAGGCATGGTGGTGTGCATCTGTAGTCGCATCTACTTGGGAGGCTGAGGTGGGAGAATTGCTTGACCTTGGGAAGTTGAGGCTACAACAAGCCATAATGGTGCCCCTGCACTCCAGCCTGAGCCACAGAGTGAAACTGCATCCCAAAGAAAAAAAAGCCTTGAGAGAAAGACTCATCCACATCCCTCTGTGCCCCATTCTAACCTCCACCAAACCCCACAGCAACTTTTTTTTTTTTTTTTTTTGAGTCTCGCTCTGTTGCCCAGGTTTGAGGGCAGTGGTGCAATCTCAGCTCACTGCAACCTCCACCTCCTGGATTCAAGCAATCCTCTCACCTCAGCCTCCCGAGTAGCTGGAATTACAGGCGCCGGCCACCATACCTGGTTAACTTTTTTTTTATTTTTAGTAGAGACGGGGTTTCACCATGTTGGCCAGGCTAGTCTTGAACTCCTGACCTCAAGTGATCCACCCACCTTGGTCTCCCAAAGTGCTGGGATTACAGATGTGAGCCACTGCGCCCTGCCCCATTTCATCTTGAGTCCCTTCCCTACCATTCGCTCCCCAGAGGCCAGGAGCTGCCTCTCCTGAGTAGGTTCTCCCCCGACTCCCACACACCAACTTTCTACCACTTTTTACAGGGCCTGGAAATCTGGGGACTCCAGAAGGTGCAGCCGGCAACATCTATTGTTTAGAGAAGCCGAGACTAGGCTGAGTCAGGTAACCTGTGCAGGAGCAAGGTGTCATTTCGTTTTTCTAGGTCATTGTGTCTGTGTGGCCCTGGCCAGAAACCTGCCTTTCTTTCCCTGCCAGGTCACGAGGGAGGGAACACTCCTCTGCCGGCCGTGTCTCCAGGGTTCTTAGGGTGAACAGAAGGAAAGGCCCTGATTGACTTCCCCCTGCCCTCAGGGGTCTGAGGCTTGGAAGAGGCCTCCAGCATAGGCCTACGATTCCCATGTACTTTAGCAGGAAATGGGGTGTGGAACTTTTCAGGGATGAAGGAAGGGAGGGGCGTCCATTGTTTCTCATCTCCTGACCCCCAAAAGCTCTCAGTGGGGAAAATGGCTCCAATGTGGGGTGAAGGACTGTAGGGCTGAGCTGACAGGCAACTATGGATTGGCTGTGGACAGCCCACAATTTTTCTTAATTAGCCATGGCATCTTGCCCATCATGGAAATAAATAACAGGTGTCCCCTAAGGACAGCACATGAGAGGCGCCATTTATCGCCGTTCTGAGAGGAAACTGACAACATGACGGGTGACATAGCAGAAATAATGAAGAAAAATGGTAGTGGGCAAGGAAAGGCCCTGTCAGAGGAACCTTGCAATCAGTCCCCAAAGGGAAGACCCCTGCCCAGCACCCCTGGGAGGGCAGCACCTCCCCAGTGGGCCTGTTCTTCAGGCAAGAGTTCCATCTCCCATTAGCACTAGGCAGGCACCATACAGTAGCATTTCAGGGTCATTGGCAACCCCTCCTGTACCATCATGGGTCACTGCGGATGTGTGTCAGAGTCCCTGAAATGCCACTTTGAGAGTTTTATTATTTTAGATATTTCAAGTTCAGGCAACTCTAATTTGTCTGTGTGGATTATCTCTGCCAAACGTTAAGAGTGTAGGCCACTGATCTGCCACCTGACATCCTTCTGGTCATTCTCTCTAATAGGTGGTTGCTAGATCTAGTCTAAAGGTGAAGAGGGGTCCCTCTCCTGTCGAAAGCTCGTGTTTCCACCTGTGCTCAGCATCACATTTCTCTTCATTAGCCAGGCATAGTGGCATGCACCTGTGATACCAGCTACTTGGGAGACTGAGGCAGAAGGATTGCTTGAGCCCGGGAGTCTGAGACCCGTCTGGGTAATGTGGAGAGACCTCATCCCTAAAAATTAAAAAAAAAAAAAAGAATTAGCCTAGTGTGGTGTCACATGTCTGTGGTCACAGCTACTTGGGAGGCTGAGACAGGAGGATGACTTGAACTTAGGAGTTCAAGTCTGCAGAGAGCTGATTGCACCACTGCACTCCAGGCTGAGCAACACAGTGAGATCCCTATCTCCAAAAAGAAAAAAAGGAATTTCTCTTTATCATGAATCCCCTCTCTAACCTCGATACTTAACTCTTCCTGTCTACTTTCCTTGAAGAATCACATACACTAAAGTCTCTTCCATTAAAAAGAAAACAATCAAGCAGACTGTGATGGTTAATTTTGTAGCAACTCGACTGGATTAAGGGATGCCCAGATAGCCGGTAAAACATTATTCTGGGTTAGGGTGTTTCTGGAAGAGGTTAGCATTTGAATCATTAGACTGAGTAAAGATCTGTCCTCACCAACTTGTGAGCAGGCACCATTTAATCTGTTGAGGGTCCAAATAGAAAAACAACAAACAAACAAACAAACAAAAGGCAGAGAAAGGGTCAATTCTCTCTCTCTTCTTGAGTTGAGACAGCTATCTTCTCCTGCCCCCAAATAGAGGAGCTCCTGGTTTGCAGGCCTTCAGACTCAGACTGAATTACACCACCAGTTTTCCTAGTTCTCCAGCTCACAGATGGCAGGTTGCGGGACTTCTTGCTTTCATAATTGTGTCAGCCAATTCCCATAATAAATCTCCTCTTATATCTCTGTATATATCTATTGGTTCTGCTTCTTTGAAGAACCCTGACTAACACACCAGGCCTCCCTGTAGGCTACATTGCTCTTCAGCTACCACCTTCCACACCTCTTCCCTTCCCAGCCAGCTTTTTAAAAATGTCCTCACCTTCTTACTCCAAAATCCACACCAGTTTGACTTTTGCCCCAAACTGAAACATCTCTTTCCTAAATCACCAGTGATGTCTGTGACTAAAGCCCATGGACACTTTTCAGCCCTTATCTTATTCATCATTCCTCTTTCTTGAAATTCTTTCCTCCCTTGGCTTTGGAAAGGCTACATTTCTCAGGTTTTCTTTGTACTTCTTCTCAGACTCCATGGCAGCTCATTTTCTACTGCCTACAGCATAAATATTGGGAATCTTCCAGGCTCAAGACTCAGCTCCCCCTTCTCATTCTGCACTATCTTCCTAGGCAGACTCATGGATTCAATGACCTTAGGGGTCTCGATGATTCCCAAGTCTATGTCTGTAACCCAGTTTTCTCCCTTGAGTTCTATCACTGTAGATCTAATCTCTTACTGGAAACTCTCTGGGTATACTCTATAAGCACCTGACTTTGAACACATCTCAAACTGAATTTCTCTTCGTCTCTCTTTCACACTTATGTGCACGAATACACACTCATGTGTATTTTCCTGCCCTCAAATACAGGAGCTCCTGGTTCATAGGCCTTCAGACTCAGGCTGAATTACACCACCAGTTTTTCTGGTTCTCCAGCTCACAGATGGCAGGTTGTGGGACTTCTTGCTTCCACAATTGTGTCAGCCAATTCCCATAATAAATCTCCTCTTATATTTCTCTATATATCCTATGGGTTCTGCTTCTCTGGAGAACTCTGATTAATACACCAGGCCTCCCTATAGTCTACATTGCTCTTCAGCTACCACCTTTCACACCTCTTCCCTTCCCAGCATGAATGCATGCCCAGCCAAACCTGCTTAGGAATGGCAGCTTAACCTATCCTTACAAGGAACAATGAAGATAGCCATACAACTTTTACACTGCTTCATGTAGTCCTCAGTGCTTTGGGAGCAATTAGCCAAATTTTACTGGCTGGGACCTTGGGGTGGGCCCAATGAGTCTAGTATGTATATGCTTGTTGCCTATACAAAATTGGGCAAAGCCAAACACAGGTCTGAGAAGTTCAAAAGATGAGATGAGGTGAGGCCAAAGGGAAGGGGATACAGCATCCATGTTCCATCCATGTACGGCAAGCCCCTTGCAATGGGCAAAGGGATGTAGAGATGCAACCAATCCCAGGAAGAAAGACAGATAAGAAGCAGATGGCCTCCCAGAGACCCCATCATTGATGAGTTTCAGAGCAGCGGTCCCAGCTGCAAGGGGCTTAGTAATACCAGACAGAGAGCCCAGAAAATTATAGAGTGGGAGAAAATTACAGAGTGGTGCATCAAAGCAGAAGTCTTGGCCTATGGATTGAATAATAGTAGAAGCATAGGAAATGCCCTGACTAGGAGGTTTCTTGGGTACCCAGTGCTCATCCAAGCACACCAAATCCTGAGTGTCAGAGAACATAACTTAGTTCTCATCCTCACCAGATGATTGCACTGAAGTCCCTGCCCCAATCATGACTGCCTTAGAAACTAGGATGTGCCTGAGCCTCCAGTTCAGATCCCTTCAGGAAAAGGAGGGATGGGAGAAAACAAAGGCAGGATAATAAGTTGAAGAGGCTGGTAGCCTGTGTCCTATACAATGATTTATTTGTATGTATTTTGCACTGTGACTTCTGGGGGTCAGTTTTCTGTGGCAAGCTGGCCTTTTCTCTTTCTGGACCTGGTTTTGCACGTGGTGTTGCATGTTTGGGGAATGAGTAGACCAGGGTGGCCGAGGGTATTTTCTATGGAGCAGCAACAGTAGGGTGTTGTCCTACCAGAAGTTTTGATCTTGGACTCATTGATGGTCCAGAAGAGGCTTTCTAGTGTTTCAATTGAGGCCATTGAATACAACTGCAGGAAAAAATAGCCTTGGTGATGTAATAAATCTAAGCCAAATGCCTGCCAAGTATAGATACAGTGTGGATCTTTATGTGTTGCTTGAGGATGTCTTTTGTATGGGAATGAGGCTGTTCTCTAGCCTTCAAGTTTTCCTTCTGATGGTAACATAAAAGGGAGTCTGGAGAGGCTAAGATGGGAAAAAAAAATAGAAATAGGGAAGAGAAGAGATAAGTAGTACTACTTTATGTTTACTAAACTGCTACTGGATGTCAGGCTACTGCATAGATGCTAGAGAAAGAGTCTATGGTCAGGGAGTTCACAGATTTGGGGAAACAAATATGAAAATGAACCATATATATATACATACATATATATATATAGAGAGAGAGAGAGAGAGAGAGACGCAGTCTCGCTCTGTCACCCAGTCTGGAGTGTAGTGGCGCGATCTCACTCATTGTGACCTGTACCTCCCAGGCTCAAGTGAATCTCCTGCCTCAGCTTCCAGAGCAATGGGATTACTGGCACCCACCACCACACCTGGCTAATTTTTGTATTTTCAGTAGAGACAGGGTTACGTCATGTTGGCCAGGCTGGTTTCAAACTCCTGACCTTAGGTGATCCACCCACCTTGCCTTCCCAAAGTGCTGGGATTACAGGTGTGAGCCACCATGTCTGGCCACCTCTAATATTTTAATACTATGTGACAAATACACTCGTAAGAGTAATGATGATAATTGATACAGTCTGAGCACTTATTACAAACCAGGTGCCATGTGAAATGCTCTACATGCATTGTATTATTTAAACCTATCAATCCTATGAGCACGACGCCATTATTTCCATATTATAGATAAGAAAATTAAGGCTTCCGAAGGTCAGATAACTGATCTGGGATCACTCAGCTACAAGTCGAAGAGCCAAGATTCAAACCTATAACGTCTGAGTCTAGAGGTCATACAGTTAATGCCTCCACCTGCAGCTTACTCTAATTAGAGTAAAGCAGAGGAAAACACAGGGAAGAATGATCAACTCTTCCCAAAGAGCTCAAGGATGGCTTGAGAGATGATACTAGTTGAATCTTGATAAATCAAAAGGAGTTTACAGGATAGGGAAGGAGAGAAGAACACTTCAGGTGGAGAGAGAAGCATGAATAAAGCTAAAGTCTATTTGGAGCACTAGTCAGTGTGAGTACCCCAACGCACAAACACACTCACACACTCACTCAAAACTACATTTATATGCACACATGTACACACTCATTTGTGCATAAACGTGTGCACATATCACACATTCTTACACACAAATGCGCTTATTTCACACACACTTAACACATCAGTCAGACCCATGCACATGTACACATATGTGCACAAGCTCACTAAGTAAGCACACACAGGCCAGGCATGGTGGCTTATGCCTGTAAACCCAGCACTTTGAGAGGCCAAGGTGGGTGGATCATTTGCGGTCAGGAGTTCGAGACCAACCTGGCCAACATGGTGAAACCGTCTCTACTAAAAATACAAAAATTAGCCAGGTCGCAGTGGTGTGCACCTGTAATCCCAGCTACTTGGGAGGCTGAGGCAGGAGAATTGCTTGAGCCTGGGAGGCAGAGGTTGCGGTGAGCCAAGATCATGCCACTGCACTCCAGCCTGGGTGAGAGAGTGAAACCCTGTCTCAAAAAAAAAAAAAAAAAAAAAGTAAGCACACACACTTTACCAGCTCTGTGAGATGTCTACCTGAGGGGTGTATTCATTCCCATTCATCCTCTTTTCCAGTCTTCAACTCCAGTGGTCCAATAATAGTAAATGTTGTCCTTCACTGAGTGTCTCTGTTCTTCAGGAATTGTCCTATGTGCTCTCCATGCACTATCCCTAATGCTCACAAGAAAAGGCAGGTGTTGTGGTTCCATTTCACAGATGTGGTTATAGGGCCTCAGAACAGGCTCAGGATCTTCCCAGAGGCAACATAGTTCACCAGTGGCTTTAAACCCAAGCCCATCTGTTTCTAGAGCCTGAGCTCTTTAAGCCAGCGGTCACCAACCTTTCTGGTACCAGGGACCATTTTCGTGGAAGACAATTTTTCCACAGACTGGAGGTGCAGGGGAGGGTTTTGAGATGATTCAAGTGCATTACATTTATTTTGCACTTAATTTATATTATGATTACATTGTAATATGTAATGAAATGATTATACAACTCACCATAATGTAGAATCAGTGGGAGCCCTGAGCTTGTTTTCCTATAATTAGATGGTCCCATCTGAGGATGATGAAAGACAGTGACAGATCATCAGGCATTAGATTCTCATAAGAAGCATGCAGCCTTGATCCCTCACATGCACAGTTCACAATAGGGTTCATGGTCCTATGAGAACCTAATGCCATGGCTAATCTGACAGGAGGTGGAGCTCAGGCGGTAATGCAAGCAATGGGGAGTGGACATAAGTACAGATGAAGCTTCACCAGCCACTCACCTCCTGCTTGGGGTTGGGGACCTCTTCTTTAAGCCACCAAACTGCCTCTGCAAATATCAATGCCCCTAGAGCAGACTTTGTCCCAGAAGGGATTGGTCAAGCCCATGTGGCCTAGAAAGCAATGGGCTGTAGCTGGGACCCACAGTGATGGCCCACACTGAGGCAGCCCTTTCTCCCTTCAAGCTGAGGTGCCTGTGAATGATTGCCAAGATGTGGAAGCCTCACTGAGAGGAATGAGAGTGCTTCATATCACTGTGGTCACAACTTCCATCAGTGCAGAAGTTTGGCGTTCAGAAGTATATTAAAGAATGAGGAAACTGAGGTGCTGGCCAACAGTTAACAGACTGGACAGAGACTTGGAGAGAATCCTTATGAGGCCGGATTCCAGGCCCATGTCCTTCCCACTGACTGCATTGCCTCCCAGTTCCTACAGGGCTGCTTAGAAATCTTCAACATGAGTACGTTGTATTAATTAATTTGCATGAGGAAATATGTAAGGTTTTAATAATTTGCATGTATGAATTTGTTTTGTTTCTTTGCACATGCTCTAATTTCCAGGAATGCACAAAGCTGAGTGAGTGCATGGTGGGATCCCACCTTAACAGATGGCCTAGTTGTAGCCCAGAGAGATTAGCTAAAGCAAGAAGCTTAGAATAACATCTTGAAGACCAGATTCAAGATCTCCTTTGTCCCAGATCTGGCCCTGCCATGTTAGTATAATTTTTTCTCCATGTCATTTCCTCAAAAGAGCGTTCTTCCTTCTTCCTTCACTTTCTGGGTCTCACACCTCAGATCTGTATGCTTCTCAATGGCTATTTTCCTCCTTCTTGTATCCCTTTCTTTATTTTCCCACTTCATACTGAGCTGATTTATAGGCCAGAGTTGTCCCTTGGGCTGGACAGACAAATAGCAAGGAGACAGATTAATGATCCCCTCAGCATTGCTCAGGAAAATGCCAGCATAGGCGCGAGACTGTGGTGTGGCTCCGCAGAAGGTGGGAAGCCAGCATCCACCCCCTGCGAGCGACTATGGTGCCGTCTCAAGCCAACACCTGGTTTGGAGGGAGGGAGAAAGGATTGGGAGGCCTCCCCCATCTACTCCAAACTTTGCTTTCCTTTTGTTAAGGTAGAATGGAGAGCCTGGGGGCAATGAGGTGAGGAAAGAAAGAGGGGTAAGTACAAAAAGATTCCCCAGAGAATTTGTACCCCAAAGATGACATGGATTAAAGTTTCTGGATTAAAAAGAATCCTTTTCTGCGTTGCTCTCGCTTCAGAAGCACAACACATGATTAATCCATACCCACATCCATACACATCTTTACACACATGTGCACATACTCACATTTTGCTATGTACATATTCACATGCAAAGCCATGTGTTCCTGGCCTTACCTTGGCCCCTCCCAGACTTTAGCACAGGGCCTGCTAAAGTCCCAGGTTAAAAGGGAAGAAAGACGTTGAAACCTTTGCAGCTCTGGGTTCCCAGCACGTAGTCCCAACTCCCTCTAAAACCCTGGTGGGCTAGGATGGCTCCCCCCTTTCCTCCTTTTCTAATTATGACAGGCCCCAGGGGGCCAGAGCAAAGAGAGGGGAAGGCTGAGTGAGGACTGCAAGTGGGAAAGGAGGGCAAAGAAGGGAGGGAGGGAACGAGGGAGCTGAAACAGACATTTTGTTCTGGGGAAAAACAAGCGCATGGCCAGGCATGTGGCCAGACCACGTGAAGAGTGGTCACCCCTCACTTTCCCTGCTTCCTCAGGGAGATGAACCCGTGAGAGGTCCAGGACCAGTGCAATGGAAACGGGAAAGAACCTTTAGGCCTGAGTTTTAATAGCAGGCTGATTTGTCTCCATACTACAGTCAGGTTTAATGTCATGTATTCTGCTGGTCCCTCTGTGAAGCCAGGAGATACTAAGAGTTTTTATCATTACTTTACATGAAGGGACCCTGAGTTGTTAGAACCACTTGACTGAAGCCATGGCATGCAGGTCTCTTTGCCCCTAGTCCAGTGCACATTTCACTGCTCTGATGGAGAAGGACCGGCTTCCCCTTCTATTCCTGGGGCTACGATACATTAATAATAACCTCTTGCAAGTGAACAAACAGAGATGTACAAAATAGTCCCTCACCATTTACAAAACTAATTCATGGGCATTTGATCTAAATTTATATATATATGTACAATCTAGATCTAGATCTATATAGTTTTTTAATTGAGACGGGGGTCTCACTATGTTGCCAGGCTGGTCTTGAACTTCTGGGCTCAAGCAATCCTCCTGCCATGACCTCCCAAAGTAATTCAACACATTGTTATTGAGCATCACAATACGCGCCAGGCACTATGCTGAGTGCTGGGGAGGAAGGAATGCATAAATCCAATCCTGGCCTCCCTGAGCTCATGGCCAAGTAGAGAAAGCTAAACAGAAGATGATAAAGCCTTGTTATTTCATGCATGATCCTAGGAACTTGTTAGGGAAAAAAACCATGGGAAGTAGAAAACCTTCTGCTCACTTGTCAGCCAAAAAGAGGAGGATAATCCCAGAGCCGAGGAATTCTCCATGACATCTACTTCCGTCTTTGTCAGCAGCTCTTGGTTAATCCAGTTCCCCAGGCCTCTTCTCCTCCCCACGACTTAGAATTAAGTTAAAATGCCAGGTCCTCTCCAGATGATAGAGTTTCTTCTCTTCCCAGATCTGTTTTGTTGTGGTCATGAAGACTGCCCAGCCAAAGATTTGGAAATAGCAACTATTCCAATTATGTAAAATGTGATTAAAGGAAGTGTCATGGCCCTTCACATGAGCCTTTCACTTAATTCTTGCCTTGCAACCCTGGCTTGGGCTGACAAGCATAATAGATCTACTTGATACATCTTGTGCTGAAATAAAATGTCTAGTCAAAAGTGCTTAGAATCCCTCTAGGCTGGAGTTGCCTAATGATGTCATTACTCCACAGAGCCTGGCGTTATTTTTAGGATGGCCATTTCCTCCCATATTAAGGCTCATTAGGATTTTTTTTTTTTCTGTAGTACTCTACCCAAACAATAGACGTCACACACACAGAGATGAGGCCTGGTCTGGGCCTAGACAGCTCACTTACCCTTTCTGTACAGCTGAGCTCCAAGTAAGGCCATTTGAAGCTGAAGGAAGCTTTTCTTGAATGGTGGGAGATCAAACTAAGGTCAAAGTCTGTCTGGGTCAGCCTCGTGTCAATACAGCCAGCATGCTCATATTGCAATGGCCAGGTTTATGCCATCCATCATCCACTCCCACTGACCTCTTATCCCTTTATATGGCACAACTACTGGTCAGTTTAGGACACTTCCAGCCCAGCTCAAATCATGGGGCTAAAATAGCCTGGCAAATGTTCTATCATCCACAAGACAAAGTCTCTGACTCTAAGGTGAGGCAACCTCTACTATGCAGGGAAAAACACTGATTGATTTTTACCAGCATAGGCTTTGCAATCAGATGAATATAGGTTCAAATCCTAGGTTTGCCATTTAATGGCTGCGTCCTCTGGGGAAAGTTTCTTAATATCTCTGAGCTTCATTTTCTTCATCACTAAAAGGAAAACAATACTACCCACCTCACAAGACTGTTACAGAACAAGTAAGAAAATAGATGCCAAGCACTTAGAGACCCTGACACAATGAAAATATTTGTTAAATGCAACTGGGTTATTATTTATCGTCATCTCTATTATCACTATAAATCAACAAAATGCAGTTTTGAAATCCAAAAAGCTCTGAATACTAAAAGATTTTTTCATAACTCATTTGGTAGCAAAACCTGACCTGCCCTGAGTTTCTTTGTAGGCTTCACTTATCCCACTTAAGATAAATATTTGTTATAGAAATCTGAATGTTTTTTGCTCAGAAGTTATTGCCCCAAACTCTGCTGTAGGTCTTACATAATATACACTAACTGCACCATATTACCTTTTTAAATTTTTTATTTTTTGAGAGTCTTACTCTGTCACCCAGGTTGGAGCGCAGTGGTGCGATCTCAACTCACTGCAACCTCCGCCTCCCAGATTCAAGCAATTCTCCTCCCTCAGCCTCCCAAGTAGCTGGGGTTACAGGTGTTTGCCACTACCTTCAGCTAATTTTCCTATTTTTAGTAGAGACGGGGTTTCATTGTATTGGCCAGGCTGTTCTCGAACTCCTGCCCTCAAGTGTTACTCCCGCCTCAGCCTCCCAAAGTGGGATTACAGGCATGAGCCACCATGCCCAGCCCATACTACTTTTTTAAAATCTGAAAAATTCTGAATTCTTAAACATATGTGGTCCTAAGGGAGTTTGTTAAAGGTTGGTCAGCATTCCTCTTTACACCAGATGCAGGGCCCAAGCCACTGCTGTTCCTTCCTACCTAGGAATATACAAAAAGTGTTCATTCCCTACTGGCTGTGAGGCAGTTGCCCATCTCCACAACAAATCATAAAGACTCCCAACCCCAGGGTAGCAAAATTAGCCCTTTTCGCCATTCAGAGACTCAGTCTCTTACTACACCTAGATAGTTGATTCTTGGCAAATCTGGACAGAAAGGGCAATAAAAGCAATTCAAGGCCAGGCGTGATGGCTCATGCCTGTAATCCCAGCACTTTGGGACGCCGAGGCAGGCGGCTCACTTGACGTCAACAGTTCGAGACCAGCCTAGCCAACATGGTGAAACCCTGTCTCTATCAAAAATTGGCTGGGCTTTGGGGTGGGTGCCTGTAATCCCAAGTACTTGAGAGGCTGAGGCAGGAGAATTGCTTGAACCCGGCAGGCAGAGGTTGTGGTGAGCCAAGATCGTACCACTGCACTCCAGCCTAGGCAACAGAGCAAGACTCCATCTCAAATATATATATTTGAGATATATATATAAAATGATATATATATTTGAGATGTATATATAAAATGATATATATATTTGAGATGTATATATAAAATGATATATATATTTGAGATGTATATATAAAATGATATATATATTTGATTATATATAAAATGATATATATATTTGATATATATCAAACATATATACACACATATATGTATATATTGCTCCTGAATAAGTAACACTTTTATTTGCTGAGCACCTATTATGTGCCATGCCCTTTACATACACCCTGAACCTCACAACAATAATGAAGAAAGTACTATTATTCCCCACTTTATAGTTTTTTTTTTTTTCAGAGGTGGGGGTGGTTGGGAAGAAAAAGTTTCGCTATGTTGCTGAGGCTGGACTGGAACTCCTGGACTCAAGTGATCCTCCCTCCTCAGTTTCCCAAGTAGCTGAGACTACAGGCATGAGCCACCTGACTCAGCCCCACTCTAGAGATTTGTAAACAGGAACATAGAAATGATGGGAACTCAAATTCCAGTCTGATTTCAAAACTACTGCTTTTTCCTCTGTAGCCTTGCTTGCTGACTTTCATAAAACCATAGAAAAAATACGAAAAGGGAAAGCTTATTTAAATTTATTTTAGTCCCATTGTCTATTATATTTGAAGCATGTGGTATTATCTCTTTTAAGACTCAAGCCCTACATAGGGATCAACTTGCAAGTCTGGGAAATGGCCACTTTGTCAGGTGCCAAATATTCTCTACGTGCTAGTGTTCTCAGAAAATGACATTGACCTTTATTACTCAGTCACTTCTCCCTTTAATCCTTCCTCAATCTCTTGCAACTCGATTCGTGGGAGGAGTTTTAGAACCGCGGTGGTGGTGGAGGTGGTTGTGTTTGGGGGGGGCGTATTTTGTAGCTGTGCGCCTAGTTCGGTCTGATGAGATCATTTGAGCGTAAAGGTCAGGAAAGGAGATCTGTTAACCTTGGCCCTGGACCCACTGGTGAATGTTCAGGGTTATGCTCCTCCAGCGCATGGCATGCTAAGCCAGGCACAAGGCTCTATCCAGGACAACCCACCTTTCCTCAAGCCAAAAGGAAAAAATCAAAGGCAGCAAAAAAGATCAAAAAGCAAGTGTCCAAAACCAGAGAGAGCAACTCGCCCTCCCTCGCGACACCCGATGAGACAAAGACCATGAAGTAAAGGTGTCATGCAGCCCTCAGATTAATGTACACTATGCAGAAATGGTCAGAGTCCTCCTTTCCCCCATAATAGGATGCCCAGGAAGCCTCACAATGAATGCTTCAGTCAACAAGATAGCACGAACTCAGCCTGGCTGGCGGTGCATTGTTTATCGGCTACCTAGGGCTTTGGATTATGAAAAGATGTCTGAAAGACACTTTGTTATCTCATTGTACTTCTGCAAGTCACCACTCAGTTCCATGAGCAGCATTGCTCCTCTTAGAACTCCTGACTTTTGATTTGAGGATGTGATTGTTCGTTAGACTGATAATAGTAGGCTTAAAACCCAAGGGTAGAAAGCCAGGCCTGTGGTTGCCTGCAAAATGGAGGTGCAGCTGGGGCTTCTGACAGGCCCTGGTGAATTCCAGGCAGCTTGCCAGGTGGCATGGCTGTCAGTGATCCATGAGGTCGCCAAGGTATGAATCAACGTTGGCAGCATCCATGGTTGCATCCATAATATAGATGGTTCATGTAGCATGTCACAGGCCAATGAGAAAGTGACTTGTCTTGGAGGTTTTTTTCTTTTTTTTTTTTTAATCCCAGTAGCAGAGAAAGTGATCATCCAAGAAACGGAGAGTATGAAACAGCCCTATCCAGGTGGGATCCTCCTGTGGCTCTGAAATGTGGCCACGGAGCAACTTATATGCTGGCCACTGTGTCCCAAATTATCCAGAAACTCTGATCTCCTTCTGGGCCATAGATATCTAAGTCCATTTTCCTGCTCTACTTTCTCAGTAACAACTCACAGACAAAGTAAAGATTAGAAGAGACCCTAGAGATTATCTTGTCTGATACCAACATTTTACAGATGGAGAAACTGACCAGCAAGAGGATGTGAATTTTCCAAGGTCACAGAGCACGCCATGAGAAGACAAGATGGAAGTCATCTCTCCTGGTTCCCAGTGCTTTCCTTACTACTCCTCACTCAGAAACAAAGGCCCCCAAATTTTCTAATCCTGCCAAAGAAACACGTATATAAGAAAATGTAACTTAAAGTGAAAAGATGTTCTAGAATGCTAATGACAATAGCTGATGACTACTGACTTGAATATAGAGATAGCTTGACACTAACAAAATCAAGTGCTATGAGTGAATGAATACGATGATAATAGACAAGTCTACATAATATATTTTTCATGAGCAAATGAGAGGATATGAAATATATATTATGGATGATGGTGTTAACATCACATTTATTTACTTTGCAGCAATCTGATTCTCTGAGCATTATAGTTTCTCTACAACCAAAATGGCTATGATTCTCTGAATCTTGAAGTTGGTCCCAAACTTCCACAAATGCAGCTAAGGGTCTGTCCCCGCCCTCACTGCCACACACTCCACACCCACACCCATTGAAAGATGACTTCAAAAGAGAGGTCTGGGCCAGGTGTGGTGGCTCACACCTGTAACCTCAGCACTTTGGGAGGCTGAGGCGTGCAGATCGCTTGAGCCTAGGAGTTTGATACCAGCCTGGGGAATATGGGAAAACTTCGTCTCTACAAAAAATACAAGAATTAGCCAGGAGCTAAGGTAGCCTCCTTACCTGGAGGATCACTTGAGCCCAGGAGGCAGAGGTTGCCGTGAGCTGAAATCGTGCCACTGTACCCCAGCCTTGGCAACAAAGCAAGACCTGTCAAAAAATAAATAAATAATAAATAAAACAGGTCCGTATTTTTAACAAACTGGTGAACCAGTAAAGAACCCTGTCCCCACCGCCCCTCATCGTGTGCTGTCATCTGATTCTTAGCTTGTTCCCATTATGCTGTGGTATCCTTCCCAAAGCACCTCCCCTCCCTCCCTGCCATAACTGTATTCACACATTCAAGTCGGCCAGCGTTTTTAGAGCCCTGAATACAGCACAGCCCAGGGCTGAACGCCAGAGAATTCCTCGGGGATCCCACACACCCTTCAACTCAGGGAGAAGCAGGGGTCACCCCCCATTCTTTCAGTGAAGGCCTGCCTGCGTCCTCTGCCAATGGTGGCAGCAGCTCCCTGCGAGGGCGTCCCTCTCTCTACGTCTCGCACTGAGGAAGGCAAAGTTAGACTGACAACAACACTAACAAAGATTAATTCCTGTGTCTGATGAGAGTTAATTTCTCTGATTAGAGGACTCTCAAAAATGTGCAGTGACTAAATCTTGACTGGAAATTTTCAAGTGGCAGAACGGCCGGGCAAAGAGCCCCAGTCACACACCAGTGACTTAGAGGGCCTCCGTGAGACCAGGCAGTGTATGAGTAAGACAGGTATGTGAGATAAACCCACGAGGGCAGGCCGCTCTGGCCAGCTAGGTCTTTATGCATTTATCCATTTCATTCCACTTATTATTTGTTGTGTATTTTCCTTTACAGAGCTTCTTGTAAGATCTGGTCTGAAACCAGACCAGAAAGTATTCAGAAAAATAGGAGGATAGGTGGGGAAGCCCCATCCACCTGGAGAAACATTATCTGTTCTGACGGAAATTGGCAACTAACAGCTAGCTGTCGTGCTGGTCCATCCACCCATCCTCCAGAAGTGTGCTTAGGGTCATGGAAGAGGAAGAAGATGATGGAAAGTGGAGATGAACGACTTCTAGACTGCTTTCTGACGAAGGGCATGTGCACGCCTGTAGAACAGGTAGAAAAGGCCATCTGTCTAGAGTCAGTGAATATTCAGAATGACACTCCTCATGGGCTTTGTGGTCAGAGGGAAAACTGGAGGTGGCTGGGAAGAAAGACTGCGAGCCTGGAAGGCAGACTGACTTGAACTGGAACTCTGGCTCTATCATTCATATGTTTGTGGACCTGCAAAAGGCACATACTTATGAGAGACGCCATTACATCACCTAGAAAGTGAAAATCCTTCCCATCTACGTAGATTTCTCCGCATATAGAACTTGCAAAAGAGCCTGGCAACCAGGGGTCCTCCTTCCCCCGTGCCATTCCTCACCTTTGGGGCCTAACAAGAAAAAGTTCCTCTGGCTTCTCTCTGGGGAGACATGGAAGGCTCTGAAGTCTCCTACTTGTAGAAAATTCAGCAGGTGGGGGACAGAGGGAGGAGCTACTTTTCCTTTTCTCTCACATCAGCCTTTCCTTTCATTTCCCAACCCGCTGTTTGTCCTACCTGTCGGTCATCCATCTCATAAATGTATATTAAGCACTCACCAAGGGCCTGGAGCTGTCCATAATGTGGTGCTCCAGGTCCTTTTAGTAGCTGACCCCCCTCCAAACTCGTTTATCAATTCCATCAACGTTTATTGGGAGTCTATTTTGTGCCAGGCACCAAGCTACATCCCAAGGATAGGGAGACAGGGTTCCTCTCCTATGGCGTCCACAGTGTGTCGATGAAAAAGAAGCTAGCTTTGGTCAGAGGCAGTTTGTTCCTTGGGGTCCAGGATATGAGTGCCCAGCGCTCCCCTCCTAAACTGGGCTAGTCCAGATGTAAAGCTGCAGTCAGCACACTGCTAATGGGGCTTTGAAAGTCTCTGCTTTATTAGGGCAGCCAGGAAAGCCGATTTCAGCTGCAAATGCCTTCATTGCCTCCCCAGCAGAAATGGCTAATACCTGCTTTCTGGGACGTGCTCATCAAAAGGAGACTCTCAAAGCCCCATTAGCAGTGTGCTGACGCTGGCTGTATATCCTGAAAGGGCAAAGTCCAGCCGAGTGAAAGGAATCCAGCCTATTTGTCAACACTAGAATGAATCAGAGCTCCCCCGGCTCCACCTTCCCAGCCCACCACCCCCTCTTACTTCCTCCCTCTTACCTGGTCCACAGGGCCAGAATTACAATTTCTCAGCAGGGGGCTCTGCAGTCCTGTAACCCACACACTCCCCCTCCTTCCTCTGGCTCACCATCTCCTCTTCCTGCCATTCTCAATTTATCCCACAAGCCTGCAGATGCCTAAACAAGCATAGAACTGTGTGCCCAGGACTTTCCACTCTGCCCTCACCTGAACCCCACCACGAGAATCTTGGGCCATCACCATTGCCTTAAGTGGTCACCCAGGCTCCTAGAATCTGGGGAAGGGGCTAGCCCAACTACTACCCAACAGAGGAATTTCTCCCACAACATATGGGCATTTGGTCTCCTCGGAGTGAAGATGGTTATTACCATAGAGCCTTGGAAACAGACCCACCTGGGGGCCCAGCCCAGCGCACAAGCTGTGGGACCCTGCTAGTGCATATTAGGCTGAAAGAAAGATGCTGTGAACCCCAAGAAGATTATCTCCCTTGAGATTTTTACCAGACAGCTGCCCCCCATCCCAGCCCTCATATAACCTCATCTCAACTTCTGCAATCATCCAGTCTCATGTTTAAAAGATGTCCAGTACCAAGAAATACTGGCCTCATCTTCTCCTTGGGGGCCCCCCAAGAAAAAAGGACAGGACAGGAAATGAGATTCTCTCAATTTTGTTTACTGTCTCATTATTAATAGACAAGCAGGGTGAAGTGGACCTCGAAGGAACAGGAGTCATTAGAGAGTCTCATAACAAAAATAATATTTTGACCACACTGAGAACATCCTGCTATGCTGTAGGCATGTGTTAGCCTCTGGATATACAAGGCTGAATAACAAACTTGACCCCTTACATTGAGGACTCATGGCTTAGGGGTGAAGACAGACACAAATAAAAATTATATGTGGTCTGACACTTGCTTTCTTAGCCATCTGAACAAACAGCTTTGTTTTATTCCTCATCTTACTTGTGTTGGCCATTGTTGACCACTACCTCTTTCTTGAAATTCTCTAGTTATTGAGCTTCTGGTTTCACTTTCTCTTGGGTCATCTTTACTTCTGAGACCACTCCTCAGTCTCCTTCATTGCATCTCCTTCTCTGCTTGCCCCTTAAATATTGGTATCCCCTAAAGAATCCATTTCTTCCTTCTTTGCCACTCAATTTGCAGCCTACATTCTCTCTGCAAAATATCTTTTGCTCCTAAATACAGACGGCTCCCAAATCCATATCTCCTACCTGGACTTTTTCTGAATGACATCTCCAGAACATATATTTGTTGGAAAAACATTTCTTTGGTATACCATGTACCAATAACAGTCTATGTGCTTTATAAGTATTGACCCTAATTTACTCTTTTTTTTTCTTTTTTTCTTTTTTTTTTTGAGGTGGAGTCTTGCTCTGTCACCCAGGCTGGAGTACAGTGGCGCAATTTCTGCTCACTGCAAGCTCCACCTCCTGGGTTCTCACCATTTTCCTGCCTCAGTCTCCCAAGTAGCTGGGACTACAGGCGCCTGCCACCACATCTGGCTAATATTTTGTATTTTTAGTAGAGGCGGGGTTTCACCGTGTTAGCCAGGGTGGTCTCGATCTCCTGACCTTGTGATCTACCCTCCACAGCTTCCCAAAGTGCTGGGATTACAAGCGTGAGCCACCGCGTCCAGCCCTCATTTACTCGTAACAACATAACAACTCCATGAGGTGGGTGCCATTATTATCCTCATCTTAAAATCAGGAAATGGGGGCATAGAGGGATTACCTAACATAAGATCACACAGCTTATGAACAGCAGGGGTGAGTTCCAAACATGCGTGGTCTGCCTCTAGAGGCTACCATGCCACACTACCTCTCCATTTCTACAAATTACAGGAATATGAAACCTATTTTGGCAAATACGAACTTGCTTACACATTCTCCTCCAGTCTCCTCTTCCATCTATATAACTCAACTTTCCACTTTGGTTAATAGCATCCTCATCAACTCAGTCTCAAAGAAAGAAAACACCTAGTACATAAAAAATGTTCAGTGAAGGCTTCTGAATTGAGTTGAACTGTCCTAAATGGAATTGAATTGAAGTATGGAACTCAGGATGGGAATTTCCATTGGAGAACTGGGGAAGACTTTAGAGAAGAGTTGACATGTGAGATGAGAAGGGTGTATACAGAACCTTGCATTTTAGCATTGTGAGGGGATAAGAGATCAGGCAGTTCAATATTCTCATGTCACAAATGGTAAATCTCAGGTAGGTGAGAGGAACCTGGGATGCAAACAAGTCTAGAGCCCAGTGTGGGAGGAGCACTAGCTCCTTACTACTCAAGGCTGGTCTACAGACTGGTGGGACCAGTGGTATTGGCAGTACGTGGAAGCTTGCTCTGAGGTTCTCCCATAGGCCTACTGAATCAGAAACTGCATGTTAATGAGATCTCCAGATAATTTTTCTTCACATTAAAGTTTGAGAACTATTGGTCCAAGACAGTTTTTATAATGGGCAATGGGATCATATTATTTAGCCAAACTTCATAGAATCCTAATGATTTTATTTCCTCTGGAACACCTCTAAATTTTTGGAAATATACCTCTCCCCTCACCTGCACCCCATGGAGATTAAAATCAATAAATATGATTGCATGCATGCATTCTTTACTGTGTAGAAAAGGCTTTATCCTGAACAGCTCAAAGGAGACACAGCTATTAATGATGTTGGTAAATGTTCAGCAGTTGATTTTGGTGGGAAGTGGGAGAGAAAGAAAGAGGATGGTTTCATCTGTGGTGTTAACCCAACCCCAAGCATTTATGGTTGGTTGATGAGGACACTGGGCCTGCTACAAGTTAGTCATAGGCACAAGGAAGGGAGTGAAAAAAGAAATTGTTGGAACAAACTGATCTGATTAACATGGTCCAAGTGGGTGTTGGTTAAAATCCTAGAATCTGGAACTACTGGGATGATCTAGGCCTCAGAGTACGAATGAGACCTAGATGAAAATTAGAGGTGATAGAAACTTGGCCAGTGCACTAAGTACAAAGGAAGCCAAGATCTTGAGGCTTGGGCTGGCATTGAGAATGGATGCTGTTTGGATGGAAGGCATAACAGGCTGAGTAGGACCAATGATGGATGGTGGCAAACAAGGTCAGGAATCAAGGGAAAGTGGAAAAGCATGGGCTCCGTGTAAGTAAGAAGGAAATAGTTAATTAGAATAAAACTAGCTTTAGCCACAGCTGCTGTGGCTGAGGGCCATTTGCTGGTTGGACTCAGGATGCAACCATACAGGAAAGAGCTACTAATGGAAGGGGGAAGTCTTCCAGGCAGCTCTTCACCCAAAAGTTACTCTTTTCCTGTTTAAACCCATGGAAGATGATAAAACCCCTTCTACAACAGCTGGGAAAGACATTCACAGACATCCACAGACATTTTGTAGAGGGATTTTATTGCAGAAGGCATTCACAGAACAGGTTTACATTGGAAGAGAATTGTACCTCGTGAAATTCCTGCATTCGCATGAATATGTGTGATAGCAAATGGCCGAAATATCTAAAGTAGAAGAAACACAGGGAGACATCTGTATACTCTAGAGTGAACAGTTGGAGGCAGACTACGGTTCTGCAGTTGGCCTATCAGCTCTACTGCAAGGAAGTGACGGGTCCAAATTAACAGTGGCAGGAGCTGCAGAAGAAGACTTGTTGTCAGTGCTGATGCAGCAGGACAAGAAGAGGGTTCAGAGCATATCAGACCAAACTGGCTAGGGGGACAGGACCCAACCAGAGTTCTGCGGGTCTCCTAGATGCAGCAGTTAACTATAAATAAACCATATTGTTCATTCCAGGAAGTCAGGTAAGTCTTGAAGTAATCCACCTTGTTGCTGTCCCTGTAGAGTTTAGAGTCAAGAATCCACTCAAGTATTAACAAGCAGATGGGTATGATCTCAGAGACAGAAGATCAAGGAGGCAGCACCCTTAGACACGGTGCCTAACTGGCCTGTCCCTTTCCTTCTCTTCCTCTCCTGCTCTCATCTCTAACCTCCTTTCTTTTCTTTTCTTTTTTTCTTCAATTTTCTCCTTTTCCTTGGCCTTCTTCTGACTCTTCTGGCTATAAAATGAAACAAAGTTTGTATTTTATTGTTTATTACAAAGAATTTTATGTTTCCTGGTTTGGGTTTAGAAAATGCCCTAGTGGAATAGCTTTATTTATTTATACATTTAAATAGACTAAATTAACCGGATTTTATGTTTTATGTGCCTACCCACACTGCCTTTGCCCTAAGAGATGGCACTTTCAATGCCAAAATGGCATCCACCCAGGTCTGTTACTAACATAGCATTTGCAAAGGCTGTTTACAGAGAAATAGTGTTGTAGATGCCTTCTGAGCTTGCCTAGTAAACCCAGCCCTTCAGAGGGTAACACAAAACCTCTTATCTAACACAATGGACTGGGGACAAAGCCAGGACACAAAGACAGACAGTCATGTAGTGATTCGACTCTGTCCACTGATTCTGGGGACATCTCTGTTTGAAGGTCACAAAATTCTTACCTGCTCACCTCTTAAATCATCTGCTTCTGTCTGCAGGTGGTGACAGAGACTCCAGAAAACTAAAATAGTCATCTTTCAAGGTTAACAAGGAGCTGCTTAGAAGCCTCAGCATGACTGCCAATAGCCAATTCACAGGGAGCTGTCACTGCTCCCCCGAGGAAGGGTTTCAGTTAATGAAGAGATGGGGCTGGGGTGGCTTCCTATGAAGAACCAGCTGTTTGGCTTCCTGTGTTGGAGCCCTATGCTGAAGGCAAAGGGAGTGGGCTGTTGCCATTCCCCCAAGCAGAACAGACCAGAATGGTCCCTGTGAGGTGTCTGCAACCAGGGAAAACTTGCTACAATCTGAGGCTCATTCAGTGAAATCCATTGTCCTCTCCCATGAGAGGGGTTCTCAATTAAATTTCTCCTGAGGTCCTTTTTCTCCCCTAGTGATCCATTTCTTGCAAGGTTTTTTTAATCTCTCGGATACTGCAAGGTTGAATCAAATAAATACTGTAATTCTAGTTTAGGTTCCGATTTATGCAATGCCCTTTACTGAACATAATACTCAGTTTTCTTATTTGTAAAATGAGGGAGTAGGCAAATACAAAAGGGCAGCACATTAACTCAGTCCTACAAGAATACTGTCAGGATTTTTTTTTTTATGAGAGTTAACAGACTAATGAAAAATAAAAGGGTTTTACTCCAGATTCTCCCACAGCCTTTCCCCCTTCAAGATGAGTGCAAGAAGAAGAGAAGAGATCACTACCTGCGGCAGGTGACATAATGCTAATAAACAGCAGAGAGAGAACAGAACTTTGCAACTCCTTTTACTTCTACCTTGTCTACCAAGAAGACTAATCTTCAATCTTGGAAGAGTAGAACAAACTCAGGAATAGACTGAAGCTCATGATGGGTGGAGAGATAATCAAAGAATATCTGTAAATGAGTTCATGTCTTAAAGCCTAGACAAATTGCATCCCAGAAAGGTAAAACTGGGGAACTATAATCTGTAATCTTGGAGAAATAGTGAAAAAGACAAGGTATCCAGTAACTGGAGATATGCACATTTGTCCCCATTTTTGAAGAGAGGTAAAAGCTGCATTCTGGAGACTGTAACTTGGTAAGTGTCATATCAACCCTCCGCAAAATTCTAGATTGCACTATTAGGTGGGTGCAGTGGTGCACACCTGTAGTCCCAGTTATTTGGGAGGCTGAGGCCAGGAATATCACTTGAGCCCAAGAGTTTGAGTCCAGCCTGGGCAACATAGCAAGACCCTATCTCTTAAAAAAGAGAACAGCCAGGTACAGTGACGCACACCTGTGATCTCAGCACTTTAGGAGGCTGAGAGGGGAACTCCTCTCCAACTCAAGAGCTCAGGAGTTCAAGACCAGCCTAGGCGCAAGGAGAAACCTCATCTCTACAAAAATACCAAAAAAAAATTAGCCAGGCTCGGTGGTATGCATCTGTAGTCCAAGCTACTTGGAAGGCTGAGGTGGGAAGATCCTTGAACCTGGGAGGTTGAGGCTGCAGTGAGCCGAGATCACACCATTGTACTCCAGCCTGGGTGACAGAATGAGACCTTGCCAAAAAAAAAAAAAAATCAAAGATTGCCCCATTAAAGAGATGGTTGCAGACATTTAGTAAAGAAAATAGGAATCATCAGAAGCTGGCCTGGATTCATTAACACGAAGTCGTTCCAGGGATAGTTCTAATATAAGGTCAAGTTGGGAGAAAAAAAAAAGCAGGATATTTTTGAATCCTGGGAGATTGTGTTTATTTATTTATGTATTTATGTATTTATTTATTTATTTATAAGCCTCGACTAGAATACAAACTCCATGAGAGCAGGAATTTGAGGGAGGAGTGTTTTTTGTTTACTTTTGCACCTAGAACTATACCTGATGCGTGGAAGACACTCAATAAGTAGGAGGTTGCAGTGAGCTGAGATGGTGCCACTGCACTCCAGCCTGGGTGACAGAGTGAGACTCTGTCTCAAAAAAACAAAGGAAGAGACATAGCAAAGTTAACTGTGACTATCTCTAGGTGGTTTGATACTGGGCAGTTTTAATTTTCTTCATAATAATTAATATTAAAAATGCCTATATTTTCCACATTTTCTATTAATGAGCATAGGCTACTTTTATAACCACAAAAATAAAATAACCTTTGACTTACTCATGACAAATTAGCCTAATTTTCTTCTTTTTGGAAGTATAACCAGACTGGTAGACTAAAGGAATGTGGATTTCCATGAAGGATTTCCCAAAAACTCTCATGTTATCCTTTGACCCAGATGAAGGGCCATGAGTCCAGTTAAGGGTTAGGGCTCAGCTAGGTGAATTTGTTGCATGACTGCACACCAATTCAGTCTTGCATCGATAACAGTGGGGATATGTCCTGAGAAATGGGTTATTAGGTGATTATGTCATTGTGCGAACATCATAGAGTCAACTTACACAAACCTGGGTGTTATAGCCTACTACATACCTAGGCTATAGGGTTTAGCCTATTTCTCCTAGGCTACAAACTTGTACAGCATGTTACTGTACTGAATACTGTGGGCAATTGTAACACATTGATAAGTATTTGTATATGTAAATATAACTAAACATAGAAAAGGCACAATAAATATATGAGATTATAGTCTCATGGGACGACTGTCACACATGTGGTCCATGGTCGACTGAAACATTGCTACACAGCTCATGACTGCGGTGTAGGTGAAAGGATCAATGCCAATTCCAAGGAAGATTTCTGGTGTTGCGATACAGAGATCTGTCACATTCACCACATTCTTCGGAGGCTTGGATGAAGATAAAGAAGGCCTACTCACTTACGTTGTAGGCAACACATAGCAGGGAAACCTAGCTGATATGTTGGCGGGCAGGACTCAGATAAAAAAGATCTCAACCTCTGTAACTCCTTTAACTTTATTGGCCCCGAACCAATAAAGTTAAACTTGATAGGCCTTATATTCCACTTCCAAAAAGTCGATAGCCCAAGTAGCGAAAGAGAAAGACCTACTTAAGGATGGTTGTGTGAAAAAAGACCCAAGCATTTTAGCCAGCTTACAGCTCCTGAGAAGTCAACAGAGTGATGTGGCTGCTCAAAGAGCTAATGCAACCTTGGATCACATTACTAGAGCTCTCATATCTAGAATTACAGTTGATTCCAGATTTATCATTCTATGACAGCATTATCCAAAGTGCCTTTTGGAGTATTTCATATTAAGTGGATGGTCAAATATATTTGGGAATTATATTATACTGAGCTTCTCTTATGGAGATACACAGTATATGTTAGCAAACTAAAGATTCTGAGAAGTCCTGCAATAAAGAAACCTGTTGATTTGAACTCAGTTCTTCCTAAATCATTTTACCAAGAAGTGTTCTTTGTTGTTTTGTTTTGTTTTGCTTTGCTTTTGTATAACATCCATTAACAATCAGAGCACATTTGGGGAAATGCTGATGTACCATAAGCTACCCTAGGCATGAATATATCACTCTATCTTTGTACTCTTCAGCAAATAGCACAGTGCAGGGCACAGGACAGGTCCTCAGCACATGCTTGTTGAATGAATGAAAATGTACCCGAATACTTCAGTATTGTAAAGCCTCCCCATCCCATCACGTAGACGGTGCACAGGCAGCTGGAACATATCCAAAGGCGAGCCAACAGAATGGAGGGTTTGGAACCTTGGCTATCTAAGGGAAGCTTTGCTTGGAAGTGGAGAAGACATTGGTCAGAACAAAGGCCTGGTTAGCCTGGGGTTCTTGGGGGCAGGATGGGCTTGACTGAGCCTGGCTGGAGTTTGGAAATGAGACATACTCTCCAGGAAACAATAGGACATCACAAGCTACTAGCAAAGTCCCAAGGCCAAACATGGGTAGAAGAATATAGTTAGGAGTCCCAGGGTCTTGGAGCCCTCTCCTGGGTGACAGACCCCTGAGAGACCACCTAGTCCAGCGATTCCCTACCCTGGCTACACACATTAACCCCTGCCTAGTTTTTCAAAATACCATTATTGGGACTTCTTCCTGGACCACATAGATTAGAATCTCTGGTGTTACTGTCCTGGTAATGGCAGGACTGGGGCCAGGGTAAAGCAAGCCAGGCTCCTAGGGGAGCAAATGTAAGGAGACAGTCACTCTCAGGGCCCTCCCAGGGCAGAGTTGGCACCAGAGAGGGATGCACTTTACATTTTGCATGCTAAGCACCTTTCACTTCTCATCCCAGTTCCAGCCCTGGACACTGGCACTCTATAAAGTTTCCCCCAGGTGATTCTTAGATGGGGTTAGTTTTTAAATCCACCAATGCATTAAAACTCCTTCCATTTGCTGGCTGGAAAACAAGGAATCCAAGGCCATGCAGGAAGTTCATGTCAAAGACAGGACCAGAAAGGACCAGTGGAGTCTGGCAGCAGGCAAGGGGCCAAGGAGAAGGCAGGCAGAAGAACTTGGCAGCAACTGCTGGGGACTCACCTACAGGGACAGAGGTTTGGCTCTACTCCTAGGGAGGCCTTGTGAGGTAAGACAGGGCCCCAATCCAAGGTAATGGATCCCAGGCAGGGAGACAAAACAGAAATCTGGGAATTAGAGAATAAATATGGTCACAGGGGCTAGACTACATGACTTAGTCCTCGTGACCAGATATGGCCTAGTGATGGGGTTGGGAGTATTGGCCAGTGGTGCCTGCAATTCAGGGCTCTCAATGTTCCTTCCCATGGTCGCAGAGCCTGTGCAGAGCTGAGCCAGCAGGACAGGGCTCCACAGCGTGGTAGGAAACATGGGCGGTTCTCCATCTTGGGGAGACTCGATGGCCATCTTCCAACATTCAAATGGAAATCATATAGAAAAGGAATCAGATTTAATTGAAAGGGTTTCAAAAAACAGAACTCACACCAATAAGAGAAATGGCAGGCAGAGTGTTCAGCAGTCCCATGAATATGTTTCTTCTTCAACAGTGTTTGGATGGAACAGACCCGGGGACTCCCTCTCTTCCAGCCTCCGAGCATCCTCCAGTCTCCTCTTCACTTGCAAACTCCGGGATCATCTTGGCCATCTCCTGCTTCTGGGATCAGCCCACACAGTTGTTGTGGTTAGCTCCTTCTTGCCAACCAATGAGAAGCTCCCAGATTCATCAGAATTATTCCACCGACGTGGAGGCAGCCACTAACCTCCTGGTCAATTTGCATCAGTGAGCCTCTTCCACCCACTCTCGCTGGGCTTCTGTCTCCATCATGATGATGTGGCTCTGGAAGCTGTGGGCCACTTCTATGAATTGGACAAGGAGAAGCACGGAGCTCCAAGCATCTCTTGAAGATACAAAACCAGTGTGGCAGCAGTGCTGTATTCCAGGACATCCATAAGTCACCTCAAGATGAGTGGGGTAAAACCCTGGATGCCATGGGAGCCGCCACGGCCTTGGAGAAGAAGCTGAACCAGGGTCTTTTAGATCTTCATGTCCTGGGTTCTGCCCACACAGACCTCCATATCTTGACTTCCTGGAGAGCCACTTCCTCAATGAGGAAGTGAAACTCATCAAGAAGGTGGACAACCACCTGACCAACCTTGATAGGTTGACTGGCCCCCAGGCCAGGCTGGGCAAATTCCTCTTCCAAAGGCTCACCCTCAGGCATGACTAGGAGCCTACTGGGCCCAAAAACTTCTGAAGGATCCCCTTCAAGGTGTCAGGGCTTCTGCCTGAGCCTCTCCCTCCAGCCACTAGGCAGCTTTTTAACCACCTTGGAGCTTTTTCTCAAGCCTTGGACCAAATGGAAATAAAACTTTTTGCAGTAAAAAGAGAAAGAAAGAGAGGACAACTCTGCCCCAACATTAGGCATTTCTACTAGCTGGCAATTTCCAAAAATGGAATAAGGCAATGCTTGTAACCTGTCAGATGTGTAAGGAGGTTTGAAGACAGCTGTCTCCACTGGAGAAGCGACTACTTTGTATTATATAAATTTTTTTGTGACCAGGTTTCACACTGTTGCCCAAGTTGGCTCACTGCAGCCTCAACCTCCCAGGCTCAAGTGATCCTCCTGCCTCAGCCTTCCAAGTAGCTGGGACCATAGGTGAGTGCCACCATGTCTGGCTAAATTTTTATTTTTATCTTTGTAGACACAGGGTCTTGTTATGTTGCCCAGGCTAGTCTCGAACTCCTGGACTCAAGGGATCCTCCTGCCTTGGCCTCCCAAAATGCTGGGATTTACAGGTGTGAGCCACTGCACCTGGCCTCCACTTTGTATTAAACGACTGCTGTTGTCTTTCAACTTAAAGATCCTGAATTCCTTGTCTTTTTTGTTTTCTTACCTCAAGGAGTTCCACTGTGGTTCTTCAAAATGCTCTATCCAGGTATTCAAGATGGTAAGGAAGACCACAGGGGCATTTGCATATAATTGGATTATGAAAGACTGAGGTTTGAATAAACTGTGCAGACTATTTACAGACAATTTTCAGGTTAAAATTACATCACGGCTCCCCTTATAGTCATCATCCTTTGATTTCTCTCTTCTGTTTCTCCTCCTGCACCTATTTACATTGACCCAGGTCAAATCTAATCAAATCAGCTAGCATTTGTGGAGGGCTGACTGTGAGCCAGGCACTGCGTTAGATGCAGATGCTTACCTTGGAAGCCTGGGCAGAGAAGGGTGGGCTCAAAGAGTCAGGGTTGGGGAGCATAAGGAACACTAGAGCCTGGGATGAATTCTCCAAGGCCAAAAATGCTCACTACCCATTCATGTAGGCCCAGTGTAGAGAATAAAGATCTCGAATTCCCTGGATGCACTCCCTACAACTGCCCCTTCAATGCTCAGCTCAAAAGCCAAGACTGGGCAGTATCCTGGGAATTCCAGGATGTGTGCACATGGCTTCCATGACAGTACAAAAGGGAAGGTTCTCAGGCTGAGGAAGACAGCTGTTGGTTCCTGTGTAGACAGGGTGGGCCATGCTGAGCCAGGAGGAGAGACACAGATAAGCCCTGCCTGCCTCAGGGCCCTTGTCCGTGCTGTTCCTTTGAGGCTGAAAGGCTCTTCATGTTCCCCCTGCCTCCTCATCCCAGCCTCCCAGAGTCCCTTCTTCTTGCTTCTAAAGGACAGCTTAAAACTCCCTTCCTTCAGAAAGCATTCCCAGATCCACCAGAGGAAGTTGGGCACCTTTCCATAGCATCTTCAGACTTTTCTGTGTAACGTTTTTCATAACTATAACCAATAACTGTGCAATTGCTGTCTCTCTAGACTACAAGCTCCTTAGGAGCAGGGAACTTGAATGAATAAATGAATGAATGCTGTAAGTCAGAAAAAGAAGAGAAAGGTAACTGGAAGCAGGAGAAGCAGAAACTAAGGCATTAAAGTTAGAGGTTTGGCTGGAGCAAATAGAAAATCAGACGGGCAAAGCCGAGGGTTAGGTACAGACCAGGTACAGAAGCAGCAAGGGCTGTAGGTCAGGACTGTGAAGACAAGGCTTGCAAATGCTGGATTTAAACAGTATCACCTTGAGGTGAGGAGTGGGGCTCCTTTTCTGGGCATGGGGCAAGCTTTAGAGAGGAGGGCTCCCACTTGAGCTCCCCTGGTTTCCAGCACAAGAAAGATAAACTTCCTATGGCAGAATGAACCACCCAATATAAATGAGGGTTTATGGGACATCTGTCCTCAGACCACAGGGACTTGAGATCCCTACTTAGCAAGGTTGCCATGTCTCACTTACAGCTGCCCTGATCTGTTGGGTTTTTGTTGTTGTTGTTGTTGTTTGTTGTTTTTTGTTTTTGTTCCTTTTTTTGGTTTTGTTCCTGCCCTCCCCCGCCTCCCCAACCCCAGCTAAGCTAAGGAAACTCCATTAGCCTCTATCTCCATTACCTGGTCATCTGATTATCAGATACCCTGGGTTTTCTTGATTATTCAATTGAGACCTCTGGGGGAATTTAAAAGATGGAAGAAGGATGGTGTGTCCCAAGTTGAAGGCAGAGTCCTATCTTAGAACACAGCTGGGTGTGGTCTGATTAATTGCATTATGACAGGAAAGACAGCAGGGGTTCTGAGATCAGGAATTAGACATCTACTCAGGTGTGGCAAGCCCTAAGGGGAGCGCAGAGCCATCAATTCAGGGACCATATGAGAGTTGGGGCCGGAGGTTAGCTCCGGGGCTTCAGCAGGAAATATTAGGGGTCACCTACTACGTAGATGGGCAGAGATGCACATAAGAAATAAGTCAAATATGGGCAACACACAGAAGTCCCAGCAGGCAGGAAGACACCTTTGGGGATGTCTGTTTATAGGAAGCAAGCTAAAAGGACAAGATGTAATCCCTGAGGAGACTGGAGGCCAGGGCAGGACACTTGTCTGAGAAGGAATGTCCTCAGATTCTGAGGGCCTGAGTAGAAGGAAAATAACCAAGGAAGGACTTAGGGATAAAGGCATATGTCAGACAATCCACTTGTCAGAATGAAGCACAAGATTAGGGACAAGAAGCAAGCAGCCAGGGTGACAAGACCAAATCAACACAGTTGGACTGCAGCAGCTTAAATTCTTCCTGCCTGAAGTCAGAATTGATCCTAGAGCCTGGGGCAGAGCTGAGCCTGCAGATCTGGCAGGCAAGTAGATTCAGCTCAGGGAGGAGAGAGGCACAAAGCCTGGGAACCAGGTGAAGCCTGACAGATGGAACACAAATGATGCCCAGTTCTGCTCCAGCTGTTTTTGATAGCCTGACTTCTTGCTCATAGGTTCAGGAAGGATGAAGAATGGGCTGACATGGCCTTGGAGAGCAGCTGCTTCTTGCGAGGAGTGGGGGACAGGAGGTTTGTGGATGCAGATTTGCAGAGCACTCTGAGTGTCTTAAAAGGGAGTGGGTATCTTATCAACTGAGGGGAGAACCTTAATTCAAATGAAGAAGAGGGGCTTAAGTCCTCCATTCGCAATAAGAATATGGCCCCTCCAAGAAGTCTGAGAAAGCACATCTTGCTGTATGAAATCACTTTATATGTGGTCTCTTTTTTTATTCTGTGTATTTGCTTAGTTTCTCTCTTCCTCATTAGAAAAAAGAGCAAGGGCTTTTTCTATCTTGTTCACCTCTGCATCCTCAATGTTTGTAATAGTTGGAACCCAATAAGTATTGGTTGAGTAAATGAATGCATACATGCATGAAGGAATCAATGAAGTGACGCATGGTTCTGCAGTTATCATGCAGGCTACTTCTCAGGACTCATGAAAGAAAACCTTGCTCCACGTTGCCTGGGAGGCACCTGGACCCAAACCAGCCTCACAGGTCCAGGAGTGCTAGTCTCTACAACAAACCCATCTACTGACTCTTTAACTGAGGGCAGCAAAGCCCAAACCAAGTTTAGGCTCCCACGTCCACATGTCTTCAGACCGCGTCCTCCCTGGCAAGTTTGAGTTAGGACTGTCCACGTGTGTTTGTGAGAATATGAAGCAGCTGAGGAGAGAGACCCTGACCAACCGGGAAGGACTGGCAATTCATGGATATCCATGTCCAGGCGACATGCGGGATGTGCTGGCATTCAGATACCTGGGCGAGGAACCCGGGAACAATTCATTACGTCACGCAGCTATGGGCAGGGGAAGTCACCACTTTAAGTGAAATGTTCCAAGAAGAGCAAAAAGTAACAAGAACAAAACAGAAAATCAGGGTTAGTGATGGAAATTCATTGATTTCTCTTGTGGGTGTAAATTACAAATGGGTGGGAAAGACAGTAGGTAATGGTAATGGAAGCTGTTACGGGGGAGCATGGCTGTGGCAGAGCTTCACCTGTTGGCTGAGTACCTGCTGTGGTCCAGCACTGTATCAGGTGCTAAAGATATTATCATGAACAATGATAATATTCTCAGAGACTCAGTGTTTGGAGAGTACGGACACTAAAAGGGCAAACACTAAGATAAGAACTTTAGTAGCTCCGTGGGCACACAAAACAGGAGCACTTATCTCAACCTGGCGGAGTGAAGCGAGGGCAAGGAAGGCTTCCTAGAAGAAATGACATCCAGGTTGAGAGCTAAATAAGAAAAGAATTTGCCAAGCAAAGAGGGAGGGGAGAGAATTCCAAAGCAGGGCAAGTAATAATGTGCCCCACAACCTGGAGCTAAAAGAAAGCATGGAGCATTTAGGAAACTACAGGGACTTCAGCCTGGTTGGGGTGTGAAAGAAAGAGTGGTGAGAAGTGAGAGGTGAGTGGAAGCTTGATCATGAAGAACCTCATAAATCAGCTCAAGAAATTTAGATTTCTCATTTTGTCAATGGTGGGATGGGAATGAGGGAAGATGGGAAGCACTAATTGAAGGGTTTTAAGAAGGGAAGTGTGTTCTGGAATAATCTCAATTTCCCCATTGATTCCTTTTTTTTTGCGGGGGTAGGGGGAGACAGAGTCTTGTTCTGTTGCCTAGGCTGGAGGGCTGGAGTGCAGTGGTGTGATCTCGGCTCACTGCAACCTCCACCTCCCAGGTTCAAGCGATTCTCCTGCCTCAGTCTCCCAAATAGCTGGGATTACAGGTACCCGCCACCACAACTGGCTAATTTTTGTATTTTTATAGAGACAGGGTTTCACCATCTTGGCCAGGCTGGTCTTGAACTCCTGACCTAAGGTGACCCGCCCACATCGGCCTCCCAAAGTGCTGGGATTACAGGTGTGAGCCACTACACCTGCCCCCCATCCCATGGATTCTTCCCACAGGAGGAGGGATCTTTCTGTTTCACCGAGGTGTTCCTAAATCCTCCTCGGGACACTGTGTGTCACTGTCCACATTCCCTGGCACAGTGCCTGACACACGATGGATTCACAGCACACAGATGTTGCCCCTTGCATGAGGATCATGGTATGATTTAACCGGCCTAAGGGACATGTTGGCTGCTGTCCTCTCCTCATGTTGGAGCGATAGGGAGAGAAGGAGCCCAAACATATGGGGCAACCAGAGGCAAACAGTGAAGCCAGAAAGCGGTCCCAGCCTGCAGCATAGATTGTGATATACTCGGCAGAGCCCATTTTTTTCTCTTAGGCAAACAGGTAGATGTCATCTCCCAGCCTCCCTGAGAGTAAGTGCCACCAGGTGACTGAGTTTCGAACAATGAAATGGTAGCAAAAGAGATGTACTCCTCTTACAGGTCTGGCCCATGAAATCTCTCCCGGCCGGGTGCGGTGGCCCATGCCTGTAATCTCAGCACTTTGGGAGGCCAAGGTGGGCAGATCATGAAGTCAGGAGTTTGAGACCAGCCTGACCAACATGGTGAAACCCTGTCTCTACTAAAAATATAAAAATTAGCCGGACGTGGTGGCATGTGCTTGTAATCCCAGCTACTCGGGAGGCTGAGGCAGGAGAATTGCTTGAACCCAGGAGGCAAAGGTTGCAGTCAGCCGAGATCATGCCACCGCACTCCAGCCTGGGTGACAGAGCAAGACTCCATCTCTGAAAAAAAAAAAGAAAAAAAAATCTTCTCTCTTATAATCCCAGATCTCCTTTCTCCTCTTCCAGCTGAACGAAGAGGAGTCTGAGGGTCTGGAGAGGGGCAGACCACAAGATGGACAAGGCTTTTGTCCCTGAATTGCCACATGGAAAGCCATGAGACTAGGACCAGCTTCACTGAAATATAATGTGAGTGACTAATCGACTTCTGTTGCTGAGCCACTGACTGGGGTGTAGGGGTTTATCTGCAGTAGCTGATAGCACTGTTTATTCTAACAGTTACAGCCGTCCCTCAATATACATGGGAGATTGGTTCCAGGACCCCTGGGTATACTCAAGCCCACACATGCTCAAGTCCACCAGTCAGCTCTGCAGAACTACCTGTAGCAAAAGTCAGCTTTCCGTACACGCAGGTTTCACATCTCAGCAATAGTCTTATTTTTGATCCGCGTTTGATTGAAAAAAATCCACATGTAATGGTCCCACACAGTTAAAAACTGTGTTATTCATGATACAACTGCATGCAGCTTCCTTAGCCCCACCTTCAGCAAACTCATTCCAAAAGGCCCAGAGAAGAAACTTCAACTATGCCGAGCGAAGTCTCAGGTCCAATGAGGAGAAACAAGACAGTGCAGAAGATGCCTCTCTCTGAACGAAGGTCTCCTACTGGAAGAACACAGTTCCTCCATGGAGACAGTCTCAAGACCTCTTTTGGAACATTTTATATTGCTTGTTTTGATGCCCAGTTTATGGAATTAAAAATAAAACCTCTCACTGAAATATGCAACTGACTCAATCATTTAATTCTGTGTTCTCACTACACATAAAAGTTCATATCTTCACATGGATATGAGCATGAAGTTGTTTAGTAAAAAGCACCTAGAAATGAAGTAACACAAGACATAATATATAGTCAATGTGTTTTATATGGTGAAGAAAATTTTTCCAGTTATTACTAAGATGAGGAGTTATTCTCTTTTTACAAAAAAATAAGTCAGAGACTAAAAAATCCCTCGCAATGCCTCACAATGGCTCAAAGAACACACGAAGCAGAAAGACAGAGTAAGGCTACGGTTTATAAAAAAATAATGTTGTTAGAGTTATAGGTAATTACATGGAAAATTCATAGAATGAATTCACAAATGGTTCAGTATTACATGGACCTGTATAGTAGCTATTATAAACAGCAGTAGCTAGAGCTACAGAAATACAGTTAATGGAGATTCTGTACTTAGAGGGAAAACTTTAAGAAATTGCTGCCAAAGAGACTGAGAATTTCTTTTTACAATTGGTATAAAAAGAAGCAACCATTCAAAAGTAGGTGGTCTGGCTAAAGCAGCAGGGGATATAGTGAAAGATAAAGAACCAAGAAGATGAGAAAAGAATTCAAATAGAAACAGGACCTGCTTGGCTAAAATTTTTAAATTCTTAGTGAGAAAGGAATTGGAGCTAGAACCACATTAAATATAATAGCCTGCTTGGGGTTTGTCTACAGTTAATTCCATCAGATATCATTCAAGATGGATACCTGAACCAATAGACCCTGGCTATAAATCACAGTCTAGTTGATTTTGTCCCAGAGCGGTGAGATCAAATCCGCAGTCCTCTAAATGAATGAAAACCCAACGAGGATTTATTCTGCAAGTGTGTGCATATATTATATCATTTATTAGAGACCATCTCCAGATTATCAAGGTCCTTCCCCAACAAATAACCCTCGTGGAATTCCAGTTGTGCCTGATTAAGAAATGTGAGTCGGGCAGTGGGATTAGTGGGTGTTATCTAGATTCAGGCAAAGCCACCTCTCCACCCTTGCTTCCCTCATCTTTCTCTCGTTTCTTTCCCCAAGCAGTCTCATCTCTCAGACTCTCTTTCTCCTCTCCCCGTGCATCCTCTTCTTTATCACAAGCCCTTGGTTCTCTTTGTCTAGAGACTCCAGAAAGAACAAACCTGGGCCACCAGGCTGTATCTATCACCTTGAGTATGTCCTCATCCACTTGGACTGATGGAGTCGGTGCACCTTTCTACCAAGAAGGACCCTGACCTTCTGCTGCAATAATCATTCATGATGGTCTCTCCTCCCTGGCAAGGCCTCTGTATCTGCTGTGAGAATACTTCCTCATCAAAGGGCCCAACGTGAACACCAGCCGCTCAGCTGCGCCCCCAGCTGCAGTGTGAGAGCTTGGCTGCTGTCCTAAGAGATAGAGAGAGCTGAGGGGATGGGAGAAAATAGCAGAGAGGAGGTTGGAGGGAGACAGTCAATGGGAAGGGTTCTTGCTATTCCTCCTCCCCTCAAGAAGGAGCAGCCTGGGATGAGCTGATTGTCCAAGCTGAAAACAACCCTCTCTCTGGGCTGCGAATGCAGAGGAAGTCCCAGCCTTGCCTTCAGAAAGAGAATGATTTCTGTGCTCTATCTCAGAACTTCAAAGCATCCCTTCAATTAATTATTATGAAGACGTATATTAATCAGGAGGCTACAACAGCTTCTTAATACTTGCTCTAGTACCAGTTTGAAAAGCAACTCTGAAGGGAAAATCCAATTTTGTCTAAGGTGATTGGGGTAGGGAGTAGAGGGTGGTGATAGGGGCTGATGCTAGCCCTCAGAGCATTGGCAAATCAAAGCAAAAATCACAGGACCTGTGTTTCTTATGAGCAGAAGCAGCAACAAGATCATTACTACCACCAATATAAAAACATGCACTGGTCCATTTTTCCCCTTCCCCATCATTCCACTACCCTTCCAGCACCTCAAAACTAGGTTCGCTAAGTGAAACAAGCTAGACACAAAAGGACAAATATGGCGTGATTCCATTTATATAAGTTATCTAGAATATGCAAGTTTGTAGAGACAGATGGTAGATTAGAGGTTACCAGGAACTTGGGGGAAAGAAGGTAAGGGAGTTGCTGCTTGCTAGAGTTTCTGTTTGAGGTGATTAAAAAGTTTTGGAAATGGATAATGGCAATGGCTGTATAACACTGTGAATATAACGAATGTCACAAATAATACATATAAAATTGGTTACTATGGAAAATTTTATGTCATCTACATTGCACTATAATTTAAAAACTTAATAATAATGTAATGTACCAAAATCATTGAATTGTACACTTTAAATTGATAAATTGTATGGTATGTGAATTATATATCAATAAAGCTATTAAAAACACCAAAAACCAAGTCTACTAACAATCTTCACTCACAGGCACAAGTCTGCTCCAGCTTCTTTCTTTCTCATTTATTGAGAACCCTTCCTTGCCAGGTACTCTGCTAGGCGCTGATGAACAGAATAGACATGGCAGGAATTGTTTAAGTAGTTTAAATCTCCTTTCAAGCATCTGATGGTTTTAAGATTGAGTATCCCTTTATGTTATTACCTAGGTTTACTGTCCTGATGCTGACCACAGAACTAGACAGCTCCAACTTTATTTCTGAGTCCAGGCTCCCTGGTAGTTCCTGATTCGGGTAGAGAAGTCTCTGTTTTAATCTCCTCCCTGAGTTCCTATTGCACCAGCCTGACCAATCTCTGTTGTCCTGGAAGTCTCTGCTTTTGTACTAATAAGTCCCTTTCTAACCACCCAAGGTCAATGGTTCCAACCTAAACTCCATCAAACTTCCTGGGGCCCTGATAGCCTGCAGAGAGACCACACTGATATCCACTGCTCATCTGTCTGAACTTCTAAACACCCTCATTCCAATTTACTTTTACCACATTATTCTCCTTTCTGGCAGGTAACTTCGCAACTTTCCCATGGATCCCCTGATACCAACTTCATATCTGCACTACAACTGAAAAGACCATTTTCCAGACATACTTGCAGATATGTTGGCTTCCCTATCAAATGTTCCAAATAGGAGGTTCTGGTACTACCTCATCTCCCTTGCCCCCTTGCCACCTGAGTAATTAACCATGGCCACAGAATCTCAAGATATAATAATTATAGTGAGTGCTATTTCTGAAACACAAACATGGTCCTTCCTAGCCCAGGAGATGACATATAAAACACACAGATACTGGAGTGAAAGCTCCGTACTCTGTAATCACCTGGGGAGCGTGCTAACCTGGCCGCACGTTAGAATCACCTGGAGACCTTTTTAAAAATACTGATTCCTAGACCACAACCCCAGAGATTCTGACTTTAATGGTCTGGAGTGGGGTCCAGATAGGGGAGAATTTTAAAAGTGCCCCAGGTGACTCTTATGCATATCCAGGGTTAGGAGTAGCTGATCTAAGAGAAGGGGACCAGATGATATAGAAATGTATTTGTTCATTCATTCAACAAGTATTTATTGACCACCTACTATGCACCAGCCATTAAGTCTAAGATGCAGTGGGCTAGTCAGTAAAGTTTCAGGTTCTCATGGAGTGTCCAGTGGTTGATGTAAAGCAGGCTCACTGTGCACTGGTTACCAACTTTTCTGAGTCCAGTGAGACAGAAAACGCTCATATGCAGCGAGTTATATGAAGTGGATTTATGACTTCCAGACAGACAGCAAGGAACAACAAAAGCCTACGATTCATTGCCAGCTGGTCCCTCCAGGCTCAGGAAAGCTGCCGTGGATGGATGGAGTCTCATCAGCACGTGCCCCACTTGCACGGCAGCTAAGAGATTCCAGAAAGCAGCCTACCCTGGGTTTTATTCCCAGAGGCCGCATGACATGCTGGGCTAAAGCACTGAAGGACGTCCTGTTTCTAAGGGGGAACTGGAACAGGGCCCAGGCTGCTCTTGTCATTCCTTCCTTATCTCAGGATGTTGCAGTCCCAGAACATCCTACAGTTAGTCTTGAGAACTGCAAGGAAGAAAGGAGAAGAACTGGGTCAGTCTGAGGCCACCTGGAGAACTGTCCTACCATTGGTGGAAAATGAAAAAGAAAACAAAAAAGTATAATTGTATAGCTAGAGATAAAGCAACTCTAAAATATATAAAGTGTATTTTTATAATATGAACACAAGTTTCAGGGTTCCTGGATCTAGGTTTTTGGAATTTACGAGCAGATTACTGGCATTAGTGGAGTGACAGCGGGGAGCCCACTAGCCTTCAGAGCTAGGCATGGAGTAGGGAAGTACTCCTTTAGAGAGAATCAGAAACTCTTTCTCTATCTCTTAATGAGCTTTAAGCCATTCAGAAAACCAGGGTGGTATTTGAAAACATAGCAGCTGTGATTCCACAGGGGAAAGAGCCAATGACAGAGCTCTCTTTGGAACAGGGCTTTAAAAGTGAAACAGGATAAACAGGTTTGATGGCAGCCTGTGGGAGGCAGAGGGGGCATTGAGCCTTCCACTTCCTTCTTTCTACAATTGACTATTTTTCTCTCACTTCAAGCTGTTAAAAAGGAAACAATATGGAAGGGGTAGGTTTTCCCAACTCATCCTCCCTACCCTGGGCTCAGCAAAACTTTGATTAAGAATCCCAGGAGAACCAGGCTGACTTAAACCTTGCCAATTTATGCATGAACCAGATCCTGTGAGTCTGTGCTGGGATCTGCATACTCCATATTTCTGGAGAAAAAAACAAAAACACAAAACACACAAAAAACAAAGCAGGATAGCCATTAGTTAGCTCACACTCAAACACAGGGCCAGTGTGTGGCACTGCTATTGCTGCTTTGTGAAAATCCCTGCTCTCAGGTGGCTTACATTCTGGCAGGAGTATTTAATAATCAAGTGTTAAACCAATGAAACATATATATATATATATATATATATATGCAGGGAAGTGGACAGAAAGCTAAGTAGGGTACCATTTTAGATGGTGTTTTCAAGGAAGTTCTTTCTAAGGAAGTGACATCTGAGAAGTGGTATAAATGAAGTAAAAGAATGAATTCAAAACTCCTAACAAACAGAAAGTCTATCACTAAGATATGGCTCTTTGTTTTACTCATTCAAATAAAAAAAATCTCTCTGCTTCTAACCAGCTTTGACCAAATTCTCTTCCTAAAGATCTTCCTTCAATGGTTCTGGATTACAAGCCACCCGGACCTGGGATCTTGCTGTCTGCACATCTCAACAATATGCCTCCTTCTGTAAATGTCTTCCTATAAACAATGCCCATGGTCCATAATTTCTGCTACTGAGTTCAACCTTATAAAGCTGCAATCCACTGAACTGAGGCCCTCCACTGCCTCCAGCCAGTTCTTACTCATATTCACAGATGGAACTAGACACCCCTTTCCAGGTGCTGTTTCATCCTATACCATATGTTAACTGAGGGAGGCTGGTTTCCCAGAGGCAATCACAGCCACCAAGTCATCAACCATGATGCTCCCTGCAAGCCCTATTGGCTAAAACTGGGTGAGCAGAGGGAACTCCTCAGACAGCCTTCTTCTCCCAGAGTCCAGGCACATGAGGTCAAGGTCTCTTCTGTTCCCCAAGGAACAATTGTTGGGAAGTTCTTATGTGTACTTGACTTTAGTTTCTTTTGTTCTGACATCACTCCTTCTATTGTCCTTACTTGTGTTTCAGCCATGAGCTGGACAGCAAAGGGGCAGGCCTTGCTCAGCCAAAATTTACCTACAAACTTCTCTTGCTTATTCTGTAAGTGACGAAGAGGCCTGAGTGAGTGGTAGAGGAGAAGACAAGGGTGGAGCGAAGCCTTAATAGCCATTCTTCCTGCAGTTATGGAGTTCGGGGCTGGTGGGCATGTCACAGCCAGAAGGATGATATAGACAAATTGGATAAAACTCAGGAAAGAGCAACACACCAAAAAAAAAAAAAAAAAAAAAAAAAAAAAAAAAAAAGATGATGAAGAGGCTGGAGGGATTGAATGATGAGGAAAGATTAAAAGAACTAAATATGGACAGACTGGCTAAATGCCGATTAAAAGCAGCGATCAGAACTGTCTGCGGGTATCTGAGCACCAGCAGGGAAGAGGGGCCGCACTAGCAGGTGTAGGGTCAGGCAGGGGGGAAGTGAGGTGGACTGCGAATAAATGAAGGGAAAGTGTTAGTGGCAAACTGCTGGGTAGTAAAAGAGCCTCTGTAAAGGAAAAAGGTGGGAGGGGGTGTGGACCAGGAGATAGAGGGGTAGTGGGTATAGAAAAGGGGGACATTTAACATATGGACCTCCCTCTGAGATGTCTAAATATACTCAATGATGTTAGGCAAATTCTGGGGTGGGGAGGTGGGGAGAAGGTGTGCTCCAGGAGACCTGAGGTGTGTCACGTGAGCCATGTCCTTATTTAACATCTAAGCTATAGCAGTGAGTCCTGCAGGCCTGGATCCAGGATGGTCAGAGACCAGGAAGGATAGGACCATCAATCGGAGCATTGGGACAACACAAATATTACACCATATGACTGCCCAGCTGATAGTGACCTCTGATGCCCCTTTGTGTTTTAAAAGTAAAATCCTGAACCAGAAATATTTCCCCTTCTGCAGAGAAAGAAGCAGCTGGTCAGCTTGACAGGCGGAAACTGCAGCTTTCTCGTTAATGTGCAATCCTGAAACGGTGATGTATGGCTGGTGATAGATCATGTTGGGTTTCCGGAGAGCAGGGAAGGCTAAAGCCGGAGCCTAATTCATGATGCATGAACGCATTGATCTTCTTGGCTCTGAAAATACAGTGTAATGAACCCCCGCTAACACATCATTTTTATTCCACTGCACCTCGCTAATATCTAATGATTTCACCTTCTACTGTGATCAAACATAATTGTATGGGAGTTTCAACTTTGTTCTTTGATATGGGAACACTGCTGCCCAGCACTGTTTTGCTCTTTACTATTGGTAGAGCAAGTGTGGAACTTACACATATAATGATTAAGATCCTACAGAACTATCTTGCGGCCTTTTGAGCACCCTATGTGTTTACATATTCATAACATACGTGTTTCTGTGTGGATGCAGGTAAATTCAAGAATGTATTATATGCATATGTTAAACCAAAAGCTAACTGAAGACAAGAAAGATATTCAGAAGCAGGTACATCTTCCCTGGGATGGTAATGCTCTTTCCCACAAATTGGCCCTTGGGAAATGGCAATTGCTTTGAATGGAGATTACCTTGTAAATGTTATTGTTTGCAGAATCTCATCTGCTGATTGAAATCACTATAATAATTTGGTATGAAGTCCATGAAGCTTCTGGAGCACCTCTTGCCAGCCTGTCCTTGACAGCATCATACCCTATGCACATCTCATGTTTCTTGGACAGAGTTTTTGATTACACTGATCCATTCTCCATTTTAAAAGAGCTTTTAGGAAAAAAAATTAATATTAATTTTATAACCCTAGCCATCTGGCCTGAAGGTAGTTTTTTTCTGATGAAGGAACATTTACAGCCCTTCTGTGGATGAGCTGGGCTCTCCTTTGCCAGCACTGTGCTTGGAAGCAGGGCACCAGGGCTGAGTCCCAATTCTGACACTTGCTAACTGTGTGACCTTGGCCAAATCACTTAACCAGTTATCTCATCTGAATCCCAGTTTCCCCCAGATAAAGAGAAACTCTAATGCCTTTCCATGTCTGAATACAGGCAGCTGAACCAGATCATTTTTAATGTCTCTTGCAGCTCAAAGATTTATGTTTCTGTGATACCCGAACACACTCTTTCACTCCTCTGTATCTCGAAAGCTCCTTTCTTCCTTATGTCTCTAGAGTTTGGGTTCCTTAAACATCCCAATCCTCCTCACAATGAGAGTTGGATATGAGCAAATCATAACCTCACAACTTGGATAAACAGAGAGAGCTGCACTTCTGGTGTCTTTTGTTTTGTTTTGTTTTTAATCTTAGTCTTGATTTAAAACAACAACAACAACAAAAAGAATGACAAAACAAGAGTGAGTTAGGCAGAATGGTGGCCCAATTATTTAGGTTCTTTAAAGACTCTGTAGCAATATTAAGTTAATGCAAAACTTGGTTCTCAAGGTCATGCTCCTGCACGGCTTAATAGGTAAAACTTTGACCCCTACCCAGGCCTTTGATTTTGGCCTGCACTCTGTTCCATGGGGAGGTGGTGGAAGGTTATTACATAAAAAGCTAGTATCCCAGAGAAATACAGTCCAGAACTTGTGATGCAGGTCAGGGTACAGTATCTGACTGCAATCAATATGCACTTAAATGTTTGGATCATCTAAACCTCCACTTAGCACAAAGGATCTCCAGAGAGAACTTTCTTCAGAGCAGAGAAATTACTATTCCAGAGCTGTGAGTCTTCTTGGCCCATTTGTGTTTCAAGGGAGATGCTGGTGAAAGGGGCAAAGGAGGTCTCTTTGGGATGAATTGGCTGAACAGTAAATAGTCTAGGAGATAAAGAGCCTTGACTCCAATTCTGGCCACCACTGCCGAGAACAACTTGGCCCAATTCCTAATTATTCTCTCTCACTTTCTGCCTCTGCAATGGGGGTAATTATTGAAATATGTTAACAAGGTGTGTTGAGATCATTGGATAGAAGACAAATATCATTTATACTCACAGATTTGACAGAGCTAGAAGAGAAAAAGCGTTAAAGTTCCAGCCACTCGTTGTTCTAATGCTGAAACTTCGAAAGAATGGAAAATGTCATCTGTTTACTTAATCTTTCGACTCCCAAACCTATTAATTCCAGAACAGGGTTCGCATTCCTTGTTTTAACCTTCAATGAGTCACAGTACAAAACTGGATTAGAACTAGAATCTTTTTCTTGTTACTTTACCAATTCCTTGAGAGAGACAAGAAACGGAAAGTAGAAAGAAGTGGGTAGACCCCAAGGATCATGGACTAAAATATGGGGATAGGGATGCAGAGCTAGACATGGGGTTGAAGGAAAGGAGAGATACTGGCTCTTGGTTAGGGAAGGAACAGAACAAAAAAAACAGATCCATAGCAAGATAGATGTGTATTGTAATTATTATAATACTTATATATGTCAATATAAGTATTATAATATTATTATGTAAGTATTATAATACTTATAGATGTCAATTCATATGTTTTCTTTCTTTTTTCTTTCTCTATTTCTTTTCTTTCTCTCTCTCCCTCCCTCCCCCATCCTTCCTTCCTTCCTTCCTCTCTCTCTCTCTCTCTCTCTCTCTCTCTCTCTCTCTCTCTTTCTCACAGTCTAGCTCTGTTTCCCAGGCTGGAATACAGTGGCATGATCTTGGCTCGCTGCAACCTCCACCTCATGGGCTCTAGCCATCCTCCCACCTCAGCCTCCTGAGTAGCTGGGACTACAGGTGCACACCACCATGCCCAGCTAATTTTTGTATTTTTTTTTTTTTTTTTGTAGAGACAGGGTTTCACCATGTTGCCCAGGCTGGTTTCAAACTGATGTGCTCAAGCAATCCATCCTCTTTGGCCTCCCAAAGTGCTGGGATTATGGGCATGAGCCACCATACCCAGCCTCATACATTTCCTTAAAGCAAGCCTAAATGATAAGGAAAAGATCTTTGACTGGGAATGAAACTTAATTATAGGCAATATCCCAGCTTAGAACAATGTTAGCGATGGGTGATTTTGAAAGACTAGCAGTAAATAAAAAGGACAGGCTAGAGACAAAGTCTTAAATTGTAAGAGAAGAGTTGGGTAAGACAGAGCTTATTGGTCTTGTTCAGAGATCGAATACCAGAACAAGCAACTGAAAGAGCTAGAAAATCTTCTACAAAAAATGTGGAAGTGAGATACCCTTTCCCGTGTGATTTGTATATGCTACTCCCTAGAGACTTAATACTTTACCAGATAACCTGCTGAGGTTTCTTGAAGGTCTAGAGTAAATAAAGGCAAGTCTTAGCTTAGCATAGAGATTAGTGAATTCTTTTGGTAGGTGCCTCTTGTTCCATCTATTCATCATTTGGAGTTTTAGGACACTTTCCCTCCACAAAAGTACTAAATGTATTTTTTACAAAAAAAAAATACTTAAATGTTAATGCGAAACCTGGGGTGGAAGGAGGATGTCAAATAGCTGAGCAATGCTCTGAAGGCACGATGTCTCTGCTGAAGGATTTGACCCCAGTAATCTAATTTGCTTTAAATTTGAAATGATCCTTCATTCTCTTATTATAAGGCTCCATGTCGTTGGCTCATAAAGATTACAATTTCTTTGCTTCCAATTGCAATAAATCCAATTCAAGCACCCTCTTGACTTGAAATTCGTCACAACACACAGAGGGCAATGCTCCCCTCATGTGCCTCTTGGGGAGGGCATTCTAGTCTCATCTGCTGGAGAGAGATGATGCAAGACTATAAAGTGAGGCTCTCTCTCTTCCCCTTTCTCCCCCCAACTTCAGTATAATCTGTGAAAAGAATACTGTGTCTAAATTATAGCTGATTCCTCATTATCCAGCAGTAAAAAGGTTAGGCGAGCCAGAAAGCCAGACTGACTGCAGCTTCACATTTTATCTTTCCGCTTGGGAACAGTTCAGTTTCTCAAATCCATTTGAAAACACTTCAGCTCATTCCATCCAATCTAGGGATTTTAACCTTTCTCTTCCTTTATTTTCTGTTCTTTTTTTTTAAACTGGCAGCTTAGAATTATAACTGACCAGCCTATATCCTGCATATCTGTCTATCTGTCTATTGATTAGTCATGGGTCTAGTGTCTTACAACAGAACTTGACTTTTGGATAACATTTGGTATTGATTCAAAGCTAAATTGGATAGATCTTTGAAGGACTTGGTTGTACTATTGAGGGGCTTTTGAGTGGTAAATCATCATAATAATTATAGCACTTGGTATGAACTTAGTAATCATAAGGCCTCTGGTACCCAAAGATGTCTTTTTGCCAACCAGTAACTATCTTGATATGAATGGGAAACTTGAGTTTCAAACTACCACAATTTGTTACTTTAATATGAGCTGGAGGAGGAGCCTGAAGATGGAGAGCAAAGGACAGGAATGAATGTGAGTCCTCTAGAGACAGTAACCCCAACCCATTTGGAACAGGTAAGTCTACAGGTATAATCTCTATTAACAAAAACGACACATCCCATAACTTCTATGTGATAAACATCATTACCAGAGCCGGGCACAGTAGTTTACACCTGTAATCCCAGCACTTTGGGAGCCCGAGGTGGATGGATCACCTGAGGTCAGGAGTTTGAGACCAGCCTGGCCAACGTGGTGAAACCCTGTTTCTACTAAACATACAACAAATTTAGCTGGGCATGGTGGCACATGTCTGTAATCCCAGCTACTCAGGAGGCTGAAACACAAGAATCACTTGAACCTGGGAGGCAAAGCTTGCAGTGAGCTGAGATCATACCCTGGCACTCCAGCCTGGGCAATAGAGTGAGACTTTGTCTTAAAAAAAAAAGAATCATTACCAGACATAGAAATACATGGGTAGTAGAAGGTGTGTGCCAAGATTCTAGGCAAAAAGGGTTATGACTAAAACAGTATTAAATAGTAGTCAAAATATAAAATGGTAACTAAAATAACTAAAGAAGGCATCAGGAAACTTAAACTGTCTTGTCTCCCTGGGAAAAACAGAAGGAAGGGGAAGAGCCAGATTAATGTGGTGGGAGGATTGGCAGAAGAGAAGAGAACCGACTTAACCCCCAGAGTGGTTCTCAATGTTGGCTATGCCTCAAAAGCATCAGTGGGGCTTTTAAGGAAACAGTTTCCTTCCCAGAGGCTCTGAGTTAGCTCTGAGGTGGGGTCCAGGGAAACTCATCCCACCAGGTATTGTGCTGCACATCCAGGGCTGGGAAGCACTGCATTAGCTGATATGTTTAATGAGAAGAACAATACCTTGCCCAAGTGGCATCTCCAGTGGCCAGTGTAGTGCCTGGCTCATATTATATATACAAAAATGTATACCTGAATGACTGACCAAATGACAGACTGACAAATGGAATGAATAAATAAGCATTTGTTAAGTGTCCTTGAAGTACAGGATCTGTCCTAGGAGCCTTATTTATAATATCGCTTATCATTCTCACTGTTTCCAGTGAGGAACATATTATTTCTATCTCAAAATCCAGGAACTCAAGACACAGAAAGGCCAAGTAATTTGTCCAACTTCATATGCTAGACTGGAAGAAGGAGCCCAGCCTCAAGTCAGGTAAGAAAGGGAGGGGAGGGGGCAGAGAGAAAGTCTGGAACCCTGATTGTTTCAAAATTTCTACAGAGGGGCTGCAGTCATGGCAATCTGGCTGGGTGGAGTTTGAGGACTGTCCTCAAATTCTGTTTGCAAGGAAAGCACATGGATTTTACCTATATTTTTACTTGGGGAAATTGAGAGGCTGTTCATGGAGATTCTGGGAGCCTCCCACACCCACCTCATCCTATCCGACACCCCACTAAGCCACTTGTCTGGAAGAAAGAATTTGACAGTTCCCAGCTCATTCGTCTAATATCTCGGGGAAACAGAAGATATCCCAGGGTTCTGTTAACTTCCCTCATTTCTCTCTGTCTGGCAGCTAATGCCTGAAATTTATGCTAATGAAGAAAAAGTTTTGGTTCCCATAATTAAATATGAAAGACTTAAAATACAGATGTGATTGTACATTGAAGCTCATTCATGCTAAAGTCAATCTACAAATAAGAGCAAATGACTGATAGCAGACACTTTCTTATTTTGAAAAGGAAAAGGAGGAAAGAGAACACCTGACATTTGCCACTGAGGTGGAATAAAGGAATCGTCTTCGTCTTTACAGGTTTGCCTGCGATGAGCCCTATTTACATTCAACTGGGAGGGGACAAATAGAAGCTGTGCTCAGAGGTATTTTTGTCATGGGCAGCTGTGAATACATGCAGCTTTTCTTCAAATGATTTATGAAGGGTTTTTTGTTTGCTTTTAAAATGTGGAATAAAAGAGCTTCATTCCCAGAGGCTTCATTAACTGAGGTACCACCATCCCCAAAGCTGTCTATAGAATCTGCAATGTGCTGGAATTATTCAAACGGGAGTCCAGGCCTGCAAATAAAGAGGCTCTAGATCAGGAAGCTCAGCTTTGCCCCCAGCAGGTGGGGGTCCTTGTGCAAGTCCCTTATTCTTTTGGTGCCTCATCTGTAGAACTAGAACAATTGCACCTGTGTTTGTGGAATATTTACCAAGTGTCAACATGTGAGGCGCTTTTCCTGCGTTATAGCCATTAATCGTCACATCACCACCATGAAGTATGCACTCTTATTTTTCAGTTTTAGAAATGAAGAAATGAATCTTAGAGAGCTTAAAGTGAGTCGTCCAAAGAAGCACAACTAGTAATTGGAAGATCGGTTATGTCAACTAAGGCCTATCTGACCTCAGAGTCCACTGCCTCAGACACACAATGTCATAATGAATGCTACTCCATGGAGGAAATTATGTGGATAAAGAGAAATGATCTGGCTAAGCATGTTTTGAACGGTTATAAATTCATATTCACATATGTTGTGATATATGCACATACGTATATATAAATGTAGATATACGAGATATATATGGATATATGGATATATAGATAGACCCCCATTTAGCACTGTCCCATGCAACCCAGATTAGTTCTAACATTATTTAGTTCTAAATCAATTTCTTGATACCAGTGGTTTTTAAAATGTGCCACTGAGGTCAGCAGTCAGTCTCGGCATCACTTGGGGACTTGGTAGATCAGAAATGCAGATTCTAGAGCCCCACCCCACACTACTGAATCAAGAACTCAGGGAGTAAGACTCAGTCTTCTGGTATTTTGTTGGGGTAGTGGAGGGAAGGGGCGCCGAGCTTCCATGTCCTCCCTTGGTGCACCACCCTCCAGGAACCTCCACATGTTTGGCTATCTAGAAGCTCCAGTCATCTGTGCTTTAACAAGCCCTCTGGATGATTCTGATGCATGTTCAAGTTTAAGAGGCACTGAGCACTGTTGAGCTAACATGGCAGACAGTCCATTCTCAGCCAGGAACTATAAAGGCACCAGACTGCAGTGCAGTCAGCCATTGAGCTCTTCATTGTCATATAAAGAAACCTATAGCTTCTCTTTTGTTATTTCATTTTGTATTCTGGCAACTGGTTTTGACTCTCAAAGACTAAAAAAATCGTGCACGTAATATGCCGGCTTTACCCCGGGGCAAAGAGGATGAGTATTAGGTTGAGTATTAAAACAAAGCCTTCCCAGAAAATCAAGGTGTGTTCAAAGAAATGGTCCAGAAAACAGGGAATTACAGATGAGTTGATACTTTTATGTTATGGAGGGCATGATAAGCATTAATGCCTCCTAGGACAACCGACCAGCATTTCTAGAAAGAACAGCAGAAAGACATTGGTTGAAGCCATGTCATGGCATCAGGGGATTTGAAGAAAACCGAAGAGGTATTACAGAGAACCCTACCATAAACATGATGCTAGATGGTGTGTGTGTGTGCACACATGTGGGCACATACCCATATTACTTACCATATCTTTGGCATATAACATGGACTTCAGAATTAGTCCAAGTTCCTAGTTGGTTTCCGGTTGGGTCTGCCACTTCCTAATGGTTACCTTGGGTAAACTACTTAATATTCCCAATCTACAGTTTCCTTATCTGGGGAATGTGGGTAATAATAGTATAACCCTAGTACAGAAAGTATTATTTTGATATAGCACTTAGCATAAACCCTGGCATGTACATGGTAATTGTTCAATAAATTTTAATTATTATCATTATACATAGTAGCCATATTGATATTGCTTCCTTAAACTAGGAAAGCTTCTTCAAAAAAAAGCGTTTTCAGGCTGGGTGTAATGGCTTGTGCCTATAATCCTAGTGCTTTGGGAGGCTGAGGTAGGAAGATGGCTTGAGGCCAGAAGTTCAAGACAAGCCTGGGCAACATAGCAACATCTTATCTCTACAAAACATTTTTAAAATAAGCTGGGCATGGTGGCTTACACCTATAGTCCCAGCTACACAGGAGGCTGGGGCAGGAGAATTGCTTGCAGCCAGGAGGTCAAGGCTGCAGTGAGCTGTGATCGTGCCTCTTTGCTCCAGCCTGGGCAACAGAACTAGACCCAGTCTCTTTAAAATAAATAAATAAATATGAATTTTCAGGTGAGTCCCCAAGGAGAGGAAGGCAGTACCTAATAGGATCCAAAAACAGCCTCAGAAGTTTTCACTTGAGCTTGTTCATGGCTGATGCTTGCCTTCTTTGTGAGAAGACCTCTTTTTTGTAATTGTTTCTTCCTAATCTTGTGGCTTGCTAAGCATGGCCCCTTCCTCAATTCCTTCATAGAGTCTTAACTAGTTGCCTTGCTAGAGTCTCCATTTCTTTCTTCCTTTCAAAGCTACCTCTTTCGAATTTTGTTTTGTCTCCACTTTCTTATCTCCACCTTTGGCTGTTTCCAATCATTTGGTCAGTAAGATCTCCTGGGATCTCTTTTGCAGTCTTCTGGATTCTTTTGATGGCATTTATGCATGTCTGCTGCAGTAGACAGTTATCCTCTGAAAGATTTTTCTTCTTTTCTGAAGGAAAGGCTGAGCTGGATTCTACTCACAGCACTTTGCTACTTGCTTGTTGTCCTTTCCATGCAGCTGCTGTGGCTTACTTCCTTGGCACTAAGCTAAGCCTTATTACAGCACAAACTCTAGTGCATTGTACACTGTAGGTGCTTAATGAATGCTTGTGGCTTGACTAGGCCATGTAGAAGGTTAACATTTTAATAGAAAGAAAAAAGAAGAGGTAGAGAGGTCAGCCCCTGAAATTGCAAAAGAATTTGGAAAGGAAGTGACACAGAGAAGAGGGTGTAAAGAAACAAAAAGAAGGAGACAGATGGCCTTTCCCAGTTTTTTTTTTTCATCACAGATAATGACCTGGAGAAGGGAATAAAGGGTGAGAAGACAATGCTAAGAGTCATAAAACTCTTGTCCAGATAATGACCTGGAGAGGGGAATATAGGGTGAGAAGACAATGCTAAGAGTCATAAAACTCTTGTCCAGAGCTGATCCTGCTTAAGGCCTCACCACCAGGATACCGGGTGGGATTCGTTACTTGGAAGCTCTCAATGTGGAATACCCCAGGCAAAAAATGCTGCAATAGGGCACACCTCCCAGGCTGGGGAGGGAAGGCAACCGCTCCTCGGTCTTCTGCCAGTGGTGTCTGGGCAGCTGGCATCCCCTCCCACCATGCTGTGTATTTACCCAACTTCAAAGACCAGGGCAGCCATCAAAGAGACGAAGAGGAAAGAGAGACAAGATTAACTTTCTCCCTCCCTACCTCTCCCTATCCCTCTTCTCCATGAGAAAGCCTCCATTTCCAAAATGCTAACTAGCAGCACACACTGTGATCAGATTTGTGTGTTTGCAGCAATAGACAGGAAGAAATTTTCAATCTAGGGCTGAGATATGACTTCCCCAGGCAGGTAGGGGTGAAGCTATTAGGACATGTTCCAAAGGGTGACCCTTAGGGACAAATCACTGCCAGGTTCCACAGCAAGAGGGCAATGGTGCTTTTTGTTTTGTTTCAAACTAAGGTTCTGAGAGTATCTGTTGGATTAGAATGGAACCTGTGGAGCACACAAAAAAGAAAGAAATCCATACACATACATGTTGAAGCTGGTTATACTTCATGTCAGCCTGGGTTATCTTAACGTGACATGAGAATAACAGACAAACGGAAAAAGGTGTTGAGAAAATATAGCACTGTGTAAAGGGCATGGGCTTTGTTTGAAGTGAGATAAATCTTTGCAAGTTGCTCTCACCTTTTTGAGCTGCAATTCCCTCATCCTAATAATAATAGTTGTTACAAGACTTAAATGAGATGTTTCATATAGAATAGTTCATAGTGAACACTCAATAAACATTAGTGTCTATATTTGCTTTCTTAAGGCTGCTATATCAAACACCACAAAGTCGGTGGCTTACAACAAGAGAAGTTTATTCTTTTGCAGTTCTGGAGACCAAAAATCTAAAATCAGCACCACTGGGCCAAAATCAAGGTGTCAGCAGAGCTGCTCAGCCTCCAGAGGCTCTATGGGAGAATTTGCTCTTTGCCTCTTCCAGCCTCTCATGGCTGCTGATATTTCTTGGTCTGTGGCCATGTCATTCCAATCTTCAAGGCCAGCATCTTTAAATCTCTGCTCCATCTTCACCATCTCTTCTGTGTCTGTGTGTATATCAAGTCTTCCTCTGCCTCCTTCTTATAAAGATAATTGTGATGGCACATAGAGCCCACCTGGATAGCCCATCACAAGATCCTTAACTTAATCACAGCTGCAAAAACTCCTTTTCCATACAAGGTAACATTCACAGGGGCCAGGAATTAGAAGCTGAATTTTTTTTGTGGGGGAAAAAGAGCATTATTCAGCCTGACACTGTGCGTGACCTTTGAGTTTTCAATGGCGGGAAGGAAGTGAGAAAAAGGCATGAAACAAGAAGGTACCTTTTTATATGAAGTGAAATTATATGCAAATTTAGCATCCAGTTTTTTCTTTTTCAGATTGACAATTCAGAATAACAAGGCAGCAATATAAGTAGGTATATTATTTGAATGTATACACGTAGTCTTGTTTTTTGAGATTTATTTGTATTTATTGTCAATTATGTCATATAAGATCTTTTGATTTTGTTAGTATAAGGTACATAAGCTGATTATTGATGTAATTAAATCTGTACCATAAGGAATTGTTTAAGGGGATTTTACTATATTTGCATAGCCTTTTCCTCTACCTATTAGAAGCTTCTCATATATAGCCTTGAGCTATAAGTTAACTTTTCACAAGATCTTGCCTCTTTAACTTGATTATAAATTATTTGAGATAATTTATAATTATCTCAACATGAGATAAGAGATCATGTCTTTACATCTTTGTAACTTTCTTGGTGCCTAACATAGTATATTGGTCATAAATATTTGCTTGACTGATTAATTTTAAAATACCCAGGAAGGCAATTGTAAAGAAAGATGAAGGCAGGTCCATTCAACATTTGAGCTTCATGAAGAGAGATATTGGGAAAAAAATATCTTAAACCTTGAGGGAGATATTGATGCTTCTCTCTCTTATTCCATACTTCTCAGCTCTGATTAAAATTTGTATACCTTTGTCAAAATGCATTTCAAACTAATGAAGAAAAAATAGTAATATAGCATTTGAATACAGATCCTATCTCTATTATTCCTTTTATCCAGTGAAGTAGTTTGACGATCTGGAACCCTTCAGCAAAAATTCAAATAATGTCCCTTTAACTTTTTTAGAATCGGAATAAGCCGATTTCAAATTTTTCTGCCAGAAAGGGCCTTTTATATGATACGCTTATCAGTGAGGGAAGAAAAGGGGGAGCTTCTAAAAAAAAAAAAAGATTATGCATTTAAGGCAAGCTAACACATTTCCTGGCACATAGTTTCTAAAAATATTAATTTATTCCTGTTCTCCTTTTTGCTTCTTTTCCCTTAATAATAAATAAGCTTAATTGTGAAGAGAATGAGCCACTAACCTTCAGAAAAATGATAATTCCTTCAAGAGTAGAGGGCTTAACTGAAATGCAAAATGCTTATAAATGATGGATTTTATAGTGGTCTAGACACCTAAAAAGACATCCAATAAAATTCCTGAAATAAAAAGACTGTTTATTAGTGAGTAGCGGGCTATGGTCATAGTCTTTCTACTGTGACTTCTAGGTGTCCATGAGTGTCCTTTCAGGGATTCTGAGTTTTTGAACTTTGCAGGAAAGGCTAGGGTCTAAGTGCTAAGCTACCTTAAGGTTGTATCTTTCCAGGGAGAAAGTGGATTTTTTTCTTTTTTGTGTGTTTATTTGCAATGCCTTTCAGAGTTGAAGAGCAATCTTTCAAAAATGATGAGAATATGGAATCGGCCACTGTAACCTGATTCGGCAAACCAGTTCCATTTGGGTGATTTTTAACCTGCCTCTGAGAAACAGAAATGGGCAGGTTGGAGTCTCCCCAGACCCCAGATAATTGAGTTGAACTGGTGTTGTGTACTAGATGGTTGTACATTAGCTTCAGCCCTCTTGCCCTCTGCAAAAACATCTCTTTTTCTCGATTATTTAAAATAAATAAATCAATGATATCATAAAAAAGGAAGAAGAAAACATTAGAAATAACCGCCCCTCTGCTTCTGCACGGAAAGCACAGTCTAAACCTCAGTGATTTTAAAGACAATTTTAGTGAAGGGAGAAAACCCATCTGTATGGCTCAGCAATTAATTTTGAACATTTGAAGATAAAAAGGCTGAGTTCCTTGGAACTGGCTTTAAAAGTCACAATCCATGGCAATCTGAGGTATTCATTGACTAGGGGCTCTTCTGTTTATTCCAAATACCCCTTTATCATTGGTTTTGAAAGAATATGGCTCTCTGTAAAGCACTGCCAATTGGGAAAAGAATCAGATAATGAAGAAGTGATTTTACTGTGATGACACCCCTTTAGGACCTCAGTAGGATTTCTTCTAAATCAAAAAACTTTGCTTTATTAGTGCATTCGATGGAGGAGGGGGAAAAGAAAAGCGGGGGGCTTTCCATTTTTCTTTTGCATCTTCATAACAAAACACATATTGAATAAAAGCCTCTGGATGAGCCACAATGTAAACCCAGAGGGTGGAAGAGATAATTTTGTAAATTGTAAATCAGAAATTCTATTTGCAGTAGATGCTGAACACATGTAATTTACCAGCGTAACATTGTTATCCTGAATATAAGTGTGATGGATACCTTGTAAGTTTGAGAAGAGGGGCAGAGTCATTTAAATATCAAGCATGCACAATGTTCCTGGGTTCTGTGGATATCAAATCTTAGCCTACTTGGGAGATTCTTTAGGAGCAGGACATTGATCCATTGGCACTGCTTCGAGACAGAACAGTGGACAAATGACCTGGGAGCCTCCCTTGGGCTTGCTTCATGATCAAACAGGTATTAAACTAGCATGGAGTGAGTTGGTGGCACCTGGTGCTAAGATGATCATGCTTTACAAAATGCATCTTTAGAAGACTAATATGCCAGACACCTTACCAACTTGGGATTGCTAACCCTTTCTAAGTTTGAATTGACTTCATGAGATTTTCTCTCCTTCACATTAGCAAGCAAAATATACTGTTCAGGTTGGCTGTGTGAACTGGGAAGCCAGGTAATTGACCCTGGTGGGAGGACATGAGTGGATGGCAGAGCAGAATAAGATCAATCCAAAGCCCCATGGAGTAGCTCTCCAAGAAGAGTAGTTAGCTCTAGGGTCCTGATCCTCAATTTCTCTTTCTCATCCTAGTGTGGTGAGCAGCCACTATATACCTTCCCCACTGGCAATGCTGTTTCTAGGCCACAGCTGACACAGACAAGAGGACCACTTCAGAGGAAAGATAAATAACAATTATTAGAAATCATAAGGGCTTTTTTTTTTGTAATTGGAGCCACAAACTCTACTAATTGCCTCTGAAACTATATGCTATTTACTGTATTTTATTAACTGCACTATAGGAGAGTATGCCCATTCTGTTTATTGGCATCTTGTAGATATATTGAGATTTTTGCATAAATGTGTTATTCATCACAGACCAAGCCACATAAATAAAATATATAGAAAGATATAGTACTGTAACCAAAGTCTTAGAGAAATAGCTTAGCAAGTGACAATGCTGTCAGTGAACATGAAAGACTGAAATTAAGCGTTGCTTTTCTTCAAAACATGATCTTTAAACAAACTGAACTTCAGTTCTTCACAGTCTGGGGACCGGTAAAAGAAGATATTCAAAGCACCACGTGGGGTTCCTGCTAGCTGATAGAGAGGCATCCTTGGAGAGCCAAAGTAACTTTTAAAAAAGAAAAAGACAGAACTTGCAATACTTAAATCTGCAAAAGAGTAAGATGATTATTCCTCTTCTGGAACCCTTTTGACAAACCCCTACATTTTCAAAGAGTTACATGGGATTTAGCGAGGCATTGATTTTAATGTGAGTTGCATTGCTAAACTACATGCAGTCCTTTGGAAATTTAGGGTTTGTTGTTCATTACAGAGTCAGACAATAGTCTGATTTATATTGACAGAGTTTGAAGAATGAAAAAATATAGACACTTTGGTGCAAAAATATAAATATCTAAGTTGCCCACTAGTCAGGCAGGGACAACCAGAAAGAAGGAAAAAACAAAAGTTGAATCTCCAGTTCAAAATGCAGTTGAAAAATTTAAGTTTCATTTGAAACCAGGGGAACAAGCATGAAAAGTTGGACAGGGCCATCATAAGGCCCCAGTGATTGGTTTTTGAGAACATTCTCCTAAAACGTTTTCCTGTTTGGGACGGCAAGATAAATTATTGAGACAATTTCTATTCAGAACTTGTCCTGTTTACAACCCATATTACAAAAAGTTATATTACCATTGTCATCTTTTAGCAGCATGAGTGATACAATCTCATATTCATAATATGGCTATTTTATATTTGCAGCTTTATGAAAATCTATAGATATCAATATCTGTTTTTTTAATGGATCTTGCTGAAATCCTGCTGCCTGGGAAGTTGTGCGGTACTGCTATGGAATTATCACAAAGCCTCATCTGACAATTATGATATCATATCAGGAATATATTACTTCTAAAGTATGGAAGAAAACTTTTACAGTATCATAACCAATCACATTTTAGTTTGGAAATAAAAACTAAGGTCTATATGTGATAATTAGTTGAGTTACCTCAGTTGCCACAATCCCTCTATCCCACCCAAGGCTGTCTGTCAGTGTCAATGAAATTGAATGTCAAATTGAAAAACTCTAAAGCTATTTCTTCCATATTAGAAAATCACTAGCAAACATATCTTCCTGCCCTACTGGGAGGGTAAGCAAAATTAGCACATATCCCTCTCCTTGTTTTGTCAAACTTTAATCAAACTGTTTATGTAGACTGTGAGGTGATCAAATACTAGACCTTAGCATAAGAAGATCTGATCTCTAATGCTAACCTTTGATAATCTTTGTGAAATATATTCATCAGACTTCTCTGTGAGCAGTTGGCATGGTTAATCTTTGCATCTTCCCTCTTTGGCTTCCTTCCTCTTTTCATTCTTTTCCTATCCCCATGTCCCTCCTTCTCAAGCTCCGTCCACTCCTTAAATAATTGGTGTTCATCATAGTGGTACCCCTAGCTTATTTTGTTTAAAGTCCTTCAATATATTCTATCTGGGTGAAACTCTCCTCCCCTCCTTCAAGTCCATGACTTCAATTTCTACCTACATGCTCTTGACTCCCAGCTAAGTTGTCTGGCTGAATATTTCAAAGGCATCTCAAAGCCTCCTTGCCCCAAGTTAAAATTATCTTCTTTCCAGCACCCATCCCCCAAACAAACAACAAACGATCAAACCAACCTTTCCCATGTGCCCATACCTGTCTTGGATGAATGACACCAACATCTACTCCAATGCTGCAAGTACAATTTTTTTTTTTTTTTGAGACAGTCTCACTGTGTTGCCCAGGCTGCTAGGCTGGAGTGCAGTGGTATGATCTTGGCTCACTGCAACCTCTGCTTCCCAGGTATCAAGCAAGTCTCAATTCTCGTGCCTCAGCCTCCCAAATAGATGGGATTACAGGCACGTGTCACCATGCCCGGATAATTTTTGCATTTTCAGTAGAGATGGGTTTCACCATGCTGGCCAGGCTGGTCTCAAACTCCTGCCCTCAAATGATCCACTGGCCTCAGCCTCCCAAAGTGCTGGGATTACAGGTGTGAGCTACTGCACCCAGACCAATGGGTTCTAATTACCTATAAATATTGAAACTTTTTAGCAGGTTAATCAAGACATTCTCTAGTCCCTGTGTATCTTTTCCAGCTTCCTTTCATGCCACTCATCCTCTGACAATCTGCCATCCGGCCATTCTATTTGTAATTTCTCAAATATACATGATGCTGTCCCAAGCTTTTGGGCCTTGTAAATGACTTCCCCTCTCGTCACACCTCCCCCCTGCCCCAATAATATCCCTCTCTAACTTGTGGACTCTTACTTAAATTCTAAGACTTGGCTCAAGAATTTCTCCTGTGTGAAAATGTTCTGAGACACACACATATTCATACTTGCCTCCGGAGTAGGTGCCTCCTTTTTGTGTTCACATAGAGCTGTGTGCACATATTGTAAAAACATTTATTACATATGATAGTTGTGGTGCACTTTGCCTCCCCTAACTATACTCTGAGTTCCTTGGCAGTAGCTACAGTTTTTCATTTGCCTTTGTATTCCCAAAATGTAACGGTGACTGCTCAGTGGAAGTACACCACAATGTTTTTTCTTTTACTGAATACGTATTTGGATCAGCCACATATATCTGGATATATTCCTAGATATTTGACTGGAAAAAACGATGACTTGAGTCCCAATGGAAAATTCCCTTCCATGGGAATTGGGGCTGCTCCTTGATCTGGTTCATGTGTGGTTTTTCTGCAACCTGCTTCAGTACTTTCCTTCAAATTGGTATTTGACTTTTGATATTCAAGAGTGTACAGTCAACTCTCTGACACTAGAAGAATAAACCTTTGGGTAAACTGTTTACACATTTAGAAATATGTATTTAGCTGGCTTCATATTTCATAAAGATTCATAGACTGATTGATACCCCTAAAGATGAGCTTCTTAATCTTAATCAAAGTATATAAGAGCTACTAAATGAGACCAATAGTCTATCTAGTCCAATATTCTAATATATTGCTAACTTACTTGAATGTATGGAATGCTTTTCTATCAAAAGCTGACATTTATGATACTTTTAATGCACCTTTTGAAAACGGCAGCTGAGGCTTAGTGATTGCTTTAGTCTGCTCAGGAGGATATAAGAAAATACTGTAGACTGGGTGGCTTAAAAAACAGAAATTTATTTTTGTGCTCTTCTGGGGGCTGGAAGGCACCATTGGGTTCTGATGAGGGCCCTCTTCCTGGCTTGCACAGGGCTGCCTTCTTGCTGTGTGATCACCTGGCCTTTCCTTGGTGCATGCTCACGGCAAGACAGAACTCTGGTATCTCTTGCTCTTCTTATAAGGACTTTGATCCCAGTATGGAGGCCCACCTTCATAATCTCATCTAAATCTAATTACCTCCCAAAGATCCCACTCCTAAACACCATCACATGGGGGGAGTTTAAGCTTCAACATATGAATTTTGGGGAGACACAAAACATTTAGTCCGTAATAGAGATTAAATCACTTTTCTATAGGTACTTAAATAATCCACCTGCGGGGCAAATGCTGACTCCAAATACTGTTTTCTTTTCCCTAATCATTTGTCTTTGTTGCTTTTTATACCTAGGTACTCAAATAATTAGTCCTTTACAAAGCGAGATGCTGCTAGTTCTCATTGATTGTCTCTGATGTATCCTCAAAACATGAATCATCTTTTAATGATCATTTTTCATATATGTTTATCCATGTTTCTTAACTGTTTTAGTGAAAGCAAACAATATAAGGTCTCTCTCTCTCTTGCTCTCACTCTTGCTCTTTAAAGTTTCTCACAACAACAAAAGGAAAAAAAGAAAAGGAAAACCTGGGCTCTTGGTGCTTCTGGCAATTATATTCAAACACAAGAAGCACCCAGATTGTAATTCTGATAAGTATTTCAGTTCTTTCTTGAAAAATTAAATTCACAAAACAATTGATTATCAGTTATAAATGGCAAAAACACCATCTGGTTTTCAAAATTGGTTAAATCCATGTAGCAAAGGGGAAAATTTTGGAACTTGTAGTTGGCGAGGAGTTCTAGTCCATGAAGCAGAAAATGACGAGCTTTACTATGAGAAAGCCAGAGTAGTCATAACTTGTACTTAGCGGCTGCGGGAATTTGATGCGTTCTTCACATGTTCCATATGTTAAATTGCTTGGCGAGATCTTCAGTGTGAAGGAGCTGGGGGTAGGAAAGGCGTGTGGCTAGTGGATAGACTAGAAACAGCTTAATCCTAAATTCTCTGCTCTGCTTCTTGCATGTAGACCCAGTCTAAATGTGCCCCAGGACTCAGTTTCTTTACCTGGGGAATTGTACGTGCAAGTTCCTTAACCTTATGGCACAGGGGACATTTTGGTGGAAATTTCTAAAGCTATTTGCATTCCTCTAGTGAGGTAAATCATACGACATTAGCATTTCCTACAGAAATGTCCCATGTTGTTCTTTGCCAACTGGAAATTTGAGTAGGTGTTCATTTGATGTGCCAAGAGAATGAAGGGAGATGAAAACACCCTACATCTTCCAATGTCCCCATACTGTGTTCCGAGTGTGGGAGGACTGGGGCCTGGCTAGATTCTCCTGGAGATTCAGCTTCATGAGGAATGTTTTTCCTTAGGAGTATACTGCAATTCTGTTAGTTAAAAAAAAAAATGTTTCTGGGTTGCTGGCATATTTTCATCTTATGTTAAAAATGTAGCTATCCTTTGCTTATTATTCATGCATTGTAATGTGAAATTTATTCATTCACTTTACGGATATTTAGAAAGGCACAGTGGTTAATTGCATAGGCTCTTTCTGCAAGTTAGAGACTGTAATCTTAGGGCAGTTACTTAATCTTTCTAATCATGTTTAAAAAATATAAAATGAAAGATAATAGTATGTACCTTGGGGATTGTTTCAAGTATTAAATGAGATTTTGCATGTAGAATACTTAAGAATTCAGTGAATGCAAGAGTAGTAATAATAGTAACGGCAGATAATAATGTTACTATGTGCCAGGCTCTGTGTCAGGATTCTTGCCATATAGGACCTGCCTTTATAGTTTACATATCACTTTCAGCATACATATGGCCTTACTTTTTTTTTTTTGAGACGGAGTTTCACTCTTGTCGCCCAGGCTGGAGTGCAATGATGCGATCTCAGCTCACTGCAACCTCCGCCTCCTGGGTTCAAGTGATCCTCCTGCCTGAGCCTCCTGAGTAGCTGGGATTACAGGTGTGTGTCATCACGCCTGGCTAATTTTTGTATTTTTATTAGAGACGGAGTTTCGCCGTGTTGGCCAGGTTGATCTCGAACTCCTGACCTCAGGTGATCCATCTGCCTCAACCTCCCAAAGTGCTGGGATTACAGGCATCAGTCAGCGTGCCCGGCTGGCCTTAACTTTTTTATTCCAATTTTGGTGGAACTTTGCTCTCTATTTGGTCCGACCCAGGTACCTCACTGCCAGAGGTAGTAAGAACGGGTAGGACTTTGCAGACTGGGCATTATCCTGGCACCCACGTGGCAATGGTTTCCTGTCTCCTGTAGTGCTGTTCTCCTGTTGGAGCTTTCCCCACTTCTGAAGGACTGCCTGCAGTTCATGCATCGGGGCCTGTAATTACAGAGCAGAATATCCAGGGCTGTGAAGACCGGGCAGTCTCGAAATTAGTTTATGCATAATGGATAATAGGAGGCTGTTTTTAAGTGTAACTCATTTGGTGGGTTGGCAGATCATGACTTCCTTTTTGATATGTATTATTTATTTATTTTATAGCAAGATGAGGACAGAAGGCTGGGGAAGTCATTTGGCGCAGCTCTTCTAGACTATAGCTCAGACTTAGCAATTTACATTCAGTAATCTCTTGGTCATTTAGCCACAGATAATTTGTCATGGTTTGTTTTAGCTGTTGTGATATTGATATTTATTATGCAAATTGTATTTCCTACATCTTATTGTTCTGCATTCTATGAATACTTAAATTATTATAAACCTTTACACTTAATATGGCTCGTCCTTCAATTTGATGCTTGAGCAACAGAGGGTCAGAGCGCACACGATCTTCTAGAGGGGAAGAAAATAAGTAATTAAAAAGCAGACAAACAAGAGAGCCGGCTGCCTGGCTGAAAAGAAAGCAAAGAGAATTTCGGGGAGGGAGAGTGAGTCCGGAGATGCAAGTCGCTTTAGCAGGAGAGGCTCTCCCAGAGACAGGGGAAGCTCGGAGCACCTGTTGGTCCCCAGCTTCCTTAGGAAGGGCTGGGGGCGCAGAGGAGGAGTGAGAGGGTTTGAGCCCCGAAGGAGGAACACGGCAGACCCTGCCTTCACCACACTCCCTCTCCCCAACTCCCACCACCCCCGCTCTTCACCTGAAGCCTTGACTAATTTTTTCCGTTGTTGTGTAATCTTAAATATCTAATATTACAAATATTTCACACATATATTCAACACACACCTATATATTAAAACCAGGGAGGAGACCCTCGACAAGCGGAGGAGCCTGAGCATACCCTCCTCGATCTACCTTTCCCGAGATTCTGCCGCAAAAAGACCGACTGGAAAATCTCAGAACCCGACTCTACGGCTGCCTTCTCCAACTATCCCCGAGTCTACCGCTAGGCTGTTGAGCGGGCTCTCCCGCTCCGCCGGACGTGCAAAGCACGCATGCACTTCTCCCAGATTGTTTTGTCAATCCGGGGACCTGCCTTCTTACTCTCCACTCCCGCACAGCCCCCGTTCCCAAAGATCTATTCCTTCGGTGCAAGGTGAGTGACGGAAATTTGCAACGTCTGGTTCGCTAGGCCAGATGCACTCGGTGTGCGGGACAGAGGACCCTCTTAAGGGAGATTCTCCAGTCGTCGGTCTGATACAGCGATTGCTATAAACATTCCTAATAAAGGTGTACAAGAAGCTAGACCCGCCCCCTGGAGCCCGAGTCCTTGCACGCCAGGCGCCCGGGAGAACACTTTTTCCTTGATCCGGGGAAAGCAAAACCCGAATTTTAACATAAACATATTTGCATACGCCCCTCCCCTTGGCCCCGCCCCTAGGTGGCGCGGGCGCGCCGCCGAACGCCAGCGCCAGGGGGCGGGGTGGGGGAGGGAGCGAGGCCCTCCGAGAGCCGGGTTGGGCTCGCGGCGCTGTGATTGGTCTGCCCGGACTCCGCCTCCAGCGCATGTCATTAGCATCTCATTAGCTGTCCGCTCGGGCTCCGGAGGCAGCCAACGCCGCCAGTCTGAGGCAGGTGCCCGACATGGCGAGTGTAGTGCTGCCGAGCGGATCCCAGTGTGCGGCGGCAGCGGCGGCGGCGGCGCCTCCCGGGCTCCGGCTCCGGCTTCTGCTGTTGCTCTTCTCCGCCGCGGCACTGATCCCCACAGGTAGGTGTGGGCACCGACCGGTTGGCCCCTAAATCTCCGAAGGCACCCCAGTAGCCTTGGCCACAGAGGGGGGAAACGTTTCCATGACAACCTCCCCCCACTTCCTACATCCGAAGCGGAGGGAGTGTGGAGAGGAAACTCAGGGCTGAGAGGGAAGGGGCTGAGGGCATCTGTGAGCCCCTTCTCCCCTGCCCGGCTAAGTGTGAATGAGAGTCCCCAGGGATGGCTGCACCCACACCTTCTCTCCCCGGCTTGGCGCGGGGTGCAGAGTGGAGTGAGAATGGGGGGCCCGGGGGCTGTAAAGCATGGGGGAAGGGGATGGTTCAAAGACAACCTCAACCCTTCCGGACCCTTCTAAACTCGCCGTTCTCCCCGTAACTTGCAGGTCCTCCCACCTCCCAGGGCTGTCCATTCGCCCCCACCTCTCCAGAGGGCCCCCCCAGTTCTCCATCCCCGAAGCCTCCTGGTGGCTGACTCCCAGCCGCCCGCGGCGTGATTTCTCCCCGGTCCCCAGGACATCCCCAGACTTGTCTGATCTCCCCTGCCCCTTCCCCCAACGCGCTCTGCCTTTCTCCCCTGTCCCCAAACTGCACGCCTCTCGTGTTTCCCTCCGGCCGTTCGCAGCCCTCCGCCCCCTCGGCTCTGCTGCGGGTCTTTTTGGCCCGGCTCCAGGCGGGGAAAGTTCCCCGGCCCGGCCCCGCGGGGGGGGCGGCCGCTGTCGCCGCCTCTGCGGGAAGGCGCCGGGAGCCCGCAGCCCGCCCGCCCCACAGCGTCCTCTGCCACGAGTGGGGACACGGGATTTCCCGGCTGCCCGTTCTTTCGGCGGCCCGAGGGTGGCGGAGGGGGCGTCGCGGCCTCTGCGGCCAGGCGGGCACCCTGCGGGCCTCCGCGCGCTCCCTGCGTGAAGAGCAGTCTTGGGAATTTGCCCAGGGGCGGCTCTGCACGCCCGGTGCCTTCCCTGAAGACACCGAGCACTCGGCTGGAGCCCGATGTGTGGCTGCCCGTGTGCCGGGCGCGTTGGCGCGGTCGGGAAAGAAGAGGGCAGTGTTTGCTTTTGCTAACAAAAGGGAGCCGGAGCTCTTCCTCAGCGGAGAGGCCGGCTGTGCTGCACCCAGCCTCCCTTCCCGCCACCTCGCCGCGCTTGGCAGCCGCGCGGCGTCCTCTGGCCCCTGCTGCAGGCTCCAGGCGGGCGCCGGGACCGAGTGGCACGGGGCCGCGGGGTGCGAGCGGCGATGCAGGAGGGGATGCAGCAGGGCTCTGAGCCTGCAAAGCCCCTCCTTGCAGCTCCAGAGCTGCAGGACCCGGGAGCAACAAGTGGCGGAGGACGCCGAGAGCTCAGCCCCCACCTGCGGAGCCCCAGGCCCGGGCGGGCACAGCGTTGGGGCCACGGTGCTGCTTCAGGGGCGCCTCTCCGCTTGGGCTGTGCCTTTTGTTTACACGCTAGAGGACACACAGTTATGTAAACACCGCAGGAGACACGCTGTAGGAGACGGGGGATGTGTGGGGGTGCTAGCTTGAGATTTGGGGGACGCCGGGTTGGCTGCTTGCCCCCAAAATAGGCTTGCAAAGGAGCTCGGCTTGGGAAACCTATTGGGGGGCGTCTGGCAGCAGCGTCAATTCCAGCGCTGAGGGTTTTTTTCCTCCATGCCACTGTCTCCGGATGTTGTTTATGTGTTTTTCCTCTGTGAATTCTTAATTTATGAGTTACGAGATAATTGGGTTCAGCCGATGCCGGTGTGGTTACAACTTCATTTCAGGTGATGCCTCTGACTGGATGGGTTCAATAAAATGTTCCTGAAAGAGATCCCTCGTGCTGCTGCATTGTAAAAAGCGCCAGTGTCAGTTAAACGTGAGCGTGAGTAAAGGCTCGGTAACTGGCGCATAATAGAGGCAACAATAGACTTGTATTGGCTGCAAAAAAAAAAAAAAAAAAAAAAAAAAAAGCCGGGGGGCGGTGGAAAGCTGTGGTCGGGGATATTGCTTTTTGACTAAAAATGGGAGTCGTGCAATGACGCTTGGCAGCAGAAGTAGGATTAGATTATGCCTCCCCTGTCAAGACTGCTCATTGAAGGCACCGGGTAGTAGCAACGGTACTATATTTGTAACTATCTCGCGGTGAGAAGTTGCCTTCCCTGCGAGGGATATATGCTGACTTAGGAGCGGTCTGGAACTCAACCGTGCATGTCAAAGCTACATGAAAATTCTGTTGCCAGTTACCATGGAAGCAGCTTCTTGCTCTTGTGTACATCCCTGTTTGTATGCTGGTTATCAGATTGTGTTCAAATTAGAAAGTAATTGGGTATGATTTGTAGTGAGGAGATGAGATGACTTTCTTAATTTTTTTCTCTTAATGCATATATATATATTTCGTGGTGAGTTTGAGAGGAGGTCTTGGCTCATTCCGGGGTCCCATACCCCAGGGGTAAATTTCAGGTGGGCACCAAGGGACTTTTCCTCCTCAGTTCTGTTTAAGCTTTCTCAGAGGCCTCCAGTTCCCACTCCCAGGGTTAAAGAAACCTGTTGGTGCATCTGACTTCATTAGGCTTGTTTCGTTTACATCCTTGCTGGGAAAGCGAATTAGGACCATCGTGCGTGGGTCCTGGTTCTGTTTTCTCCTGTAACTGAAGCCATCCATCCCCCGCAGAAAATCTCCTCTCATTTCTCCTGTGATGTTTGGATGAAATGGATGTTAATGAAATGCAGTAAAAATGGGTTTGCTTAAGCTCACTCCACAGTGTTAATCACGCCTGTTATACGTTCAAGGTGCATGCATGATGTTGTTTACGATCCCGAGTGAACCAGTAGCTGATCACCCCCCTCTTATCATTTTCAGGATTAGAGAAGATGGCTGGTGGATGGGGGATTTATGGTGGTGATGGGAAGGAGGGGGGCTGACTTTTGCTTGCTTTGGCCTGTTGGGGCTTGCAAACCGGGGATAGAGACTTTACAAAAGTGCCGCCCTGTTATTGTTGCCTTTCCCTGCATCAGATTGAATAGCCGCAGTAGGGACTTGCACTTGTCTGTGATAGATTTGATAAAATATCCCTCATTAATGCCACTTTATATTTACAGTGTGTCACTGGAGACGCACAAGGCTTCATTTAGTGACTTGTGTGACGAGACAAGCTTGCATTATTTGCCTGGGACGTTTTGGAGGAACAAGAGACCCATTGAGCAATCTTTTGAAATGAACAAATACGAAAAAGGGGGGGAATAAAAGAGCAGGCAGTTCTCTGGAACAAAGAGCTTTATTCATATGGATGTTGTACATGCTTTATCCAGTTTTCCCCAATGGCCCTCCTGGTAAAGGGGAGTGGGACAGGGAAGACGCCAACAGGCAGGACACTTTCGTTTCCTCTCTCACTTCCTGACTTCATATTCTTATCGGAGTTGGTCCCCGGCTCACTGCCTGCTCATCTCTCTCCACACTCTCTAAAATCCCAGAAGGTAACGGATTCCTGGGTCTCCACAGAGAGATTGTGAAATCCTTTCTTCCAGCTCTAAATTTCAACAGAAGACAATGCTAGCTACCTGTTGAGGTTGATGTTGTTGGAGGATATATTGGTTGAAGGGAAAGAGATGTCACTTTTCTATGACATGTGTCAAGAAGTGGTTGATAGTGAATGTCAGATTGGTAAGATGTCTTGCAATTATAACATTAGCCTTATTATTTATTTGGAAAGAAATGCTGTGAAAACCAGCATCCAAAAATTGTATTCTTATTGATGGTGCTCTTGGAGTTTTTAGTGACTTTTTCCCACACCTGGTACATTTTAGTCTCATACATAAGTGAATTTTTATTATTCCTTGGCCTATATTGCTAAATGATTTTTAGGCTTTAAAAATTGATAAGATTGCTATGAATATAAACTGTCTCATTCTCTTGGGATTTCTGTACGTGACATTTTAATGCCTAATTGGTCACTTAGAATTTACATTTTAGAAATGATTTTGTGTGTGTGTGTGTGTCTGTTTTTAGCAAAAGGTGCATTTTAATGTGGGGATTCTCTTAAATTGGGCCAAACTAATCAATGCTATAATTTGAATGGAAATTTACCAGCAGATGAAGAAAATTCAAAATAAATCCAAAGGATTCAAATGCTGTACGTTTTTCTTGGGAAGAATAGTTTTGACCATTATGCTGGGCATTTTTAACTGAAAATCCAGCACAGAAAGGAGAAATCACACAGCGACATCTGTTGCAGAATTGAAAATTTGCTGCTTTGAGTTGGAAGCAATTAGTCCCATATAAGCACCTAATGGTATCAGTGTGTGTGTGTTTGTGTGTATGTATAAGTAGTGATACAAATACATACATATACATACTTATATATACATATATATGCACAGGATACAAAAACTTGCCCACATACAATATTCATATTCACATTAAAAATTATGTAATAGAAAATGTAACATTTTGGGACTAAAGCTGTTTTTAAAAATATTACCTTTTGAGGAATTAGAGATTCTTATAATCATGGAATTTTTGAGAGGGGAAAGATATTAGAAATCATCTGGTGAAATCCCATTTTGAAGTAAAGTAGCCGAAGGCCAGGGAGGGAAGAATCTTACTCTGCAGTTGAACTAAGGCTAGGTTAACGACAGATCCTGGATAGGGACAGGTCCCTTGATGTCCAGCCAGTGGACCTTCTGTTCCGCCTCCTGGCAAGGATGCCTGGTCAGAGATATGGATCATGAATAGACACTATCTTGGCTAAAAATATTTTGTATTTTGAAGGCAGCAAGATTAATTGTTGCTCTAGGTAATAAACCCATGGATCAGAGGAGTGACCTCTGGGAAGAAAGGACCAGTTCTTGGTAATATTGTCTTTGGTGTTGACAAATGATCCTGAAACCTCTGGAATTTATTTGGCAGCCGCAACAGAAATGTCATCCAAAGCACCTTCATAGGGGAGAAATCTGGATTTGTGTCATTGGAATAAGTCTGATATGCAAAAACCAGGCTTCTGAAGGCTCAGATTTAGATTTCTACAGTTTTTTATTTGTCTTTTCAAGGATTAATATTAGCAGTAGAACTGGTTCTGTATAACTAAGGAAAAAAGGAAATGTTCTTAAGAACAAGAACAGAGCTTGATTTTCTTACCAGGAACTTGCCTCTTTTCATGAAACCAAGAAAAAGCTGAGAATTTTTTTTGTTGTTTTTTAAAGAAAAAAAAGTTTTATTTTCGAAGGATGACTTTTTTTTTTACATTGATCAGATTTTTCTTTTTTCCCATTTTATTATGGAAAATTTCAAATATGTATACAAAGTGGGAAGAATACCATATTTAACCATGCATGCAAATCACCCAGTTTCAATAATTATCCACCCCTGGTCGCTCTATCCCCTCTGTGCTTCTTCCTTTCCTCAGATTACTTTAAATAAATCCTGAACATCCTATCATTTCTTCCATAATTACTTTTAGAATGATTTCTAAGATACAGCCCCTCTTTTTCCACTCCTTATCACAGTATTATTATCTGGCCGTACGCACAGTATTCTCACCTGGATGTACCGAATTTTTGCCTTAGCTTTACTGAGGAAGAGAGAATGAAGGCTTGTTGCAGTTGGTGAAAGCAAAGGCAGAGGCCAGAGAAGCTACAGCACGATTATTGCTTCTACTGAGGAGACCTTCTCCTATGGTTTGGTTTATTTTGAGCAAGGTTTTGTTTGGATCGGATAAGATGAGTTTTATTGTTGTGCAAATACAGTTGTGTAAATATGCAGTAATTGTAGCTAGTCCCTCAACTGTGGCGTGCGCTGGAAAGCACCGTTGGCGAGACTGGCCATTTCCAATTGTTCCCATAATGATTACCGTCCATGTGAGGACTTCTGTAGGAAAGGCTCATGTTAGTTTGATGACTATGAGATACCCCATTCGTATATTTGTCTTTAAAGGCCTCCATGGTATAAATACCTTTGCATTTTGTGAATATATTGCTTAAAATAAAAATGTCTCTTTCCATTTCGAACTGGCTAAGTGCTAATTTCAGCCGCTATTCTGTAACTGAAGTGATCACAAAATGCCTTCTTTGGTGTGGGAAACTCATGCATCAGGCTGTAAGTATTTGGGCCTTATTTTTGTGGGATGGTGGTGAAGGATGGTGGGGAGAGAAAAGGTTACTACCTTTACTTCTTAATATTTGCTCCATTGATTTAAAATGTGAATTTTTAACTTCAGCTAGAAATGTTGGAATGCTTCAGTGTTAATTTCAAAAAGTCTTTGGTTTTTCTGAAAATTGTTCCGTTTTCCAAGGTTCATGAAATGTGAGGGTTTTTTTTTTTTTTTTTGAGGCTCTTTCTCAAAAATTTCATTAAATATGGACTATAAATCTGAAGCATTTAACATTTGGTTTTTTTGTTTCCAGACAAACAGGGAATTATGCATGAGATGATTTTGAGGGGTCCGAATGGCCCTGGACAGGTGAAAACCTGCCCCCTGCACCGCCCCCTCTGAGTTGACCAGGCCACAAGAAAAGCACAAAGGAATGCCTACATTCACGATTTGGGGAGCACCAGCAAAATCGAATAAAAAGCCTTAGTTTGGAAACCATCAATGAAGGAAGGAACCCACTGGAATGTTTGTAATTACAAGTGGCACCTCCTTGTTTAAATTTCAGAAGCCACAGTTTCTTTTTCAGAGATTTAAATTGCAGGCTCTAGCCAGCAGCTGCTGTTGTGGTTAATGGGCAGTTTCTCTTTGAAGATCTTCCAAGTGCTGGTTCTCAAAAGCTTTGGTGCAGTTGGCCTTGAACTAGGGTTAGAAAAAAGGGCGATGTAGATATTTATACAAATGCACAGCTCAAATGACGTGTGGCCTTTATTATTACTCAAAAGAAACTTGGTGTTAAGGTTGAGAAAAACCCAGCACTGAGAAAAACCTGTTATGACTGACAGGTGTCTTGAATGAGGTGATTATCTTAAGGGAGATAAGGTGGGAGAAATTTTTTCTTTTAGTAGATGTTTTACTGGAATACAGGCATTTGACCTAACATTTTGATCTAGGTATTTCAGAAATGTTAAATAGGCTTGAAATGAAAGTGCTGTGATATATATTTAAATGCTACTCAGTGTTTGAAGTTGATATTCCAGTGACATAGACTTTTAAAAATGCCTAGAATAAGTATCTTGCTCTTGGCAGACTTCCTTGGGAAGGTAGGTGCTCTGATTCCTCGTTGGCTGTCCAGCACTGGACTGCAGTGTCTAGTTGGAATTGAGTTATGCCGTCCCTAGAGGAGGTGGGAAGAATCTGCCTGAAAACAAAGGGTTCTCCAGTTCCCTGACTCCCATTGTCTGTGCCATATCTCCACTTGGCTGGGATTAACCTAAAAGTTAACGTTTAAAAAATTTGAACCTTTAATCTTTTTGCAGTAGGTATCAACTTTTCTCAAAGTCTCCATTATTACCAATGACACCATTGACATCCTGGTCTCCAAGGCCCCTAAATTTGGAGTCTTTTTTCCCCTCCTTAGCTTTCCTGCTTGCACTGAAATAAAATGGGGCTGATTGTTTCTAAGTGACATTCTCTGGAAACATCAGTGCCCTCTCCAAACTGTGTTTTGCTAACAGGAGGCTCCTAGCCAGTTCCCCCTACTCTAGTCCTCTGCTAGCTACTGCAATTCTAATTCTTTTCAGGACAGGATCATAACATTTCCCATTCAGAAACCTAATCTCAAATTCTTACTTCTTGCATCAGATTCAAACTCCACACTGTTTTGTCTTTAGGTTGTTCTTCCTCAATTGCTCTCCCACTCCCTCTCTATTGCCCTCATTTCTTATTACTTTTCAGCTTAATCCTGATGGGACTGGAAGACTGATGATTCTCCAGTGAAACTGAGGAAGAAAGTGGTTCTGCCTATCAGCCTTCAGCTGGTTACCTTTGCATAAAATACTCTCTTTATCTTTTTTCCCTTAACTAACTGTCTTGGTTTGTAGGTGTAGGATGGCTGATTTCTCTTTGCCTACATTGAGAATAAACACCTTCCTTTTACATCTTTCATTTTAACTAACACATACTTACCTAAAAGGTACCTCAACCCACAAGTTTCTTTCTTGACTTCACAGGTTTATACATGATTATGTTTCTTGATGCTAAGCCAAACTGTGTTGATATTATGGCCATGATTTTCGTGAAAATTTAAAACAATACATTCATGAAAATGTATTGTCTCCATTTGGTAGTTTGTATTTGAATATGGGGATTTCCTACAGCATGAAAATTGTGTAATTGACTAAACAAATTACAAGCTGTCAAAGTAAGACTTTCAGACAAAAAGTGAAGTCCTTTAGAAGTAGGAAGACTTTTTAAGGGTCACAGTCAGAGGGCCTCATGTGGAACTGCTGACTTGGGGTGAATGAGATTGGCTCCTCTGAAGATGATCCAAGAGATACCACCACCTTAGAGGAGTATTTGGTGCTTGTGTCTGGTGCGTGTAGTTACCTAGTTACCAGAAAATAATAAATAAAATAAAATAAATCCTAAAAAATCTACCCAGAGAGATGGAAGGGAAGTGCTTTAAAACCCAGGCCTTTATTAGCTAGTGTTTTCAACACGTTTGACTTTGGGAGCAGAGCTGCCTGGCTAAATGAAGTTACCGCCATCAGTCACTGCCAGGCCAGCATCGGGACAGGTCTAGGAATTTAGTTACATTTTGCATTTTGGTAGATAACATAGAGGGTGGATTATCACTGGCTCAAGAAACAAAAAAATGAAACCTTTCTTTCTCAGTCTACCTGCTAAATTTGTTATCGTAAGGATCTTTTCAAAGCCTTTATCTGGGAGCAATATCTGCCAGAGTTCTTCCTTCCTTTTTTGCTTGCCTGACACCCTTCCCTTCAGAGTTCAGTTCTTGCTAGTAGAAAAAGGCTATGCAGCATGATAATACAGTGATTTTAAAAGTTGATTATCTTGAAGTATTTTGGGACAGTTTTGGGGAATGGGTTATGTGGTATATATTTATTTGGCTCTTTGCTGAATATGGCTGTATAAATCCAGCCTCCTGGATGTTACAAGTCATCCCCTTGATTTCTTCTTTTGAATAAAAAAGGAGCATTGCTTCATTTTTCTTGCAGAAACCCTTATTTAAACAATGAAAACTTCAAAGATAGGGAGAAAAAAACCAAGTTAATTTAGTACTAAATTACTGCTCAAATGGTTTTATCTTTTAAAAGGTTCAAGTAGAGATTAGCTTAAATACACTGAATTTCACTTTTCCTTGTACGTACATATCTTGTGAGCAAACTTCATTGTGAAGAGCTCTCTGTCTTCTTTAGTTTTGTTAGTAATCACATAATTGTTAGTTGCTGTTTATTTCCCTTTCCTGAAGCAAATCTCTCCATCTCTGGGCCAGGTTGGCAAGTGGAATACCCAGTTAAGATTACAGGATAGTAAAACCCAGTGCTTTAATCAAACTGCTTACTTTACAAGATGGCAAAAATAAAATAATATATATGAACACTCTTAAGTAGGAAGTGTTTTCTGCCTATTTACCTATCTCTATTTATCAATCACTTTTATTAAAACAGCAATACCTAGTGGTGGGGGTTATTTCTCTGGCTACTGCTAATAATAATAACTTTTGTAAGTCTTCCACATTAGGGAATACTGAAAAAGAAAATACTATGTAAAAAGGATTAATTCAGGATGTACTCAGTCATCTCTAAGGTGAAACTGAAGAACACCGTGACAGCAAGATCCTAACTGGAGTTGAATGTTTTTTGATAAGTAAATGGAATCATTTTGTAATCTTGGGGAAACTGACAATGATTATAATCTCTAATTTCTGGGTCTTCTAATACAGAAAGGACATATTGTTTCATGCAGTTTTTTATATTTTATATACTATGTTTAATAAAGAAATGGTGTTTCTGTAGCTAACCCATAAGACATTTGGTAGAAAAATGAGCATTTAAAAATGACTTTAAAATTGAGTATCTGCTTTTATACCAGACACTGTGTTAGGTTCATCTTTGTCTTTCAGAAGGTTCTAGTCTATTTTTCCCTCAACTTTTATTTCAAAAAATTTCAAAACCACAGGCAACTTGAAAGAAGAATACAATGAATACTTGTATTTACTTTACCTAGATCCATCAACTGTTAACATTTTCCCCATTTGCTTTCTCTCTCTCTCTCAATAATGTATACACACATACTCATCTTTTTTCTTCCCTAAGCCACATGAAAGCACATTGCATCATGATGAATACTTCAGCATGTAGCGCCTAAGAATAAAGACATTTTCCTGGGCACACGCAATACCATTATTACATTGAAATTATATAGTCTATGTTCATATTTCCCCAGTTACTTTGTTCTCTCTGCTGCAGAATCTATCAGAGATCACACATTGGATATGGTCTCTAGTCTCTTTTAATCTAGAACCATTACCCTGCTTGCCACCTGTTTTTTCTTTAAGGAGTTTTTAAGGGGTATCTTTTATGGCATTGACATTTTGATGAATCCACCTGCTCTTTTGTAGAATGTTCTGTAGTTCTACAAATTGTTTGATCATTTCCTCATGGTTCAGTTCAGATTAAACATCTTTTGCAAGAACCCTGCATAGCTGATACTGCCAACTTCCTTGTAACACTGCCTCAAGAGGGACATAATATCAGTTTGCCCTATTACTAGCTTGATCCTTGGTTCAAGATATAAATTTAGTTACTGAGTGTAGGTGAATTTGTAGGGTTCTCCATTTTTGTCCCTTTATAATTAATAAGTAACCTTGTGTATACATATCTTGTGAGCAAACTTCGTTGTGAAGAGCCCTCTGTCTTCTTTAGTTTTGAGCCTGAAGATCTTGTTCTCTAATGGCCCTTTACTTAATGGATTGAGCAGCATTGGTAAACCTTGTCTGAATCAAATATTATGTCCGTGGTTATAAAACTGTGATTTTCTAATTCTGTAATTCCTCTACTTGGGTAGAGGCATTTCTGAATAAAGAAGAGCTTGCCTTCCCTACTCTTCCCCCTCTTTTTTTTTTTTTTTTAGAAAATTACAATGGGTTCAGTATGGTATGTTTCATTACCATCGGATTTGGCCAGTGGGAACCCCTTCAGAGTGGCTCCTGTATCCTTTTAATATATTCTCATTAATTTTTAAGCTCTTTTGTATTTCATGTCACAAGAAGATATCTATGTTTACATTGTATTTTCCTGCCCCCATACCTGGAATCAGTTATTTCTCCAAGGAATCCTGATTCCTTTTAGTCAAAGAATGATATTTAGACAGCGGACACATCTAAGAATTGTGCTCATTGCTACTGACTTGTCATTGTTTCTAAACTTTTCCGTGAGCAAACAAGGGTGTGTGTGTGTGTGTGTGTGTGTGTGTGTATAAAATATCCTTTGTCTCAAAAAAAAGTTATATGTGAATTTTCAGCTGCATGGGGGTAGGGGCCCTGTGTTCAAGGGTCAACTGTGTGAGTGTATTTTAAAAATGTTTATTCATTTAAATCACAATGTCATGCTAATACATTCAATTCCAGTCTAACATCTGAGGGTACTTTCTCTCCATCTCCCATTCCTTATTTGTGTTTTCTTTCTCCCATGGTGAAAACTCTGTTTCCCAGTGATAGCAACGTCTTTTTAGTACAAAATAGTTTTGGAATTACTCCACCAAGACCATTGTAGACAACAAATCTACCAAGTAGAGCGCAGGATTTTTTGCCACTCTTTTTGTCTTTAAAATAGATCCCACTGAGGGTAGATGAGTATCATGTTCACAAATTTACAGATTAGTTTTTTTGTGTGTGTGTTATGTATCAATAGGTATACAGTTAGGATCATTTATTTCTGTTTATATTTTGTTTTAATTTCTTTCCTATCATTGTTGATTTATAATTTGAACATATAACTCATTAACGTGGCTCAAAATCAAAACTGTCCATTCTCATTTCGTTCCCTATGTTTTTTGTACCATTCCCACCCAACTTCCTATAGTTGCCAATTTCATACATTTCTTGTATATCCTTTCAATTTTTCCTTTTGAAAATATAATGAGTAGTGTTCTATTCTCTTAAACTTTCACACAGCCTTTGTTAATATCTGCCTATAATATGTATTATTTGACAAATCCTAGGTTCTCGTATTTGTTATGATGACCTTCCTCCTCATTTGGCTGTATTTTACTTTAGAAGCCTTTTGTTTTTATTTATTTAATTATTTATTTTTATTTTACTTTAAGTTCTAGGGTACATGTGCACAACGTGCAGGTTTGTTACATAGGTATACATGTGCCATATTGGTTTGCTGCATCCATTAACTCGTCATTTACATTAGGTATTTCTCCTAATGCTATCCCTCCCCCTGCCCCTCACCCCATTACAGGTGTATGATGTTCCCTGCCCTGTGTCCAAGTGTTCTCATTGTTCAATTCCCACCTATGAGTGAGAACATGCAGTGTTTGGTTTTCTGTCTTTGTGATAGGTTGCTCCAAATGATGGTTTCCAGCTTCATCCATGTCCCTGCAAAGGACATGATCTCATCCTTTTTTATGGATGCATGGTATCGCATGGTATATATGTGCCACATTTTCTTAATCCAGTCTACCATTGATAGACATTTGGGTTGGTTCCAAGTTTTATTCCAAGTTTGGGTTGGTTCCAAGTTACTATTTTCACTTTTCTCCCATTTCTTCCTTCCAAGTTCATAGTTTTACTTGGATAGTGGAAGGAATTCATTTTTTATTTTCTTTTTTTTTTGAGATGGAGTCTTGCTCTGTTGCCCAGGCTGGAGTACAGTGGTGCAATCTTGGCTCACTGCAGGCTCCCCGCCGCCAGGTTCATGCCATTCTCCTGCCTCAGCCTCCCGAGTAGGTGGGACTGCAGGCACCCACCACCTTGCCAGGCTAATTTTTTGTATTTTTAGTAGAGATGGGGTTTCACCGTGTTAGCCAGGATGGTCTCGATCTCCTGACCTGATGATCTGCCCACCTCGGCCTCTCAAAGTGCTGGGATTACAGGCATGAGCCACTGCGCCCGGCCTTTTTTTTCTTTTAATTCATCAAGTTACTTGCAAGAAAATAAGGATTGCCCTTTTCATACAATATAACGTGTCTCTGATATTTAATAACCATGCCTTACCTTGCTTCTGATCGGCTGTCTTTTTTTAACCCTTCTCCTTATCCAATAAGTTGGCAAATAAATGCCTCAAACCCCAATTCTTCCAACTTTTTTTTTTAATTGCAGTATAATTTACTTTTAAGTGCACAACCAAGATGTCTTTTGCATTTAAACCTCAGACTATGTTCTAAAAGTGCCTCTTGGACATCTCAGTCCGGATGTTCCAGTTATCTCAAATAATATGAATGACAAAACAGCAGTTATATTTAGTGTCTGTATTCATGATCTCATTTAATCCTCACTGTCACCCTATAGTTACCACTGTTGCCCCATTTTACAGAAGAGGAAGAGGAGAGGACAGTAATAGGTCCCTTGTCCAAGAAACACAAATGGTAAGTATCAGAACCAGGATCTGAACTATATCTATGTTCAAAACCCACAGTTTTAAACACTTAACTGCATTTTCCTAAAATTCAAGACGTCTAAAACTGAACTTCACATCTGTTCTGGCCGGGCATGGTGGCTCTCGCCTGTAATCCCAGCACTTTGGGAGGCCCAGGTGGGCGGATCACAAGGTCAGGAGTTCGAGATCGGCCTGGCCAATATGGTGAAACCCTGTCTCTACTGAAAAATACAAAAATTAGCCGGGCGTGGTGGTAGGCGCCTGTAGTCCCAGCTACTCGGGTGGCTGAGGCAGGCGAATTGCTTGAACTTGGGAGGCGGAGCTTGCAGTGAGCTGAGATCGCACCCCTGCATTCCAGCCTGGGCGACAGAGCAAGACTCTGTCTCAAAAAAAAAAAAAAAAAAAAAAAATCTGTTCTTCCCACATCTCCCTCTATTCCATGTTTCCTATTCTGATGAAGGGTACCACCATCCATCCAATGAGTTAAATAAACCTGGGAGTCCTCATAGAGAATTCCCTCCTTTGTTATCATCTCCCCCTATATTAGCTATAGGTCCTGCCTGTCTTCATTTTACAGACGAGGAAAGTAGACTTACAATGGTATAACAGCCCCTTAATTGTTTCATTTACTGCTAGCCTCATTCCTTGTAATGCATCCTTAACACTGATTCTAGAGGAATCTTCCTAAAATACACCTTAGATGTCACTTTCTTGCTCAAAACTTTAAATGTTTTTCTTGGCACCCTAAAGGTGAGGCTTACCCTCTTTCAGTGTGTCCTGCAGTGTCCTTCATGCTTGGCCTCGCCGGCTCTCCACACCATTGTTTTTGCTTTAGGACTACCAGAGTAAATGTGTCCTGGATGCACCATGCTCTCCCATGCCTCTCTGCTTTTTATATGCTACCTCCTCTACCTTAAGCACCTTAATGTATATGGCTAGTTCCTACATCTCTCTCAAGATTCACCTCAAGCACTGCATTCTGAAAGGAAACTTCCATGATTACTCAGGCTGGTTAGGTATCTTTTCTTTGAACCCTTCTTCTGTACTTCCCTAAGGGCTACTCCTAACTTATCTTCCTCCTTCCTATCAAACAGACTTCTCTGAATGGCCTGAGTCTCTTCTATATGCCCGCTACACATTTCGTCCAACTTGTTTCCACCAATAGACATGTCCTATCCTCATACCTTCCACGTAGGCATATTTAAATCCCATGTATATGTAAAGACCGAAGTCCAGTGTTTTTAAGTCTTACATAATTTCTCAGCTTGAATATGTTTTCCTTTCAACTTCTGTCACAACTTCTCTAACCATTTCATGACATTTAACATTTTTTACACAATTTGATTTCTAATATGTATATATCCTATCCTTTTCATTTCTTATAAATACTGGTTGTTGGGATACAGAATATGCCAAGGCCTTAGTGTCTATGAATTTAATTTAGTGGTGGTCTTATTATCAGCTTTTTTAGGGCTATAATTCTTAGTTGAAGTTGTTTGTTCTCCCATAATGAATGAAGAGCTATCAACGTGCCTGACTTTTGTATCTTGAAGGAATGACTTCTAGTGTGTTTGTTCATACTTGGTTGTTGGGCAATCATTAAAGAGATTTAGTCTAGCAGTCCAGATAAGAGAATCTCTTTCCATTTATTTAATCACTTCACAGTCCTGGGATACCTAGACTTTGAGTCATTGCTGAGGCTATATCGTCACTTTAGAGTTGAAGCAACAAACCAAGAAACTTATCTCTGAGGTCATCTGTTCCTCTTCACCTCAGCTTTCATGAGAGGCTTGTCTTAAAACTGAGATATATATATTCTTAGAAGAGGCATGGTGAACATACGGAAATTTAAACCTCAGGGTAACAGTTTTCCTTGTACAGTAATAAAGATGTATCTGGAGTCAGTGGCTACAGGATCAAAAAATAGATCACAGTAATCGGATCAAACCTGAGAAATGGCTTTTTGCTGTGTTTAAAAAAATGACATGGGTAAGGCAGTCTGTTTTGTGGCGATGCTTCCACTATTTGTGTGACTATACAGTCTGTGAAATAGGACTGGCAAAGTTAAGCTTATAAAGTTAATTGCCTACAACTGATCTAGCTTTAAACAGAAAGTAGGTTTCCTTTTGGTCTTGTGTAGAAGAGGGGAGAGATTTCATGTGTAGGCAGAGAGAGTATGTGTTTGCTAACATTACCTTTTAATTTAGGAGAAGTTTGGAGTTTGTTCTTTCCTGTGAATATAGAGGTGGAACCACTCTAACCAGAGTTTATTGCTGTAATATTTTTTAAATGCGTTTGTAACACTGATGTATCTGTGACCTTGTGAAGGAGTTTTTGAGAGGAGGGGGTGGCAAGCCCTTTTTCTCACTGTCATAAGTGATGCCTACTCAATAACTCTAACTTCCTGACATTATTGGGAGGGGGAGGAGGGCCTCTCATAACTTGTTTTTGTATGACTTAGTTCTAAAGTGTTCCCTTCATAGTCACATCCATCCATTTAGACTTCCCTTTTCCCTGCCTAAGGCTTGCATCCAGCCTAGTCTGTGTTTGGTACTTTAAATGCTTTGAATTATGGAGAATCTTAGTATTTTATTGATGCTTGCCTTGTAGCTACATAGCTCTATATTGTCTTAGGTTACACAGCTTGCATTTCTTAGGCATTGTGAGTGGATTATTGCAATTAGTTGAAGTTTTGAGAGGAATGCTATGTCTTCCTTGATTTCTACCAAGTGCCATATTCTTTTTCTTGGTAGATTTTTTTTTTTTCCAGGGATTGCCTTTTAAAGGACCTTTTAAGTTAGAGGCATTAACCTTTCTTTCCATCATAACTCTCAGCAGATATATCTTTTTCAGCATGACCTACTGTCAAGTAAATAATGATTTGATGGCAATGTTCAAGAAAAATTGTATCTTTGAAATACAAATTTTTGTCAGTGTCTTAATGTATAGTATATGATTGGTATTATCCAAGAAGAAGAAAAGATGAATCAATTTCTTCTAGAATTAGGTGGCTAATGCTTCAAGCATCCTATTTAAAAACAATTACATGTAGGCCTGTCGGCAGGATTGCTTATTTCATTATTCTGGTCATTTGCATGAAAACAAGTTGATGATTCTTTAACCACTGTTCAGTTTTCTTTTCCTTTTGAATTATTATTCCTCAAGCATTATATTCCATTCATGCAACAGCATGAATCAGATCTAGAAAGTTAGAATTTCAGACTAAGATAGTAGCAGATTTTTTTTCACCTTTTTTAACCGAAAATGATCTCCCATTTTCATATTAATTTACCTGTGATTACATCTCTTTATCCTTGTTTCATAAGGTGAGTGCATAGAGTTATGTTTTAATAGAATATTTTTCAAGGTTTTAGGATTTTTTTAAATGAGGTCATCACCTTCAAGATTTTGACCTGAACTTTTCATGAACTAAAGGAGCAAGAAAAAGATAAATTTTTTAAAAAGATGAATATATAATGTACTTATAATGGAATAACTGATCGAAGTTAAATTCATTTGATAACGTTTATCTGGTGCTAGTTCCCAAAGCACTCTACCATTTCAACAAGAGAAACTCCATGTTCATACATTGGATCTCCCCCATAAGATTCTCTTTGAAAAAAGTGTTTTACTTTTTTAAAAAATGGTTTAAAAACCACTGGACTTAATGAATCTTTCAATTTCCAAACAACAAGGCTGGAGCAAATGAAGCCTGGTTACTGGGAGAGCACATCAGGGCTAAGACCAAAGCCGTAGGCAGTAACAAAGAATACTTATTTGCCTGACCTTTCCTCTCTTCGTATTCTCCTTGGGGTTCTGGAAGGTGGGACTGTGGCCACAGCAGAGAACTGGTTCAGGAGCTGAGATTTCAGATCACGGGCACCTCTATCTTTCCATTAGAGGGATATAAAGGAGGGAGCTAGCCTGGAGTGGGGATGCCTAGAAGGCTTTCCATTTAAACAAAGTCTCGAAAATATGGGAAGGATTGCTATTGAGAAAGAGGTGAGAAGGAAAGGCATTCCATGTTGAGGAGAACCATGTGAATAAAGGCTTACAGGTAGGAAAACTAAAATGGCTAGTGAGAGATGGGATTAGCAACAGATAGTTTGGGGCCAGACTGTGGAAAAACTTTGAATGTCAGGTTTAAATGAAATTCAAGGCCAGGTACTATGGCTCATGCCTATAATCCCAGCATTTTGGGAGGCCTAGGTGGGAGGATTGCTTGAGCCCAGGAGCTTGAGACCAGCCTGGGCAACATAGTGAGACCCCGTCTCTACAAGAAATAAAAAAATTGCCCGGTGGTGTACAACTGTAGTCCTAGCTACTTGGGAGGCTGAGGTGGGAGGATTGCTTGAACCTGGGAGATGGGGGCTATAATGAGCTGTGATTGCACCACTGCACTCCAGCCTGGGCAACAGAGTGAGACCTGTCTCAAAAAATAAATACATAAACAAATAAATAAATTCAAGAGGTCATTGGGGAGTCTTAAATTTTTTGAACAGTGAAGTAACATCAGGTTGGTTTTTTAGGAATATGAATCCTGCAATGATAAGAAATTGAGAGGTTCATGAGTCCTACAATGATTAGAAATTGAGAGGATCTTCCATTAGAAATGGAGAGATTGGTTAGGAGTATAATAGTTCAAGCAAGACAACAAAAACTTGAATTAGGGCAGTGAAGGAAGAATAGGAGGTAGAATGGAGCCTCCATTGATGGCTGACTAGAGAATGGGGATTGAGGGAAAACAAATAATAGAAATGAAGGTGTGCTTTGATTTTGGACTTGAATGACTAGGAGAATGACTACTCTAATGAACAAAAATGTAAATGTTATATGTGGGTTTAGTAAGGGAATGCAATGAACTTGGTTTTGGATATGTTAAACTTGAGTTATCACTGGAACATTCAGGTAGAAATGTTTAGAAAGCAGTTTGAAATAAGAGTTTAGTAGAAAGGTTGAGAGCAGCGCTGCAGATACAGATTTGAAAGTCATCTGCAAAGAGATGTGTCTTAGCGTTCTCACACTGCTGGTAAAGACATACCCGAAACTGGGTAGTTTATATAAAGAAAAAGAGGTTTAATGGACTCACAGTTCCATGTGACTGGGGAGGCCTCACAATCATGGCAGAAGACAAAAGGCACATCTTACATTGCAGCAGAGAAGAGACAGAATGAGAGCCAAGTTAAAGGGGTTTCCCCTTATAAACCACCAGATTTTGTGAGACTTATTCACTGACAAGCAAACAGTATGGGGGAAACCGCCCCCATGATTCAGTTGTCTCCCACTGGGTCCCTCCCACAACACGTGGGAATTACAGGAGCTACAATTCAAGATGAGATTTGGGTGGGGACACAGCCAAACCATATCAAGATGGTAGCAAAAGTTTTACATTATGCTTTTATTTAGTTACTTCTTTAATACACATTTATTCAAAGGCCCAGTGTGTGCCAATCATTGTATTAGGTGCTGAAGACAGGCAGAAGTGTATGAGAGATCCTTAAGGGGTGCTGCAGAGAGGTTGAATCTTAAGGAAGGTGTGTTGGTAACAAGATAAACAGCCTGTGATGAATGCCAGAAAGGACTAGTCAGAGGACTGGAAGTTAAAGTTGTGGAAGAAGGAGGGAGTCAGTACCAGGTGGAAGATGGGCAGGATTGGTGTGGGGTGAAAGCCTGTTAACCAAGGTGCAGAAGAATCATCGAAGGTGAGTGTATTGTCTTGAAAGTGAATGAACTCTGGGGAAGAGGTTATTTAAGCAAATGGATTCGACTTAGAGATTTAGCCAGTCACAAAGCTAGGATATGGCAACACCGGAACAAGATTCCAGGTTGTTTTTTCTTTTCTTTTTTTTTTTTTTTGAGACAGAGTCTCGCTCTGTTGCCCAGGCTGGAGTGCAGTGGCATAATCTCGGCTTACTGCAAGCTCTGCCTCCCGGTTCCACGCCATTCTCCTGCCTCAGCCTCCTGAGTAGCTGGGACTACAGGCGCCCGCCACCACGCCCGGCTAATTTTTTGTATTTTTAGTAGAGATGGGGTTTCACCGTGTTAGCCAGGATGGTCTCAATCTCCTGACCTTGTGATCCGCCCGCCTCGGCCTCCCAAAGTGCTGGGATTACAGGCATGAGCCACCGCGCCCGGCCCAGGTTTTTATATTGGAGTCCATTTCTCACTGTAGCATACCAGTACGCCAAATTGTGTCTTTACCATGGTATAGGGAACTAGAAAGAGCCAGTTCAGCCTGTCCATATTATTTAAAATGTTTAATTAAGATACTTGAAGTTGTTGGATACAGAGAAACTTAATAAACCTCACGACTATCCTTGTATTTCACATGACCAATGGCAGCTTTGGCAGGCTTAAGCATGGAGGGAGGATAGATGGAAGCTGTTTTTCTGGACATGTGCAGCTTTTAACAAGTACCACCAGAGAGCAAAAACAAATCCTAGTGTAGCACAGGGAGCACTTTCCGGATGGCAGGAAGAATCTAGGTCAGCTTAATGGCAACTCCTATTCTTTAGGTAGATTAATGTTTGCCCCCTGGTTTTCAGCATGCTGTACGACATCCAGAAAGACTGTGCATGGTTCCTTAGCCCATATTAGTTAGTAGGGGGTCATGAATGAAATTGATGTGTGGGAGCCTTTTGATTTACAGTTGAGAGAGTGTAGCTCAGGCCTAATGTGGAAACATGCTGAGTTGTAGTCTGCATTTTCTTAACTCCTTTATGTAAAGGACACATCCTTGTGGACATTTTGCATGTTACCTTTAGGAGATGACTGGTCTCCTATGGGTAGGATGACCAAAAAGTGCTCAGTTGATCAGTAGAGCTCTGGAACCTGGGCTGGCTAGTTTGGCATCCTTTTTCTGGCTATGCCTCCAGTGCTGTCTAATAGAACTTTTGTGATGATGGAAATAGTCCATATCTGTGCTGTTCAGTATAGTAACCACTAGTCACGTGTGACTATTTAGTACTTGAAATGTGGCTAGTGTGACTAAGGGGCTGAATTTTTAATCTTAATTAATTTATAGGTCAGTAGCCATGTGTGTTTATCGGCTACCATATAGGGCTGCATAGCTCTAGACTAAAAAACATTTAAAAAGCCAAATTCTCATGCTCATCGGTATTTTTAACTAGTGAGAGGAGGTTGGAAGAGGGTTGAGTTATATTGATATTCACTCCAAATTTAGTAGGTTTATATTGAACATTGGACTGAGCTATTGTGGGCTTGTGAATTTTTCTTGACTCTCCTCTTGCTTTTCATGTCTAAAAGCCTTTGGAATATCTTAATAGTCCTTTCCTCATTTGAAGAATTACCCCTTTTGGCCTTAGATGGGTGTAGCTCATCTAGTGCATAGATTAATAGCTCTAGCTTTGTCCTTAGGAAGGTAAATCTTGAAGGTTACTGTTACATGACTCTACTGCCGTATGCCAATTCACATTGTTATTTTTGTGTGTGTGTGATGCTGAAAGTGAGTGAAATGTGAAAAAAACATTATTCATTTTAAATAGTTTTGACTGCCAGGTTAATGCAACTCTTAAGCAGAGCTTCATGAGGTCTGGCCATAGTAACTGCTTTTAACTTGATTTAAAGTTCTTAAACGTTCTGAATTGCTTCACCTAATCTTTTTATACTGAACGTATAATTTTCAGACTCGTCTTTATTTTCAAATCCATAACTGACAGCTGCTCAACACCTCATTCAAATAGTTTTAAGAGTTTTAGAGAAAAGTTGGGACAGACTGGATTTACTGACATCAGTTGGATTGAGATATTGTGGATTTAAAGATGATAGAGAAGGAGAGGGAAAAGTATGAAATAATTATTCCGTGTTCACTGCTTGCCCAATGACAGTGATTTAAAGCCTAATAACTAACAAAACTGAGAGATGGCAGAAGGACATTTGAATTAACTTCCAAATCTTAATATAAGGAATGAGTATTTTCTTTGAAAACAAAATTTTCATGTGTAGTCCTATTCGTTTTATTATATTTTTAAAAATATTAATGCACAGAAATGCATATATGCCAAAACCTCACTACAACCTTTTTCTTGGCGTATATCTTCCAGATTCTGTGAGATTGTCAGCTCCTTAAAGGAGCTAACTCTTTAGGGGACTCCATGATGTCTAGTGCACAGCAAACATTTTCCAAACAGAATTAACCATCTTATAAGAGAAACACGTTTATAAATACCTCTACTTCCAATGACAAATGAAATCATCTTGTGATTCAACTCAAGAAGGCTCTGGGCTACAGTGAATATAGAGAAGCTTCAGGAAGTACTGTTTAAGAGTTAAAATTAATGTGACTAAATTTTGTCCTCATCCTTTTGAGAAAATGCATGCATGTCTGTGTGTGTATGTGTTTGTGTGTGTGTATCACTTACTATGTGCTAGACACTGATAAGCACTAGGTTTACAAAGATGAATTATATAGGCTCTCTTCCATCAAGGAACTTATATTTTAGATGTTTTTGCAGGACACAGTAAAAATAACAATACCATGTGCCAAGAACCATAATAGATATAGTTCAGGAGTGCTGTGGAAGCATAGAAGAGGAATGTCTAACTCACTATGGAGACTTAGAGTCAGGAAAGACTTCTAGGGGGTCTCTTGAGTTGAGCCTTGAAAGGTAGGTAGGAGATAGCCAGATAGAGACGGTATTAGAGGAGTTTTTCCAGGTAGAGAGATAATGGGCGGAAAGACAAAAGCATGGGGGATTCTGGGAACTGCAGATAGTTTGCTATGGCTGAGGGGAATAGCCTTTGAAGGAGCACCAAAATATGAAGCTGGAGAGGGTACACAATTGTCAAATCATACAGGACCAACTTGGTAATAAAGAGAAGTCTGGGTTTTATTCCATGGAGAGTGTCAATGAGGGGAGCGGGAGGGTGCAGGACGAATCTGGAGGATTAGAGACTCAGGTAGGAGAGCAGTTAGGGAGCAGCTGTGGAAGGCCAGCTGAAATTTTGAGGGCCAGAACCCAGGTAGTTGCTAGGCAGCTTGGGAGGAAGTTGGTTTCAGGATATGTTTAGGAAAGTAGAATTTCATAACTGATCAAGAGAGTGGGAAGAGGAGGAGTCTAGGTTAATGGTCAGGTTCTGGCTTGGCTGCCTAAGTAGGTGATGGGTGTAGTAACTAAGACAGGAAATTTAGAAAGCAGACAGTGTTGGGATTAAAGAGGATGTGCTTGACCCTGCAGAAGTTGAGCTGGAGGCACATTCAGGTGAAGATACCTAGCAGCACTCTGTGGCACTCATTTGGAGACATGGCCATGGATGAGATCTCCTAAGAAGAATGTATATGGAAGAGGAAGAGAAGCTAAGGACAGAATGTCAGGAACGTCAACAATTAAAGGTAGGCAGAAGAAGATGAACTAGTGAGAGGAGTGAAGAAGGGGCTGTCAAGAGACTTTGAGGAAAGCCAGGAAAGCCTTTTGTTTTGGCATCTAAGAAGGTGAGTGAGCCACAGTGTCAAATGCTACAGGGAATTCAGATAAGATAAGGGAGGCCACCATGGCTATAGAACTTAGGTATTCATAGGGGACCTCTACCTTACAATTTTAGTGCAGCAGTGAGTGTGGGAACCAGATGGCAATGCGTGGAGCAAATGGAAGTGCAGAATAGGAAGCATGCTGTAGACACATGTTTGAAGAGGCTTGACTGGTAAAGGTAGGGTGAGGGAGAAGGGGACTGGAAATAAGGAGGTGTAGAACTTAGAGAAATTTTAAAGTATGTATTTTTTTGAATTAGGGAGGTGTGAGAAGGTTTATATATATCATAAAATAAGAGATATTACAGAGGGAGATGAAAAATAGGAAAGTGAGAGTTGATCACTGACCATCAAGGGCCATGATGAGGCTCAGGAGGAGGCATTTGCTGAGAGGGGTGGGGGCAAGAGACCATTGTTTTCTTCTGAGGTGGAGATAATGGGCAAGGCTTTAAGAAGGAGGGTGGATGTAGATAAGATTGCACCCTGCAGGGCTGAGGCCTGGAGGGAGGGAGAACCTTCTTGGGAAAGTAGGATCCCATGCTAAACCTGTTGATGGTGAGATGGAGCTGTGCAGGGTGAGAAACTGGGAAGGTTTGAAATGTTCTCCCTCCAGGAGAACTCAGAAATTCTAGGAAGCAACCAGCTGAGGCTGGAAACATTACGTTGCAGTGACCCAAGGCCCCTTGTGTGCTGATTATCCTTGTCTGAGCAGCAGACTGAAATGTCACTCTTCCCAGAGACCAGTCTGAGATGTCCTTGATATCTTCCTTCCCTTTCAGAGGGAAGGCAGGTCAATGTATCATGGAAATTTAGAGCTGAAGGGGACTTTAGAGAGCACACAGAACTCCCTCATCTTGTAAATGAGGAGACCAGCTCAGAAAAGTGAATGACTTATTCAAGTGGATCCAAGGCCAGGGCTAAGACCAGGCCTGACTTGCAGCTCAGGGTTTTCTTTGTTGTTCCCTTGCTACCTCCTTGATAAGGATTATTAGTAAATCCCACTCATTATAAATGCTCTTAATTTCCCATTTTGTACACTGGGAATTCTACACCATTTTCTTTCTCTTCCAGTTTTTTGTTTTGTTTTGTTTTTCTTCTTTGTGGAGTTCAAGCAGGTATAACAGTATTCTAGGATGCTAAAAATAAATAGACTTAGGTATCTTTTCTTAAGTGGAGATGATACTGGATTAGATGAGAATATTATTTGGGACCTGTAAAAAGGTAAAACTTAAATGCTGAAATGTTTGGAATTTCTGTTCTTACAAACTTTATAATTTTAAAGATAAGTAGATTTATTCACACATTTTAAAATTCTTTCATTCCATATTTCAAGAGGATTTACTAGGTGATGATGCCACAGCAAAGAATTTCCATATCTCTCCTGTTGTCTGTTGAGAATTGATGATTATATTAATAGTCTCTCCATCTAGAGTGTTAAGGTTAATATTGTTAACTTGTGAATGCTTCTTTGGGATCTACCATCCATGTCCTTAGCCTAGACAAGAACTAAGAAGCAGAAAATAGAATGTCTTTTGGATAAACACAGATTTGGTAGGAGTGATTTAGTTTGGAGCAGGGGAACCTTAATTAATTATCACTGTTTATAATACATTTTTCCCCTTTGTTTCCAAGAATGAGAATAGTTCAGCAACACAATTGATAAATAAAACATAAAAGGACAGTTATGGTTGCCCTGGTAACTATATTTCTCAGCAAGTATTTTGTTTGCCATGAAATGTGTCCAGGGTTATTTATTGGAAATCAGACTCCAAATGTCATGACTTTTTGTATTTGAATTTCTTATGTACTCATTTAGGAGGGACAATTTTGTACGTTTTTTTGGGTTGGGTTCTGAAGCTCTATGTGTGATGGGGATCCTTGTGTGTTTTTCTTTTTTTGGAAGACAAATAGGAAACTGTGATTACAGTGAATCTATTTAAGATGAATTTCCAAGTCTAAAGTGGGATTTAAAAGTATTTGAATCATTTTGGGGATACATGAAATTTCTTAAAACTGGAATATTTTAATGTAGAATTTGAACATAAGATACTTTCTGATCAATGATCAGGAATATGTTAACATTACATTTTGACTTAATTCCTATGCAATTAATTTTGAGTAGAATAAATTATTCTCAAAAAAGTCTTAAAGATAAAAATCAAAATAATTAAGCAATTAGAGCAATTGCCACTTCTAGATGATTTATGGTAGTGTGAATTAAAGCTAAGTGAATAATTTTTTATACGTTTATTGTATTCTTTTACCCCCAAACAAAATCACTTCAGTCTACAGACATAGTTTTACAAGTGCACAAATATATACGTAGAAAGATGTAACTGCTGCATAGATTTTAATAGCAAAAAATTGGAAGCAATCCAAATGTCCATCAGTAAGGGACTGGTTAAATAAATTATGATCTGTCCATACAATGGAATACTTGGTAGCCATTAAAAAGAGTGATGTAGATCTATATCTACTGACAAGAGAAGACTTCCAGGGTGTATCAGTAGGTGAAGAAAAGCATACTGTAGAACACTGTGTAAGTATTTTATATATAATTAATCTATAATGCATACTATCTAATTGGCATATTCATTTAAAATGTGAAGAATCAACAGAAAGCTCTTAACAATGGCTATCTCTAGAGAGTGAGATTATGAAGGACTTTTACTTTCTGAGTTAACTTTGCATATTGTTTAAAATTTCTGTAGTGAATTTGGGTTACCTTGGTAATTAGAGAAAGAGAGAAGATACAAAGCTGTATTTAAAGGGTCTAAAAAGATCAGTTGAAATGGGTGTGGTATGTAAATACATTAGGCTTTGCAGTAATCGTTTATTTACTCTTTGTTTTTGTCTAGATACATAGGAGTTTAAAGAGGTATTTATATTTATGTCTTTTGAAACATCATACAGATTTTTAAGCCTTTTCTAGATATTTACCCCTTTTTTTCTTCACATTTTCAGTTATTTTCTGAATATATCCTTTACTTTAGATTATCACTTTGCAAGGTAACCTGTTTTATTTACATTTTAGTTGCTATTGAGTATGCTTTGATGGACTTTGTCTTTTGTTTAAAGCATTATTGCTGGCCTGATTACTAGATTTGTTTTATTTTAAAATTATATGATCTCCATATACAATACCAGAAGATTTAGGAATTTTATGTATAATTTATAGTTTAAAAGTATTTGAATGATTATTGGGATACGTGAAATTTCTTAAAACTGGAATATTTTAATGTAGAATTTGAACAAAGGATACTTTCTGATTAATGATCAGGAATGCATTAACTTATTACCTTTTTGACTTAATTCCTAGGCAATTAATTTTGAGTAGAATTGAACCTCTTATCCAAAACCTCTTTAAAAGCATGTTTCCACCCTTTTCCCAAGGACAAGAATAGAATGGAATCTGTATTCTGCAGGATTTCATCTGGATGCAATTTTCTAGATTCTGCCTCCATTGCACTGAATGTAAAGTTTTCTTGTGTTTGTGTGTGTTTGGTCCCAGGCTCTGCCTGGACCCCAGCTGCAGCAGCAATCTGGAGAAGACACTTCTCCAGTGCAGCCAGTTTGTTTTTTTGCAGAGGAGTCATCAATGCAAATAGGATTAGGAAGAAAATGCACATGGTCTGGCCGTTTATTGCCATTTTCAATGTATAAGCTTAGTTTGTTAGCACACAGAGTGGAGCAGAAATCACTATTCCAGACCCTTGCTGTGAAGTTTACTGTTTCAATACAGTGATGATATCTGTTAGGAGAAAGCTACAAAGTGAGGTAGACTTTAGGTCACAGTGTTGACATTGTGGATATATTTTATGGATCTGTTGACTTAATGCAAGTTTAGAAAACAGGCTTACATTTTTAATTTTCTTCCTGTCTGCTTTGGTTACATGAAGCTGGATAGGCAATTCCTCTTCTTAGAAATAACCATTGGATTCTTGTCCTTGGGAAGAGAATGGAAATAGCCTTTAAAGAGGTTTTGGTTAAGATGTTATTATACCTTGGATAAGATTTAAGGCAGTGTTTAATTTTTTTTTCCATGATCCATGCAACTGTATGCACAATAAATTTATATGGTGTATTTATCCTTTACTGCATTCTGTGTACCTTGATTTTTTTCTTCATTGTGCTCTCATATTTCCTTTCCTTTCCCTTTCCTATCAATCCAAACCTATCCACTATATCCTGTCCACCTTAATCTGTGCACCATCCTATCCTGTCTACCCTATGCTATCCTGCCCTATCCTGCCCGACTCTGTTCTGTACTCTTCAGTTCTAGTCTATTTCTTTTCTTTTTTTTAAAGAAATGCTGGATGTGGCCCATTATATTTATTTTAAGATTTACCATTTGAAAATCATTGATATGAAGGTGGCAGATTATAATAAATAAAATTACCAAAGGGCTTGGATGTTATGTATTTCTTGAGTGTCATCTGTCTCTTTCAGTGGACGTCAGCATGCTGTTAACTCTCAGTTATTATGTGTGCCCCATGGCTTGTTTGCTGGCATAGTAGGATGACAAAGTTAAGTACCTCATTATGAGATATATACGGTTGTTGATTTCTAAGTTATCGTTCTTCCAGGAGAGTTTTTAACTAGGAAGTCTTTATCACCCTGATTCTCTTATCATTGTGTAAATGTTGAGTAGTCTGTTTGTGTATCCGGTGATGCTAATAAGGTCTGCATTTTCTTAGTGTAAATTATGCCCTACAGAATGTTTAATTCTAGGATCATGTTCTCCTACCACGCAGCGTGCTCCTGGCCCCCTCCTGCTGCCATCTCCTGATGCATGCAGAGAGCATGCAAACCCATTGTAACACTGGACTAAGTAACAAAGGGTTTCCACCTCTAAGTTAAGATAAACCTGCCTCAGAGGAAAAACAAACAAACAAACAATCAAACAAACAAATCACCAATCATTCTAGTATAGTTACAAACCACATGGAAATGATCGTGGATTATCTGGTCTTGGTCATCTTTTAGTTTAGATACTTTAGTATTGACTTTGACCAAGATAATTTTATAACTGAATTTTAACCTTTGTTTTTATATTATAAAATTAGAATATAAGTTATATTCTTGAGACTCTTGAGAGTACAGATACTATATATGGCTTGTATATATTGTAGAAGCCAACTCTGTGCCAGGACATAATTGGTTCTTGATAAATATATTGATTTAATTTGAATGTGAATTGCATATTAAATACTGAGACTTTGGTAATACCATAATAATTAAAAATTTTGCTAAGTGCTTACTATGAGCAAGTTACATTCATCATTTCATTGAGTTCCCACTACTATTTTATAAGAGTGAACCTTTTTGCTAGCAGTAATTTTAATTTACACCTTTAAGGATTTATTTTTAAATTTACATAAACTGAAATTTACTTTTTTTGGGTAGAGTTCTGTGAATTTTGACACATGCATAGAATTGTATATCTACTTTACAGTGGTATGATTACCACAGTCAATATACAGTTTCCTCACTCACCCGGATCCCCTCATGGTGTCTCTCTCTAGTCAAACCTCCTTCCAACTGCTAACCTTTGGCAGCCGTATTGATCTGTTTGCCGTTGCTATAGTTTTGCTTTTTCTGGAATGTCATATACGTGGAATCATACTGGATGCAATTTTTGAATGTAGCTTCTTTTACTTAATATATTGCATCTGAAATTCATCAGTGTTACTCTATGTACCTATCTATCAGTTGTTCATTTCTTTTTATTGCCAAGTAGTATTCCACTGGTGTATGGATGTACTATAGTCTATCCCTTCATTCACAGAAGGACATTTAGGCTGTTGACAGTTTTTGGCGATACGAGTAATGTGGCTATGTATCTGGGTGCAGGTTTTTTTGTGAGCCATAAGTTTTCATTTCTATTGGCTAAATGCCTAGAAGTAGATTGCCAGGTCATTTGATAAGTACAGGTGGCTCTCCATATCCAAAGGTTCTGCATCTGTGTATTCAACCAGCTTCAGATAGAAAATATTTGAAAAAATAAAAATTCTTAGCCTAAGGTAGAGAGGAAAAAAAATAAAATTAAAATATACAACAATAAAAAATGATACAAATAAAAAATATAGTATAACAACTATATAGCATTTACGTTCTATTAGGTATTATAAGTAATCTAGAGATTTAAAGTATACAGGAGAGTATGGGCAGGTTCTATGCAAATAGTATACCATTTTATATAAGCGACTCGAGCATCTGAGGATTTGGGTGTGAGAAGGGGTCCTGGACCCAGTCTCTCATGAATACTGAGGGACAACTATACATGTTTAAGAAACTGCCAAACTATTTTCTAGAGTGACTGTACCATTTTGTTTTCCCACCACAATATATAGGGATTCCAGTTTCTCTAAATCCTTGTCAACACTATATTGTCAGTATATGTGTGTGTGTTTAGTTGTAGTCATTCTAGTAAGTATGTAGAGATATCTCATTATGGTTTTTTTAATTATTATACTTTAAGTTTTAGGGTACATGTGCACAACGTGCAGGTTTGTTACATATGTATACATGTGCCATGTTGGTGTGCTGCACCCATTAACTCGTCATTTACATTAGGTATATCTCTTAATGCTATCCCTCCCCCCTCCCCCCACCCCACGACTGGCCCTGGTGTGTGATGTTCCCCTTCCTGTGTCCAAGTGTTCTCATTGTTCAATTCCCTTCTATGAGTGAGAGCATGCGGTGTTTGGTTTTTTGTCCTTGTGATAGTTTGCTGAGAATGATGGTTTCCAGCTTCATTCATGTCCCTATAAAGGACATGAACTCATCCTTCTTTATGGCTGCATAGTATTCCATGGTGTATATGTGCCACATTTTCTTAATCCAGTCTATCATTGAAGGACATTTGGGTTGGTTCCAAGTCTTTGCTATTGTGAATAGTGCTGCAATAAATGACTACTGATGTTGAGCAAGTTTTCACATGCTTATTTGCGATATGAATATCTTGGTGAAGTGTCTATTCAGATATTTTGCCTAATTTTTTTTTTTTTTTTTTTTTTTTTTTTGAGATGGAGTCTTGCTCTGTCACCCAGGCTGGAGTGCAGTGGCGCTATCTCAGCTCACTGCAAGCTCTGCCTCCTAGGTTCACGCCATTCTCCTGCCTCAGCCTCCAGAGTAGCTGGGACTACAGGCGCCCACCACCACGCCTGTATTTTTTGTATTTTTAGTAGAGACCGGGTTTTACCATATTAGCCAGGATGGTCTTGATCTCCTGACCCCATGATCCGCCCACCTCGGCCTCGCAAAGTGCTGGATTACAGGTGTGAGCCACTGTGCCCGTCCATATTTTGCCTATTTTTTAAAAACTAGGCCATTTTCTTATTGTCAAGTATTGAGAGTACTGGGTATAAGCCTTTCATGAGATATATGATTTGCATACGTTTTCTCATAGACTGTAGGTTTTCTTTTCAGTCTCTTAATAGTGTCTTTTGCTGGTTCTTAATTTTTATAAAGTCCAGTTTATTAATTTTATATTTTATGGGTTGTGTTTTTGATGAGGTAACTAAGAACTTATTGTCTAACCCAAAGTCATGAAGATTTTGTCTTGTTTTTTTTCCTAAAAGTTTTATAGTTTGAGATTTTGCTTTTTGGTCTGTGATTTATCTTGAGTTACTTTTTGTATAAAGTATTAGGTATACATTGAAATTTGTCTTTTCTGCCTATAAATGTTCATTTGTTTCAGAAGCATTTGTTGAAAAGACTATTCTTACTCCTTTTAACTGACTTTGCACCTGTGTCAGAAGTCAATTGACCATATTTGTGTAGTTCTGTATTTGGATTCTTTCTGATTAAAGCTTGTCTATCTTTCTGCCAATTGAGGTAGTTACTTTTCTTTTTGAGACAGGATCTCACTGTGTCATCCAGGCTGGAGTGCAGTGGCGGCATAATGGCTCACTGCAACCTTGAACTCCTGGGCCCAAGTGAACCTCCCGCCTTTGCCTCCCGAGTAGCTGGGACTACATGTGTGTGCCACCACGCCTGGCGAATTTTTTAAAATTTTGTAGATAGGGGGCCTTGCTATGTTCCCCAGGCTGGTGTCAAACTCCTGCCCTCAAGCGATCCTTCTGCCTTGGCCTCCCAAAGTGTTGGGATTATACACGTGAGCCATCATGCCCGGCCTGCTTACTTTTTAAACCTCAGATTACTGATGAGGAAAAGGAGTCTTAGTCAAATTAAGTACCTTGCCTAAGATGATTCAGCTAGCAAATGATTGCATTAATACTTAAACTAGGGCGAGTTTTCTGACTATGAAACTTGTGCTGAGAAGCTATGTTAGCACCTGTTCTTACCTTAGTTATTTTGCTTCTGGTTGAAATGTTTGGTTTTAAGAAACTGAACAGTATGGTTTTGGAAGAGTACATATGACAAGTAGATCACAGAAAATTATCTGAAATAAGAAATCTAAGGTTTTTTTTCGCTTTCTAGGCCATTAATTACCAGACATAATTAATTTTCAATATCTTTAACAAGGTATAATATTCTTTTCTAAATCCAAGGTAGCTGTATATCATTTTTCTTTATTTTAAATAGAGCAACATAAATATATGTTCCTTGTACAGCAAGGAAAGGATGTTAGGGTTTGTGCATGTGAGAACACAGATGGGCTAAGAGTGATTTGCATCCAGAGGGCTCATGCAAGGAACTTGGTAAGAGGTTACAGAGTGACACTACTGTGGCAGTGAATAATAAATTAACATTTCAATATTGGCAAACCGGAGAATTTTGAAGAATGTCATATTTAGTTAATTTCTGATTATTACAAACTAAGCCTGTACATTGATTTGTTAATAACTAGGCATGCATGTGCACGTGCATGTGCACTCTCTCTCACACACACACCCCCCCCTATATACATATATATGTTTTTTGAGGGGCATCTTTAGTGATTTCAGCCTGGGTACTCTGTTCTAATATATGCTCTTCCTTCTGAGAACCCATTTACTGTCACAGATCCAACTTTCTTCCAAAGGCAAATGACTCCAAACCCATATCTGTGTTGTGATCCACTGTTAAACTTAATTTCCCTCCCTGGGCTCTGACATCTACTTAGCTATAGGATACAATTACTAGGATGACCTTTTGATATTGGTAACTTATACACAAAACTGAGTTCCGTTTCTCCTCATCCTCACAAATAAGCAACCATTCTCAGTTTCCCCTTTATTTTCTTGAAGATAGACTTGCTCTTTGGAACCTCAGAATCATTTTTGACTCTCTCTTTCTGGGACCCTGGTGTGGTCAAATCTGTAGTCAATTTCTGCTGATTGTCTGTGCCTGGTTGGTTTGGACCTAGCTCCTCTTTCCCCTTGCAGTGCCTGCCATGGCCCCTTGCCCTCTTCTTCCTCCCTTGATTTACGTTCACCTTTTTAATGCCTGCTAGCTTCTGTACATGAACTCTTTGCATGCCCAACCCAATCTTTCTTGTTTTATGACCACTGGTCTTGCTATTCATTCCATCCATGGTGTCTTCCTTCTCCCCCACTATCTCTGCAGATTGAAAGCTAAAGTATAGCTCACTGCCATCTCACGTTTGAAACCCTCCAGTTCACTCCAGTCAACAAACTCCATCTCTCCTCCGATCTCAGCCCATATTGTGCCCAGGCCAGCAGCGTCAACAGAATCTGGGAACATGTTAGAATGCCCCACTCCAGACCTGCTGAGTCAGAAACTCTGGGGGTGGAGCCTAGAAATCTGTGTGTAACAAGCCTTTGGGGTCATTCTGACACCAGCTAATGTTTGAGAACCAGTGTACTGTGTAAACCCAGATTCACATACTCAGTGTGAAAGGCTGAGTAGCCCTACCTCTCTTCAGCCCACTTCCATTGCTCAGCCTCTGTGAGCTTTTTCATTTTGAATACCTGCATCTCCTTTTCTTAGTCACTTCTAATTCCTCATTTAAAATGTCAGTCCCAAAATTCACTTCCTCGAGGCAGTCTCAGTTCACTGTTTGAGCAATAGGTGCTTGGTTTATATTCTGCTCTTTTCTCCTTGTTGATCATGTTTTTCTGTAAGGACTTTGGTTGACTGCTGTATGTATGTTCTGTCCTTTTGACAGACATGTGTTCCCCCAAAATGGCACAGGCTATATTTGGTACAAATTTTTGGTCTGTCAATTTCACTAATAGGTCGGAGAAAAAAAAATTTAACTGTCAACACAGCAAATATGTCCCTGAGTAGAAAGGAAAATGTACATGAATAGCCAAGAATGAAGATGTTTGTGCTAGGGCAGCTTTTGGCTATGTCTTAGGCTACTCAGGGTATTCATTAATTCCCTCTCCTCTGATGTTGGAGGGTGTCCTGGTTAAAAAGTCTGGGGCACCTCTGCTGACACGAGGAAAGGGAGCACGTACTGCAGAGAGGGGGACCAGTTTTGACTTCGGGGTCCTTCACTTCTTCCAGTGATTGATTCCCATTGTTTGACCTTAGTTTCCTGATAAAAAATTGGGATAATACTGTCTACTTCATATGATTGTTATATTGCAAGGATTAAGTGAGATTTGGTAGGTAATGTCCTTGTACAATCCCTGTCCTACATTAGGTGCTCTATAAATGGTAGCTTTTATTAACTCTACCAGGACAGCACACTTAAAGAAAAAAATCATTCCACAAAAGCAGTTCTATTTGCTGCATAGTAGGCCCTTAGTAAATGTATTGAATGATATATATATATGGCATTTCATGGTTCTGGTCTGTGCAAATGTCCTAATTTGTACAGGGCTTCAAGTTTTAGTGCTTTATAATTGTTAATGAATGGTAAGAAATATTACTTGACTTTTTGACAAATCTATTGCATTTCTTAAAAATTTTCCATTCAACTTTAGTTTTAATGGATGATAGCTTACTTTCTAATAGTATCTGAAAGGTTTTTTTCCAGTAGAATAAATTAGGCTGGTTAAATGGGCTTTTTGACACAATGCCCTCCCAAGAATGTTGTTTCATTGCCAATGGCTAGTTTAATCAGTATTATTGAAGACAGTTTCAAACTACTCTGCTACTTGGTTCTTTATTTAGTTTTTATTCTTTTCCTAACACACCTAATTAATGGAACTGTCCAGTGGTCTAACATGGAGAAGGAGAGAAGATGACATTATGAAAAGTTTAATCATTATAATAGCAGCTAACGTTTGTCTGGCATGTTGTAGTTTACAGAATACTTTAACATGCATTGTATCATATCTCACAGTGTAGGCATTACTATTATTTTTATTTTGCTGATAAGAGTAAAAAGTAGGCATTACTATTTTTTTATTTTGCTGATTAGAAAATTGCTGCTCTGCTTAATGACCAAGGTCATGGAAGCAGAAGGTAAAATAAAAGCCCCAGGGCTGGGCACGGTGGCGCATACCTGTAATCCCAGCAATTTGGGAGGCCGAGGCGGGTGGGATGACCTGAGGTCAGGAGTTCAAGACCAGCCTGGCCAACATGGCGAAAGCCCGTCTCTACTAAAAATACAAAAATTAGCTGGGCATGGTGGCGGGTGCCTGTAATCCCAGCTTCTCGGGAGGCTGAGGCAGGAGAATCTCTTGAACCTGGGAGGCGGAGGTTACAGTGAGCTGAGATAGTGCCACTGCACTCCAGCTTGGGCAACAGAGAGAGACTCTGTCTCGAAAAAAAAAAAAAAAAAAAGCCCAGAAGTTGAGGATAGTATGGTTATGTAAAAGTTTCACTTCCTCATGATTAGGAAAAGAATAAAAACTAAATAAAGAACCAAGTAGCAGAGTAGTTTGAAACGGTTTAATGCATGTAGACAATTTACAGTTTCATGTCATCCTAAAGCACTGCCTCCCACAGCTTATTTATGTGGAACAAGAGACTGACCACCTGGTTTCACACCTTGATTCTGCCACTTCCTTTCTACATGATCTCAGTCAGGTTGTTCAATCTCTTTGAGCCTCAGTCTTTCCATTTATAAAATGGGGAAGGATAATGGCATCCACCTCATAGAGTTGTTGTATTAAAATGAGTTAATATATGTAAAACTATTAGAACAATGCCTGGGACATAGAAGGTGCTAGGTAAGTAGGTAAATGTCAGCTATTATTATTTTTTATAGAGGAGTGGCTGAAGTGCTTTATATGAAAGGTGAGTATACTTAGCCATATTTATAATTAGAGAAGTAGAAATCAGAGCTTCTATAAGAGTTCAATAGTGCAGAATGTATATTTTGCATCTTAGGTATTGATGTGGTGTGGCTGTGTCCCCACCTAAATCTCATCTTGAACTGTAGCTCTCATAATTTCCACGTGTTGTGGGAGGGACCCGGTGGGAGGTAATTTAATCATGGGGGTGGGTTTTTTTCTGTACTGTTCTTTTAATAGTGAATAAATCTCATGACATCTGATGGTTTTATAAAGGGGAGTTTGCCTGCACATGCCCTCTTGCCTGCTGCATGTAGGACGTAACTTTGCTCCTCCTTTGCCTTCTGCCATGATTGTGAGGCCTCCCTGGCCATGTGGAGCTGTTAGTCCATTATACCTCTTTTTCTTTATAAATTACCTAGTCTCAGGTATGTCTTTATTATTAGCATGAGAACAGACTAATACAGGTATCATGCCCTAGTCTGGGTTTTCCTGTAGACTTATGTTCATTTACTAACCTTGGGATAAATGAAAATTTGGAGCATGCCTGTATGATTTCTCTTTCTAAAAACTCAAAACCCACAAAACTACAGTAAGGTGCTGTCCCCCTTCCATTATCCATAGACCCTTTTGCCTTTCTTAAAAAACACATGCACAGCACTCACACAGACACACCCCTGTAAGACATAAGGTACCTTGGCCATTTTCATGAAACTGTTGTTAATTCCTTTCTTTAAAATTGAAGTCTTTTAGGATTTTAACAAATATCCTATTCATGAAGTTTTGTCTGTTCTTTTCTTCTGGATTTCACAACTCACCTGTTCTAGGAGAGTCTTCATTATTTTGGAGAAGGCTTCAAATCTACTATCTTCAAGCTTTTTTCTTTCCAGTGCACCCGTCTCATCTCATGTAACGTGGTGCTGGGAATATAAGACTGAGATTGTGATGCTCACAGTTTTTCTTCTTTGTAATTTTCTGTGTCTTGATTTTTTCCCCCAATGAACATGTATCTATTTCACAAAATCTATTTTACTGTTAAATAAAATTTTGGTAAACACTGGAAGTAGGAAATTAAAATGTGCAAAATTGTAAATTATCATTACAGTTTACTTATCTTTCTTGTAGATACCAGATACAGAATGCTTTTGTTTTATTACATCTTTTTCTATATGCAAACCGTAAGCTGAGTGTAGCACCTGGTTATGAAATTTTGTACTTATAGAATATATTCACTTTTATTGGTGGCTATAATCAAGATGAAATGCTTTTCTTAATAATTAATGTTAAGAAGAGAAATGTAAACTTTAGACAACTTTATGACTTCTCTCCAGAGGATGTATGGATGTGACTGGGTATGTGATTTAAAAAATTTTTAAAGTTCTTTGGATTTTTTTTCTTTTGTTTAAAGGTCCTTAGGCGTTTGCCTTGGCTTGCTGAAGAGTAAGGAGAAAACCCTGTAAACTCATTCACTCAGAATAGGATGAGAGTATTGTAGATTTCTTTTCTCCTTTGAGACAATTTTAAAATTACAATGGTCTTAGCCTAAGTGGTCCCTGTTACGGCTTCTCTCTTTTCCATGCTCAACACAGCCTTTGAGGAGGGGCTGAGGGACACGCCACCTGTTTTCAAGTGTATTTATTTCTTTATGCCTTAATATGCCTAGTGCATCTCAGAATGGAAATGTCCTGGAAATTGAACAGCTTCATAGTTGGGTGGCCCCATGAGCATTTAGGAAATATTTTGTGAAACTGTTGTGGTCATCTTGTGTACTGGTTCTGGTACTTTAATCCATCATTTTGGGATCATAGCTCTTCTGAGGAAAGAGCAGCCTTGCACCTTCAAGCCTTTCTATCTTCAATCAGTTGGGTTTGCGTATTCGAGCTCATTCCAGTTCATGATTGGCAGTTTTTGTGTTAGGTACCCACTCTGAAGTGTTCCCTATCGTTTAGAAGGTAGAAGTAGTCATCAGTGACTGAAGCCTAATTTAGATTCTTAAATCGAAATCATTGTTGAAGAATACTGCTCCTCCACTACAGACGTCTTGTGCATATCATGAGTGTCTTCATCAGAGAACAAGCTCTCACCCGGTCTCTCATAATATAAAAGCATTTTTAATCCCTCTTAACAGGTGCTGCCGCAGTTTATTTATAACTAATGCATTAAAATGAAAAATACTGAAAGGGTCCTAAGTGGAAGGTGGCTATTGAAATATTGCCATATTTAAATTATAGAATTTTGTCAGGCTGATTTGTGGAAAGGACGAGTCAATGTTGGCTGGTAAGTGATGTACTCACAGGTTTCCTGTAAGTTCGGGTGGTGCTTTCCGCAGTGTATATAAGTGGGTTGTGCAAAATCTGAGACCTACGATTCAATTGATTTTCCTTTGCATAATCATAATCATATTCATATTTGGTCAGCTTTCATGCTCTTTGATATTTCTGATCCTTATGAAGCATGACAAATGTTAGAACTCTTTTGGCCTTCTAGACTTATTGCAGCACAAAAACTCGAGATCCTAATTGAAAGAATTTTGAAGAGTGTTTCATTTAACCCTTTTCTTCCTCGTCCAAATTTGATCTCACACATGGGGAAGGTAAATGCACACCTTAATATTGGTGCAACATGTTATTCTGAAGACACGTGCTAAACATTTGAAAGTCTTGTTGATTTATATTTCCACCATGTTTTCTCTTTCCTGAAAAACCTTAGCCAGCGACTGAAGTAGTTGGGTTGTATTAATGGATGTTTATGTTGTCCTGTGACAGCTGGTTTTGCTAATTTGTTTTTACAGGGCAGTTTGTAGTAAATGAATGGCATGCTGAATATTTTACTGAGATTTCAGATTATCTAAAGAATATTTTCCGGTTTACTAATTGGTAGATAATGCTGAGTACATTGATGTTGACATGAGCAAATGGATTTAAAATGATTTGAAGTGAGCTTCATTAAAAGATGCTCTAATCACAGCCAGCAGGAAATGTCAAACTAGTTCTGCCTTCATTCACTCTGGTGGACAGGAACTGTTGCAGACTTACGATGCTACAAGTCATTGCAGTTTTGATTTTGGGGTGCCACAGGGTGGGGGAAATGGTGGAAGTTTTTTTTTCATAGCTTTTTTGGCTCATCATGTCTTTACCAGAAACTAAATAACAAATTACTAATTACCTGTATGGCTAAATGAACATTCTCTGAAAATCATAGTCACATTGCTGGAGTCTTATAATCCATTATGGGTTGAATACATGGAAGTCATGTTTGTTGCTCACTCTGAACTAGAAGTCTGTAAATTACTTGTTATCCATTTTAGCAGAATTCTATTATAGAATTAAAGCCAGTGGTGCTCATCAAAACATTAAGAAAAACCTAGGCAAAGGCATTCCAAATTCCCAGGTTAAAACTTACAACACTGGTTCTACTTTTCCTGCCTGTAAAAAGTTATAGAGGCTGTTTCATCAAAATTGAATGCTTGGGGAAAAAAAATCTAAGGGAGGCAGATTCTGAAGTAAGTCTCTTCAGGATTAAAATCTGTCTTTTTCTGATATCGACTGTGCGACTTTGTGCAAGTAACCTAACCTGCCTGAACCTTCGTTTTCTTGTCTGTAAAATGGGGATAATAATATCTATCTCATGAGGTCATGGGACTATCTTTATATCTATATGCTTTTCATGGTAGAAGGTACTTGGTAAGGGCTCTATTAGTGTTAGCTATTGTAACCTAAATACATTTATTTCCTTCTTTTAATACCTGGGGAAAGGTTGTGGGTGTCATATGCCAAGACATTAACTAGACATCTTATTTCTACTGATTGTAAGTTTACTAAACACCTCTCATGTCACTCAGAACAGAGCTATCTAGAACCAGTAAGTTCATCATATGGAGCTTTTTGGATCTAGGATATAATGAGACTAGCCCAAATTCATGCAGTAAGTTATTGGGTAATCTTGCTGCAGTAATCTTGTTTTTCTCTTTGACTGTTATCAAAATGTCTTTTTCTTCAAGCCCGGATGTAGTATGCTGAGGTAGTAGCACTCATAGGCAGAGATCAACGGCTCTAATTATTTCACAATAAAAATAATATGATGCAGGAGTCTGTATAATGCTAATGAAATCTAGGTACATGGCAAGCAACCTGTTCTTTTCAGCTTCCTCATTAGCATCAGATTTGCCTAGATGCCCAGATAAGTGGTTGTACAGGTTGTGTATATTTTAAATAGCATTCCTCTGGGTCAGCCCAACAATGCTGTAAACTTGATGCCCAGTAGATAGGAGTGCCTCCTGGAAATTTCTTGAAAACATGGTACCAGATTAGGAGATCGATAAAGGATGCTGATACTGGCATAGAATGTTCTAGAATAACTGAGCAACATCTTTTAAGTGATCTGGTATTGTTGGTTCAAAGCTTCTGGCTGTATTACATATAAATTTGGCCTATGTGGTTGAGAAGAAATTGCCCTACTCATCTATTCAGTCAGGGTTCTGCAAGACAACTGTAAATTGTTTTCTTTTTCTCTTTTTATTCCCCCTTAATGCCACAGTGTGTTTTGAAGAGGGAAGAGTGAAAAACAAAAAAGTTCCACTTGAATGACCCTATTAGCTTTACACTGGTTTCTGTAAACCATGCCAGAAATATAATAATCTATGAGGTCTTTGAGTTTAGGACACAGCCTCTGTTGACAAATATAAAAAATGGCACACCAGACTGCAGATGTGGATTGTGGGTTAGTCTGGCCTTCCCTCATCAATGGGGAAATGGAGCTTAAGTCAGGCTTAGAAAATGAGAAAAATGCTTAAGGGACATGACTAATGTCTCCAACGTGCAGTACACTACATAAACCTATTATGCGCTTTAATTTAATGTTCTCCATAAAGATTCAGGACCTGTCAGTAGAAGGAAAGAAACAAGCAATCCATCTTTAGTGAACTGTGAATAGACTTTTATATTTTTTAAAATACACACGCACCTATAACATACTTTTCCCTTCCTTCGGTTTTCTCCACATCTGATCCATTTCCTGTCTTGAACTGCCACTACCTAGGCTGCTTGTGGATTGTTTTGTTCAGTGAAATAAGACTAATGTGTTAAATATTTAACATTGCTAATTGGTTCAATGTAAAGGAAAAGGGAATAGATGCAGATTGTCTCCAGTCTCTGTCAGCAGACTTCAGCAAACAAGACTGGAAGGTCTGAATTGAAGATGTTTCATCTCAGGGACTTAAAGGCCTATGGGATAATATAGCATTTCTTGCAAGTGGCAATTGGGCCAAAATTGGGAGAAAAATTAATTTGCACCTGGCAGCTGGAAAGCTGAGGATCTATTTCTATAGAAAATTTGGCTGCACCCCGCCCCCGGCCCAAAAAAAAAAAGCTTTTTGTTTTCAGGCTCCAGGTGTAGATTGAAAGATAACAAAATGGATGTGACATTTTACTGGTCTTATCTCCTTTGCAGGTTGGGAGCGTTAAAACACTTAGCTGTACTTCACTAAAGCAAGCTGAAATTTGCAGATGATTGTAATTGATGAGTAAGGAAGTAGAAACCCCACTGGGTCAGTGAGAATTTTTCCATTATGAAAACATAACCTTTCATAGGAGAACCCAATGGCAGTGAAATGTCAGATACCTGGATTTTTACAAAGGAAAGGAAGGCAAATCTGTATTGTTTCCTATAATACAATTCTGAAACAGGAATGTACATATATATCTCATTCTCTTTTGAGGTTGTTTTGTTGTCTGCTGTGTCTAGGTGAAAAGAACTCACAGTGACATCAGTTTTTGCTTTGAATTGATTTTTTCTTTAAACCAGAGGTGAATGGCACCTAAGAAATTATTTAAATCAGGATATAAAAATATTATATGTTTTAACAAATGTTGACATTGGTAGCTAGTCTGAGCTGTTCTTTTTTCTGGAGGAAAGACATTAGTAAACTGAGGTGGGGATAGAATTGTTTCAAGGGCTGTGGTCAGAGGTGTCTAAGTGCTGAAAAAATAAGTTTGATGAGTTAAAGCAGAGGGCTTCCAGAGTGGGGTCCATAGGATCAATCAATAGCCTTCAGGAGGTTGGTGAGTCCCCAGAAATAACATGCAATATTTTGCATGCATTTTTTTGGGGAGAGTCTGTGTTAAAACTAGATTCTTAAAGGGGTAGAGACCATGCTGAAGTAAAGCTACTCCTGCCAGCTATCTCCAAGTGCCTATTTTACAGGAGCCCATGAGCTCTAGCTCAATTTATTTCTCCCCTTTCTTCCCAGTCACCATCCCCTTCCCTAGTGGGCACCTACTACTTCATCCCTCTTCATCCTGCTTCATCCCCTTTCCTTCTTTCTCCCCTTTCTATTCTTGATCCCACTGCCTTTCTTATGTGTGGACCTTTTAAAAGAGGATGGTCTAGGTGCTAGCCATATAGACTGCCACGCAAACTGGAAGGGCCTCTCTTAAACCTTCCTGCCTTGAAAGTCAGGGAAATAGGCTCCCAGCCTCTGCCTGGACAGAACAATTAAGTCTTGTTGTGATTATAACCCTTACCTCGTTGATATTCAGATACTTTTCAACATAATCATGTTTTTCTAATGTCCCTTACTTTCCTCCCTCCTCCTCCTCCACATCAAAAATAAATTATTTGTGGAATATTTAATAGGTTCATGGGGCTCTGCTCTGGTGTTATCTGTTTTAATTCTGTGTGAGATGAGATGCGGCACTTGTCAGCAGAGGCCGCTGATGATGTCGGTACACCTTACTGAGCACAGGTCACGGTGGCCTGCAAGCCAGATTGGGTGATTCAGCCAAAGGAGCGTCACTCTGTCGAGTGGGAGAACTCACAGATAACCCGAGGTGCTCACATTTAGCCCTGTATGTAGTGCAGGTGATATGCAAGGCGGTTCCTTTCCGGTTTAACTCTCGCCTCTTCCTGGGCTGCTTTTCAGCCATTCATTTGTCCGGCGGAAGCAGTCAGCTTTCTGAAATAGATCACGATTTAATTGCCGCTGCCTCCGCTGTACTGAAATGAAACTTTCGAAGGTCACCAAGCATCAGTGGCCCTTAGTTAAGCATTATCTTCTTTGCCCGCCCCACAGTATTTGGCACCATTAACTTCTGTTTCCATTTAAAAATTCCTCCATTTGTTCTGCAGCACTGCCTGTACCTCTTTGGATAGCATTATTTGGCAGCACTTGGGCTAGCTCTTTTTTCTCCCTCTACCGGCTAAATGTTTCCCAGTGTTTTGTCCTCGGTTATTTGCTTCCCTTTTTCCATGGGTTCTCTTTGGTGTTCTAGATCTTATTCCCTCTCACAACTTCAAGTGTTGCTTTTCCCTACAGCCCAACTTTTTTCTTTTCTTTTTTTAAATTCCTGAACTGCATTGTCAACTACCTGCTGTTCCTGCTACCCCTGGGAGTCCCCCTGCCCTCTCAAACTTCCCTGTTTAAAAAAGAGCTTACCTCCAACTATTCACTATCTCACTTCCCAAGCAAATATACAAATATACTCAAAATACAAAACCCCAAATTAGAAAGGCTGCCCCTATGGCCATCACCAAAAAGCAAGTCCCTCAACAGGTTCATCCATATTCATTTCTTTTTCCTTTCATAGCTCACCGCCGTTCACCTAGGCAGCCCCTGAACCTAAATCTCTGCAGACATCTTCATCTTCTTTTCATGCTTCATGTGCAAGTAGTTGCCAGATCTTCCTGACCTTGGTAATAAAACATTGCCTACATCCGGACTTCCTTTTGCTTTGCTCAGGGTCAGTTTCTTATTCCCTCATGGCTGTGGTCTATACCATTCCCCGTTAGCTGCTCACCTGTTTTCCTAACTTGCGATTCTCCACAGTTTGCAGTTTCTCACCTTTAAGAATTTTGTTCAGCTTTTATCTTCTCCCATATCCATTCTTTGAGATATTATTTACCCTTTACCTTCCTATATGAAGATGACACCTTCCCTGACAACCTTTGCTTTATCTCAACTACATTATTATTTTTTGTGAGATGTATACTATCCAATTATGTTTAGAGTTTTAAATCACCCTACTAAACCACAAATATTGACAGATTGGGAGCTTTATTATATATATACTTATTATATAATACAAGTATGTGTGTGTGTGTGTGTGTTTCCATTTCCATTGCACAGTACCAGGTACACGTTAGGAACCCAGTAAATCTGTATTGAATGAATGAATGCCTACACTGAAATTTTACTTCAGGTTGGTTAGCAGGCTTAGAAGATCTCTTCCTACTAAAGATCTTTTGCTAATTGTTTTTGGAGCCTTTCTATTTAGCCATGCAAATTAGCATGGGTTCATAGGCCCAGAACCTGAAATAAATTAATCCGTACTTGAAAGGAACAAGGCTGTGGCTGTATATGGATTTCAGGAAAAAGAAAAATGGAAAACATTGAGCCAGTGTCCAGTTGATATAAGTGCTTCCTTGTGTTTTTTTTTTTCTTTCTTTCTAGTGCATAGGCAGTATAAAGTTACTTTTACCTCCAGTGACCCAGGCCAGAATCATGGCAGTACTGTCACCAGAGCTGAGAAAAGGGAGAATAAGAGGTACATTAGAGAAAGAAAGTATGATGCTTCACCATGTTAATTACTCAATAAATAACTTTTGTTATTATTAGGGCTGTTATTATCATTTCTAGTTCCATTATTTATTGCCACTTAAAACAATTCTGGTGACAGTGCATTTAGAGATCTTCAGAGAAAATTATGTAAATCCAGTAGCGAAAGGTTAATGCATGGTTTTTGGCCCAAGTATTTCTATAGCCCTTGGTTACTTGTGGGAGAGGATTTTGTCAAGCTAGTAAAGCTGTGTGTAGTTGAGTTGTATTGTTTTGGGCTATTTGTAAATATTGTATTGTGTGACATACTTCTAGCACCTGAAAAGCCTGGCCTTTGGGACTGATTTTAAGAGCTGTTCACGTTGTGTGAACCAATACCCATGGCCAAAGGGAAAAGGTTTGCGTTAGAGAGCAAACTGAAATTAAAAGGGTGGGTGTGCGGTGTCCTTCAACCCTTGTGTAGACTAGCTGTGCGGCAGCAATTGCTGCCCAGAAGTAAGACTGAGAAGCTTACGATAGCCTAAACCTCAGGAGAGGGGGTTTGGAAGGTAGGGGGGCTTTCTCTAGAAACAGAATCTTTTTTGTGAGTCTACCTGCCAACTAGAAAAAAAGGGTGCTAGGTGTTCAGATCTGCTTTGCAGGTTCCAAAGCACCTAAGTACATTTTCAGTTCCAAAATTTAAATCCTGTTTGTGGGAAATCAGTAGAGGGTTTAATAGAAGCTTAAACAAATTATATATAAACACACAGAAGTAGTCTGGCCTGAGTATGGAAAGGCCAGAAAGTCTGAGTGTTATGGTGAAGTAGTAGGAGGTAATTTATTTTTAAAATTTATTGAACCCACTGAAGCATAAGTGTGTGAGGATAAGAGAAAACCATATGCACATATGGTCCAGAATGAAATTCTTCAGATTTCTGAGATGGTTGCAAGTAGTGACTAAACCATTTTGAATTAACTTTGTGTGTGAAAGTCTTTTCAATCCTTCCAATTTAGTCTCTTCAGGTTCACTAGTGGTGGAAAGAATCAACTGGTCCATGCCACCATTAGACTGGACTGCCAGCAGGGAAGTAAGAGCCTCCTTATCTTTGCTCAGAGTATGCTCTCTCTCTTTTTTTCACTTTCTTCTCTCTTTCTTTTCTTTCTCTCTCTCTCTCTGGGAAGCAAAGGGGATGGGTGAAGATCTCTACATTTCTTTTCTTGAGAGAAAGGCAGGTCTGAGTGAAAATTTATTCATAGCTTTTTCATTTCTCTTTGGAAAATGTAATTGTGACATTGTAGCTATAAATTCAATGTTTAAAAAGTATAAAACTCTATCAAGGGAATAGAATATTTTCACCTTAGTTATTTGTGAAAGTTAGGCCTTTTGTTGGGTGGGGAGAACACACGTAATACACTGATAGTAGAGAGTAATCTGCAGTAAGATCTAATCAGAGGAAAATCTGAAGGAATCAGACCAGAGACAGATCACTGACCGGAATACAGAAGTGCATTGTGCAGCAATAACACTCCTTTCCATTCATTATTGCAGTTATAATTATGGAACCCAACATATTTAATTGGCACAGTGTACTCTTCTCTGGTGAATAGATTGCATTGTTCCTGTTTTAAAAACCCTTATGCATCATGAATCCATGCACATGTTGCTCTTTGGCTCTCGAGAGGTTTCTTTGTTTACATGATGAGTGATTAACCGAATTGTGAAGCCTTGCTATGCGTTGTATGCAAAGATGAAGTGAAAAGGGGTATCTACTCTGTTCTAACTTTGAAGGGCTTTGATTAATTTAAAAAATCTATTAGATCTTTGTGAGGATGTATGCCTTAACTTAGAAATATGTAAATGGAAATATCAGTTGAGTTTGATATCTGGGCTAGTCTTTTATCTGATTCTGGAGGACCTGTTAATGGAAATTATGTCTGGTGGGATGTTATTGGTACATGCATTAGATTACAAGCCACAGAAGTGGTATTCCTGAAGAGGTATGTGGTTACTGAACCCCTAGAAATGAGATCAATGCTAAATGTGGATGGGGGGAAAACACTCTCCCCTTATATAGGACTTTCCAGTGGATTCCAGGGACTTTTGTCTAGCTTGCAAGATAAAATGCTTGCATGGACTAGGGGCAGGGTATAATGTAATAATAATAATAATAATAATAATAATAATAATAATAATTACAGCTAACATTTAGGAATACCTACTGCCTGCCAAGCACCCTGCTAAGTAAACATTTTACATTTATTGTCTTATCTAATTCTCACCCCTATTCTAGTGTCTACTATTATCCTCATTTTACTGATGAGGAAACTGAGCATTGGATAGATTACATTTTCTTGTTTGAAGATCACACACCTAACAAAGCTGGGATGTGATGATCTCAGTTGCTTTTCACTTTTGCTGCTTGCTGTAGAACATATTGGTAAAGCATAGCTCATTGTTTTAAAGCCTTTATAATTATAGTTACGTTGTTCCTCACTACATATGAGCATTTATACTTTTGAAAATTAATCAGAGCTCAGTGTAATTAGAGAGAGAGAGAGAGAGAGAGAGACTTTAGTATCCCCCAAACATCAGCTTATTGCTTCCACAGCTGAGACCCACAGGGGAAAGAGAAGAGTACACCCATAAATATTTTCTGTAAACGCCACAGGTAGTCATGCTGCTCTTGGATGCAAAAGGTCTCTAGTTCAATTTCCTGCTGGAATGGATTCTTCACAAATAAGGATAATCCCTCATTTTATGTTTACTCACATGTATTCCTTCTGTATTCCATACTGTCCACATTGGGCTTTGCAGTTTTTATATATTCTTGCCAGAATGCACTTATTCATTAGCCGTTTTTATTAGTGTTACGGTTGAGATGACATTTTCCCATTCTAAACTCCAATTTTCTGTGACTTTTAATTTTACAAAACAATTACCTATCAGGCTGAAACTCCTTAGGCTGGTTTTCTGCTCAGAAAGGAGGTATAGGGGGGAGGTTTTAAAGTCTGTTCCACTTTTCTTGGCAGCCTAGACATTTAGATTCATGTAAGTGCTCTTTAAATAAAGTTGCAATTGCTTAATTATTTAAATAAATGGGAGCTGAATTATTTAAGGATTTGCTGGCAAGACAAAAGGTTCTGGGTTTTCTCTCCTACCCCTCACTCAGAATTTTCAGTCCCATTTTGTGCTGGCTAACTAAGAATGAATTTCTCATTTGTATTTTGATATATCTGCAAATCCAGCAACATCTTTTGGAGTTCTTACCCTGGCTAAGTCCATGGATTTTAAAAGTCAAGTTTGAAATTTTAGATTGTATCCAAATACTTTGAGTAATGTCTTTTTATGTATATTATGGTTAAAATGCACACTTTTACCAGATTCGACTTATCGAGCACCTCTAATGTGCAGAGGAAAACAGCAGAGTGGAAAGAATACAGTTTTGGAATTTGAAAGACTGGATTTGGATTCTGACTCTGCCACTTATGTGGCTCTGTCACCGTTGCAAAGTTATTTACCCTTTCTGAGGATCAGTTTTCTCTTTTGTAAGCCACCTCTTAGGGTTGTGGAGGAGATTAAGGAAATGTATGTAGAAGCCCTTAATATATAGTACCTGGCAATTAGTAGGCACTCAGTATGTGGTAACTATGAAGTCTGCACTTAGGTACTATGTTAACAATCAGGAATTAACAGGTGGATAAGACAGAGGTTCCTGTCCTTACTGAGCTGATAGTCTGGCAGTGGCAAAGCATTTTAAGCAGAGGGAACAGCATGATCAACAGTAGGTTTGAAATCTAGAAAGTGCTTGGTTATTTGGGAACCTGTTAATGTTCCAGTGTCCCTAATCTTAACATTAATATAATTGGAAATATTACATTGATATGGTGTTTTTGAGGTTTATAATACACATGACATACATTATTTCACTTGATCCTTGCAAAAATCCTATGTGGCAGACAGGGATTACTGTCTCTATTTTATAAGGGATTTTAGTGATTTACCCAAAATCACACAGCTAGTGGAAGAGCCAGGATTAAAGTCCAGGTTTTTTGCATTTCCTATCCAGTGCTCTTTCTACTGTAACATTCAACTAGTCCTATGTCTTATCTATATATACAAGTGCTAAGCCTTTAATGATAATTTAATGAGACTTTTATAATGTTCTTTTTACTTAAACATTTTTACTCAAACTCATCTGACTTAAGATAAAATTATATAAAATCAAATTGAGGTTGTACTTTAGCCTCTGTATATATGTCACTTGTGACTGTAATTAAAAAAAAATTAAAGTGTAGTTATTCTCCTCCCTGACCCTATCAAGTATGTAGAATCTAAATGTTACCTCCTAATTTTACTTTATATGCAGTTTTTTTTTTGTATCAGTGTCTTTTAAAATGTCTTACAGAATGGTTAAGTCACATACTTTTATGTATATTCATATCTGGTAAGTATGCAAGTAATTGCCTCATCTACCCAGTTCTTACTGTTTATCTCCTTTAATGGCAATAATGCATCTTTGGGTGTATTATCTTTAAGGGCCCACATTTGTTTTACTATACTTGATTCAAACATGTTGGATCCTTGCTGGAAACTATTAAGATTATGGCTCCTTTACCATCATTAATTTTAAAAAGTTAAGTGCTCAGGAGAGAAACTAATCACCTCAGGACATCAACTTCCATTCTTTTTGCTCTTTAGAACTGTGCCACTATGCCAGTTGTAGGATGTTCAGCATGAAAGGCTCCACTTCTCAGAGGGAACTTATTTGAACCCTGGAGTTGCTTCTGGATCCCGCCAGTTATTGGCATTTCCAAATAAGAATGCAGAGCACGCAACACGCTGCTGTCAACTTGATCTTTGAATACAAAGTTGTGGATAGAAATGCTAATGAACCAGCGATTTGTGAAGTACTTCACCATGTTGGCCACATAGCAAATTAACAGGTTCTTTCCTCTTAGGGGGAGGAGCTTTTGAAGGGACTGTCTCTTTTTGTTTTTTGTAGGGAAGTTATTTTAAAGTTGTTTTGTTTAGTTAGGGACAAGGCTCATCAGGTGTGAGTGTTGGCTACTCTGGCCACAGAACATGTGTGACTTTCCTGGCATATTCAGAGAATTTCTTAAGAAACTTGACTCTACTGGAATCTTTTCCACAGTTGCAATTGTCACTGAACATTCCAGGGGCTTCATCTACATTTTGAGTTCTTAGTACATTACTATTTAGAGATATATATGGGCATTTTCTACCAGAGACCAATATTTCTCTCTCTCTCTATATATATATATGATTTTTTTTTTGCCTTTGAAGTACCTCTTTTCTTAGAGATACTTTTGCCACCACCCTCCACTTTTTTTTCTTTTTTTCCCAAAACTCACTGAAGACATCCAAAGAAATACATGAATTTTTCAGTGGGAGTTGCACGTGATTTTTAAAGCATCTTTTATGCGGTCTTTTAAGTTTCTGTTTTGATTTTGCAATTGGTTGGAAACGAAGGAAACCTCAAGCTAGTAGCTGATGAGATCCAACAAGGACTTGCCATGTTAATAACAAGAATCTGAAAAAAGAAAAGAATGTATCTGATAAAGAGTCTAGAAAGGATTCACTGCCACTCCTTTGAGGCTTTTTCCAGTCTCACCTATTAGAGAAGTTATTCACTCTATCATTATGGATTGAAGGAAGGTTTAGAAATTTCCTCTCCAGCACTTCCAAGAAGGTGAAAGTTCTTATTTTATGGGCTGGCAAGGAAACTGGGAGAGAAAGGGAAATGATTTCTTTCTAAAATACCAGAAGATAGGGTGCCACACTTGTCCCTTAAGATAGATGGACAGATATACAATATAAGCTCCTGTACGAGGCACATCTTTTAGGATGAAATTGACTGAAGAATTGATCTTTGACCAAATCCTGTTTGCCTGACCTAAAATGAACTCTTGGAAAGACCAAAGCCTTATTGGCTGCACCAAGAGAAGATAGGACCTTGCCCATGGATGGGAGAATCCTGGCCTTTAGTCAGAGACAGCAGGTATGTATGTTAAGTCCATTTGGTTTGCCATTTTGCCAGTAGCTTTCAAAGAATTTGGAACTTGATATGATGTAGGATCTTCACATTTTATGAGATTACAATGAAACTCTTTTGACCCTATAGCAAAACCAGCTTTTAAGAGGATGAACGTATTTTCAAAAATTTAGCCCTACAGTAAACATGAAATGTTGAAAGAGAAATGTCTGTCTGGCAAATTGTGATTCTGTCCCAAGAGGAGGAATTTACTTCCATTTTGATTTACCTGGCAGGAAAGTATCTTTTGCAGGCACTACTGAAGTTTTTCTTAAATTCCTCTGCTTTGAATTGTGTCTCTGGGAGCTATTCATCTTTGTCACCTGTTTTACTTCTGCTATTTTTAGCCAAGTGCCAAAGACCTTACAGCTTCCTCAAGTGAAAGATAAAGAATTAAGATCTGTTGTAAACAAAAGCTCATCACTTTTTTTTTATGCTGCAAGAGCTCCCTTCAAGTTTTCCTTAGAGTCAACTTTAATTGCTTAGACTTAGACTCTCCAAAAGAGAGACCTTTGTTAATTTTGCTTCCAAATCCATGAAGAGGCAAGGCTTTGTTTTTTTTTTGTTTTGTTTTATTTTTTTTTTAAAGAACATTTTAGAAAAAATGACCAATGAATGAACTTCTCTTTCATCTCTATTCTCATGTCAAATGATAAGGCATAAAGCAAATGGAGGACCTTCTAGACCTAGAAGGATATATCTTATAAGTGAATCCATTCCCAAAAGTGCCAGTGCTTGTTTAGCTGAGTCAGTTAATCTTGACACTAAGGAATTATTACAGTGTTTAAATTTCATTTTTTAGGTTGTAGCATGGCAGGAAATACTTGATGAGGCTCTACCTCTTTGACTTGGATTTGTGATAAGAAAGTAAGTTTTGGGAGGGCGAGGTGGGCAGATCACTTGAGCTCAAGAGTTTGAGCCCAGCCTGGCCAACATGGTAAAACCCCGTGTCTACTAAAAATACAAAAATTAGCTGGGTGTGTTGGGGCATGCCTGTAGTTCCAGCTACTCTGGAGGCCGAGGCAGGAGAATCACTTGATCCTGGGAGGTGGAGGTTTTAGTGAGCCGAGATCCTGTCACTGCACTCCAGCCTGGGTGACAGAGCAAGACTCTGTCTCAAAAACAAAAACAATGACAACAAGTAAGTTATTTGGCCTAACTCATAGCCACTTCTGGAGAAAACAGTTCAAGGCACATAGCCCGTGATAAGTGCTGCTGTTTCTTTTCTTTTCTTGTTTTTTTTTTTTGGTTTTTTTTGGGGGCGAGGGGGGTATAGGGTTTCACTCTTGTCACTCAAGCTGGACTGCAGCCTTGATCTTGGCTCACTGCAGCCATGAGCTCCCAGGCTCAAGCAATCCATCTCCCAAGTAGCTAAGACTACAGGCATGCACCACCACACCCGACTAATTTTTGTAAATTTTGTAGAGATGGAGTTTTATCATGTTGCCTAGGTTGGTCTCATACCCCTGGGCTCAAGCGGTCTGCCTGCCTCAGTCTCCCAAAGTGCTAGGATTGTAGGCATGAGCCACTGCACCTGGTCGAGTGCTTCCTTTTCTATGAGGCCAGAATGTTTCTATCACACCTAGACTAACTAGTAATGTAATTTTATCTACCTGGTTAGTTAGATAAAATTTATCTAATTATATATATTTATACTGCAAAGCATTACATGCTTATAGGTTTGGCTTTTCTTTCAAGAAAGCAATGATACCTCCTGAGTATTTTCTTCCATCCCCATGTCAATCACTCCCACCCTTTCTCCTTAAAAATTATTTTGGAGACCAAAGTATAATAGATTTTACCCAGAAGTGATATTTCTCACCAATGTAAACTTTGTACTTTATCTCTTAAAAGGTGGAAAAAAAGTATAGTAAAATATTACATATGCACAGAGCCTAGAGATTATATTTTATTCTATTATTCTTCCAAGTTGAGTTTTGTGCTGGTCTTATTTTTATCTCTCCATCTATGTTTGCAGGGCTGCCTGTTTCCCCCAAGTGTTAATGTAAACACATTTTATTTTGAGACAGATCAGCTCACTTCCCTCTGGAAATCCATCCCTATAATGTGGTAAACCTCAATATAACTCTCTGGTCCGAATGACATTTCATAACTGTGTACAAATCAAACATACTGTTGATATTAAATGACAACTTTTAATGCCTATGTCAACAATTCACTTAAGTCTCATTTCATTAAAACGCTTCTGATCTGGGGAGAAGCTGCTTGTCTGAGTAGATAAAGCACTTGACTTTCACCTCTAGTTTCCGGGTTAAAGTGCAGTTGGTGAGCTGTAATTCAAATGGATTTTATAGGTTCTGGGCTAGGAGACTGGAACAAAAGTCTGGTTCACATAATCAGAGGAAATCTTGGGTCATCTGAACAAGTGGGTGTCAAAACCAGTGATTTTCACTTTATTTCTTGTGTAAGTGAGCTTGTCTTTGTGGATGATTCCCAGCCCCCCCACCCCCCCACCCCACCACCCCACCCCGCTGGCCCCGCCAAACCTTAGAAATTTTAAAAAAGAAATTAACGTGGTCAAGATAGTTAACAAGTAAATGGAGTACCTTCTAGACCTGGGAGGACATATCTTGTAAGTTAATCCATATTCATTCCTTGAATAGTTCTCCCTCGGTTTCTCTTCCAGAAGTTACAGCCAGCTTTGGGTCCTCCATTCTTGCCTTGAGGAAATTTCCAAAAAGTTTTTTTTTTTCCCCTCCAGCCCCAGATGCTCTCCTGACTCTTTCCAGGACTCTCTAGGGGACTGGCTTTTGATGGTTTCCTGAGTGTAATCCTAATTCCACCGGTGTTTTATACATATTGACTCCTCTGATTGTTTCCCTGTAGTTAGGAAAGAAGCCCAGGCTGGTTAGGAACCTCCTCTTATATGCCTAAATTAGCAAGGAAAACTGTTTCCCCCATTTCCATGGTCATGGTGTCTCTACTTCAAGAACAATCTCTGTGGGGATTGCTCATGTCTTAAACTGAAGCCAATGACTACACTATACCTGTTAAGTGGTCTGTAGGGGATGTTTGAATGAATAACAGTAGTTGCTGCTGCTACTTTAATAATGTCATAATGTTTTTGTTTCATACAACTTACTGAAGTTTAGGACTTGTGCACAAATTGCTACCTATGTCCTTTTTCGCCTGGGACCTCCTACTTTGTGAGCCCTCAGCAAATGTAGGATAATCAAGAAGGGGAAATTAGCCTTGTGGCTTTAACGGGTATCTTCAAATGGCTACACGTGGTAAAACCCTGGGATTGTGCTGAATTCTTACATACCTGTATCAATGCAGAAAGACCCTCAAAAAAATTACAGCCCTTTCCATAGTGGAACAATCGTAATATAAAATAAGTGGCTGTTAGGCTTCTTTCAGGTCTTGATAACTTAGGCAAGGCAGATAATTAATACAACCAAGATGACAGTTGACTATAATTGGCTGCTTATTATGAAGTTTAGACATTTTCCTCCCTTCTATCTCTGGGAGAAGGAAATTGCTCTAGCATATGTGTGTAGAAGACATAAAACTTGCTACAGCAGTATTTTTATTTCCAGATTATTCTTAAAGCTATTTAAAAGTCACCACAGAATGAGCTTTACAGAAGCAATGTAATGGCTCCTTTAGGTTTTTGTGTAAATTCAGATAACTGAAATGTTAGCCTTGATTGATGATTAAAAAGGAAGGAGGTACACCAAAGCTGATGGTGAGCTCTGGATACAGGATAAAGGAATTGGGGTTGTGGGGGAAAGATCTCACCATAGTCCCTTAAGTTCTTTTATAGAATTTCTGTTGTGATTGGTAACGTAAGGAGCATTTGAAAGATGATCGTTATTTGAGAAATGTTTCTGAACTAGAAACTTGCAAGCTTTGAATCCTGTTAATACTCACTGGCAATGATAGCCATTTTCCATTCCATGAGATCACTTTGGAACTTGAGCATAATTTTATTTCTGCTTCACAGTTCTTAAAATCCTGTTTGGAAATGTCATTAGGAGGATAAGGGATGTAATGAAAAATACGTTTTCTCATGTACCAAATCAAAGTGTATAGTTATGGAGCTGGCTATCTATACTGAACAACAGTTAACAAAATGAATTGGCTGCTTTCCGCATTTGAAGTTGTATAGTGTAAAATTCAATGAAACGTTCAATAACTGGAAAGATCACATCAGCATCAAGGATGCATTTAGCAGGTTTCCTCCTACCATATTACTAAGATAGAAGCACAGTTTTAGAACTAGGAATAAAGGCTATGAATGAAGTTAAAAACTGTGGGAGGCCTGGAAGTAGAAAGATAAGTAGGAGTGACTGGGCCTGGAAACTTGGATTTGGATGCAAGTGAAGGAAACAGAAAGATGGGCCTGTGCGGACCAGTATTTTATGATTGGTGCTCTTGTCAGTATCTTCCACTGAAGGCTGAAAGTTATTTCTTGAAACTAGCACCTGTCACACCCCTCCTTAAGGCAAAGGACCTTATTTTTGGTGGTTGAACTTGCTGGGTCAAACAGAATCACTATGCCTGATTCTCATGTTGTATGGAAAGACATAGGGAGGGGTGAAAGCAGCTTTTTTTCCATTCAGCGTTTTTAGCAGGTTTTTAGAGTGAGGAGTTATTCCATGAGTGAATGAATGGAATGAATGAATGAAAAAAAAAATGGCCAGGTTTGTTTTTCTTGGAAAGGTTTTATTTCCTATAAAGAGATATGGCATAATTGTGTTTTCCCTGGCATAAAATGAAAAATAAAATCTAGCAAAATGCATACTTAAGGGATGTGTGTGCACATGTGTATGTCACTATAATATATAATGAGACTGTTGAACTCTCTAGAATGTTTGGAACTATAAAGTTTAGCTGTTTTGAAATATTCCTCTGTTAGACATTGGCTTAGGGAAATACATGTTTTCGTATAAAACACCGAAAGCATTTTCGGTGGCATTGTCGGGAAATGCACCTTGCCTTCTAAAGCAGTAGATGCAACTTTTAAGAATGCAAATTTGAAAAACTGACAGGGGAAAATTACAAGAAGCTTACATATTCTTGAATTTTCTCCATCTGAGTTTTAAGTAGGCTGGTGTTAGGCTGGAGCTGCTTCTGATTATGACTCTTCTAGGGGGAAAACACAGTTTTACAGGACTGACCTTAAGTGCAAAATGGATAGTAATTCAAAGCCCTGAGGGGGCTTAAGAAATGAAGGTGGCTTATTGGTTTTGGCAGGGAAAGGGTTGTCTGGTAAGACCATTGAGCCTCTTAGCTGAAAATGCTGACAAGTTGAGCAGAGAGCATCTGTGCTATACCAAGCACAATCATTATTTTCATTGGCAAAATGTATTGCTCACAGTTTTGGGTAGTCTGTCCATTTTGTCAGTAATTTAATCTAGGTTGAAAAAGGCATGGGATATAAACCGCTATTGTTGAGCATCCCTGCAGGCATACCTGGCAGGTTCCATTCCAACTTTTAATGAGGAGTCTTGCTTTATGTTGGGGTCCGCTGGTGGCTTGCAATATCTATTTTGGGGCGTTTTAAGATGGGGGTTAGCTCTTGAAATTGGACAAGGTGCCTGCATAAAAGATGATGAGATATTTTTTCCCTCTTGGTCTCTGCTCCTTGTTAAATTGGTAATTAGGCGAGACTTTCAGACAGAAGTAAAAATACAGATGACATGGGATTGTGTCTAAGGTGATAGCTTTTCTTTCATGGGAAGAATAATCCTGAGGATTGAAATAAAGAATTTGAAGTAGAAACTTAATACATTTGAGATCTTCTATATTTTTATAGTAATTTTATTTCACAATATGTGCCAATAATACATGACACCTTCAATAATGTATTTTTATACTCCTTTACCCAAGAATTAAGCTGGTACATTTGCAAGAGGAGGAAATACATGTTGACTTTGTGATATTGCTAGTAACCCCATTCTTTTTCTTTTCTTGGGAGTGGCGCTCCACCCCACCCCACCCCCTCCTACCCCCCAACACACATTAATGGGTTATTCTTGGCTGGGAAATGTTCTGTTTTCTATAATTTTTCAAAATATTGCAGTTTATGAGTTGAAAAATGAGAAAAAATGGTTACTACTTAATTTTTTAATGTTTTATATATTAATCAATTTGATTCTTTAGATCATTTTGGGAATATCCTTGGCAAGAAAAAGCAGGCATTTTCACACATTGTGGCATTGTCTTTAGGTCAGACAAGCAAGTTGCAGAAAGAATTTTCTAAGCTGTGTGTTGAATAAGGAGACAGTTAATTCTGAGGCAGCCCTCATTTTTTTTCTAATCAGATTTATAGCAGAAACTATTGGAACTAACTTATTCACACTTTTCCCTAACTTATTCATATTCTACTTATACCATATAGGAATTTTGATAGTCAAAATACGCCCATATTCTAATCAAAACAGAATGAGAAAGGGAAACAATTGCCTTTTAAGAATAGGGATGAGAGGTACTCAATCATTTATAGTTATTCTTATGATATGTGCTGTTTATGGAATACTGTATGCCAGGCACTGGTCTAGAAAACTGTATTAATCTGTGTGCAGTCGAGAGAGGAACCACACAGTAATTTGAATAGGGAAAGCTTACTGTGACTCGTTAACTGTAACAAGGTATTGGAATAATGAGGGACTTGCTAGTAAGAAGTAAAGAGAATTGTAAAGAATGTAGAAACAGCAGATCTAATGAGCAACCATTACCCTGTGCTAAGAAAGAGCACCTAAGAAAGAACACCTTTCCCAAGCTGAGATCCAGGTAGTATTGGAGAGGACACAGCTATGGCTCACTGTGGCAGAGAAGTTGCTGTGGTGCTGTGAAACTTGCTGGAATTCCACCCTCTAATATGCTGGGGAAAACCATTCATGAGAAGGTGTCTCTTTGGAGGCACTCTGATACAAAATTGTCTGAGGAGGGTGCCAGCAAAGCTACCAGCCACCGTTTGCTCCTGGCTGCTCTGCTCTGCAGGATCCAGGCACTGGGGAATCTGTGTGTACCTGGAGATGGATGCTAGAGAAGCTCAGTTCTGTGTGTACCTGTAGATGGATGCTAGAGAAGCTTCAGTGCCTCCAGCACCATCTACTGATAAAGATTAACCTTGTGTCCGAGGGTAAAGGAAAAACATTTGAAGGGCCCAGATCCATTTTCACAGAGCAGACAAAAAGGGTGATTTTGAAGCTGAGAGGCAATAAACTGATGATGGGCACAGAAGTCTTTGCTGCTGCTTTTTTAATCCTAAAGAGACTAGAAGTAGTGAAATGGGATTATATATCCCATTTTACAGGTGAAAAGATTTCTTTAAGCTTACAGAGATTAAGTGACTTGTTCAGGGTCATATACTTAATAAATGGCAGGTTCACATTTCAAAATTAGATTTGCTATTTTCTAAGGCCCATGTCTTTCCATCAGCCTTTTTGGAATACAGATACTAACAAGTCTAGAAACTGGCAGTTGTGCCATATGTTCTTGTCTAGGTATTATACTAGAGATCACTATTTATTCATTATTTAGTTCACTTCCAGCTGGTCCTACAGATGAGGGGAGTTATGCAGGTGAGTACCTGTTATGTTTGTACCATATATCAGATTCTGAAACTTAAAGGAATAGTTTGTACCTACTTTAGTGGAGTCCCTGAAACCTCTTTTTTTCTAGCTGTACCTTAGCTGTGTTATTATCAGTTACAGTTCAGGATTCATACCTGTTTGCTCATTTGGCAGCTCCCAGGGGTCTCAAATTGGGTTCCCTGGAGGGTAGGGGCAGACGATGATGGATCCTGGTTTTTTATTTGAAATGTTACTTTTTCTCAACCTAGCTTCTCTCCTCAGGGATACCCCTCCAGGACATGCAACCCTTGGTTGTCTCCTAGTCGAGGCTGAGGGTACAGCCTTGCTCTTTCGAAAGAGCAGTGGCCCTTTTAGGCTACATAGGTTTATCTCACTTTTGAGTAATAGATTCATACCTCAAATTTTTGTAAAAGAAGTGTCATTTTCATACTGATTTACACTATAACTTTTAGAACTCCTTTATCACTTGACTTTGGGTGAGTTACTTAACCTCTCTGGGACTTAGTTCTTTTATCCATTCTTTAATCTATAAAGGGGAATGGCCTTTATAAAGCTCCTCTCATCTTAAAAACACTCAGTGCCTATTTCTAGTTTAACATCTTTTGGCAGCAGTTCCAAACACGTGAGCCTTCAGTTGCTGATCCTGTCCCTGGCAAGTAGTTGCTGGATTACAAATAAATGGAAGGCAGTGTGATGTGCTAGTGAGAATGTGACTGTGGACTCAGACCCAAAAGGGTTGGAATCTTAGCACCTCAGAACTTAGTAGTTATGAGGCCTTAGGTGAGTAATTTATTTTTCTGTGTCTTAGCCTTTTCCTTTGTGAAATAAGAACAACAATGCCTGACCCCTGTATTCTGATGAGGAGTAAGGAAAATGATAATAATATGTAAAGCACTTTGTACACTTGCTAGCACATAGTAGGTGTTCTATAAATGATAGATATTATTATTCCCCATGAAATTGTAAGCTCCTTGAAGGCAGGGACTCTGTCTTAGTCATCCTTAAATTACTGGTAGTACTAGATATCTAACAGGCACTTAGTAATATCACCCTTTTGAACTGAAGGAAAGTCCTTTCCAAGTTGAATCTTTATAAAGTAAATACTTTTTATGTAAATAATCACCCTGGAGTTTATCTATTTGATAAGTTTGGATTGCACATATTCTTCTGTCTTAAAGCAGTACATTGTTATAATTGTATTACCTCTCTCTCTCGTTTTTTCTTTTTTGACAGGTCTCACTTCATCACCCAGGCTGGAGTGCGGTGGCACAATCTCGGCTCACTGCAGCCTCGGCCTTCCCGTGCTCAGGTGATTCTTCTACCTCAGCCTCTCAAGTAGCTGGGACTACAGGTGCACACTACCACGCCCAGCTAATTTTTAAATTTTTTGTTGAGACAGGGTGTTGCCATGTTGACCAGGCTGGTCTCAAACTCCTGGCCTCAGGTAATCCATTCGCCTCAATCTCCCAAAGTGCTGGAATTACAGGCCTGAGCCACTGAACCTGGCCCCTTAAATTTCTTGTTAGTAACTTTCGGGCTACACGGTTCTTTGATTTTTTTTTTTTAAACAATGATTGCATGGTATAATAGTGATAGTATAACATTATTATGGATTTACTATGTGCTAGTCATTATTCCAGGCAATTCATACTTACTAATTTCTTTAATATTCAGAGCCTTCTCATTACCTCTATTGTCTATATAAGAAACTGAGGCACGAGCCAGTTAAGTAACTGGCCCACGGTCCTGAGCTGTAAGTGGGGAAGTAGTGGTCTGTCCCCAAGCCGACTGCTTATCACTGCTATGTTATATTGCTTAGTTCAACTCTAGTTTTGAGACACTTTACTAGACAGAGGTTATTGATGAAAACCCAGTCAAACCCAAATCAGCCTGAGTCTAGAATGAAAGGGAAGGCATATACTTCAGGACAGGTTGACATAAATCTATTTTTAGTCATTTAAATACATTTTTGAGAATTGCTTTCCCCCTTCCAAATACGTTCTGAGATCAGGATGAGCAAAAGCCAAACACATATTTTTTATGTTTTGAGATTAAAACTGTGTTTGTCACTATGTTATAGTCATTAGTCCCCTACTGTGCTTCACACATAGCCTCTCCTCACCCCTCCACGTGCCTGCCCCCTGCAAATATGTCACAGCAACAACAAACTTTAGCTTTGTACATCCCATCTTCCTTACGTAGAAGCTATGGTTGATTTCTCCCTCTAGTGTTCCTAATCTGCTTACTGACCTTTGCTATTTAAGCTGACTTTTAAACATGAGGAAGAGAGGCGAATTGATTTTCTACTAGTAATGTGAAAAATTAGCGATTTAATTTCACAATATTTGTAAATAAGAAAATGGGACCAATGGCCTAGTCTCAGATTACATTATTGACTTCCCAGAAGTTGTCCTCTAGCCCCTACCTCTAGTCGTGTGGACATACAGAACAGAGAACTATGGAACCTGAATGAAGTGTATGTTCAGATGCCAACAGATGATTCCATTTCTCCCTTTAGTTTAGTAACAACATTATTTTCACTGTTCGGAAAAAGATTGGCTTGGTAGACGTAAGGAACCACTTTAGTCAGTGTGGATAAATGAAAAAACACAAGTGATCAGCTTTCATCATGACAAATGGAAACTGTCATTTAATTTTTATCCCCAATTATACAGCTCCAGGACCAATTTTTCAGGTGGAATGTTGGAGCCATTAAAAAGAAATAAGTAAACTATACCATATTCCATCATTTTTCTGGCAGCTAACCAATGATCTGTAGCCTTATTACATGTACGTTTTTATAGAGATATTTTTCTCTTAAGTTTGCAGAAGGCTTTATTAACTCTTTACTGATTTCTTCTGGAATGCATTTTTCCAAATGAATTCCTTTTTTCTTTTTATCGCTGAGTGTTGGTTGGGATTTACTTTGGTTTTCTCTGGAAGCTATACTCATTTTCTTCTTTTATGTTTTTTTTGATTACTAGAATTGCATGGAGCCGTATTTCTTTAATTCCAACTGAAGTTATATTAGTGGTCCTAATGTTGATTACAGACTATGTTAATTTGGATTTCAGAATGTGATTTATTAGAAATATAGGACACACAAAAAGACCCGACCAACCACCTTTTGTCTCCTGCCTTAAAGTGATACTGAAAAAGTTGGGTATCCCCAAAAGTCGTGCTCCCATAGCAGTTTGTCCGTTCTTCTAATAGGTCATGTTGTAATTTGCCGGACTTCATCTTCATGTTCCCCAGTAATTTGAAATCTTGGTACTGTGGATACCTTTCTATTTGGCTGAGTTATCTTTGCATCCACAAATTTAGCAGACTGCTTGGCACATACTGGGTATGCAAAAAATGTTTTTCGAATGACTGATTCAATGCTTTTTAAAATTTCCTTTTGGGACTATTTGTAATTAAAAATTATTTAACAATATTGAAGTCTAGTCTCTTCTGAGAACACTAAAACCCTTTACAATTATGTGTGTAGTTTTATTTATTCCATATAGAAAAATTTTACATGCAGTGGGTAGCCTTTGAATTTTCCAGGTGGGAGAAATTGAGATCAAAGGTTACTAATGATATTAAGAACTCCAGAGAGAGGCAATGCTGTGATTGGAACCATTGACTTCTGGGTTCCAAGCCCTTTTTTCTCCCCAGGCTACACAGCTTTGGGTCTTTCTGCTTATTGTACAATCTGCCATTACTTTTATTATCAAAAAATGTCACTGATTTATTTTTGATGTATAATTAACACAGAGAGTGGTGGTGAGAATGATGGTCAGAAGATCGGTTGTTTTGGTTTTGGAGAAGCTGGTTAATGGATGAGGTCTATTAGCTGTGTAGATCTATGTACAGATTTTTTTTTCTCCCTTGGTGTTCAAATCCTTTCCCCTTCATTCACCTAATTAGTAATTCACAGGAGCCTTTGGCTCCCAGCCCAAGAATATTTGTATTTACTCGACTTTAGCTTCAGAATAAACTTAATTTTCAATGAAAGAGGTACTGAAGTACATTATAAACAATAAGGCAACATTTTCTTCAGATGTATGCCTTGGCATATGCTTAGAGGAGAAATGATACCCTCTTGTATCTACTTATAAAACTGTCATCTGGTACTGTTGCCATTAGAATATGCAAGTAAGCTTATAAACATACTGATGAAAATGGATTCTTTTGGCTGGGAACCTTGTTAAGTAAAAGGTGTTAAATCATGTATCTTGTCCTCAGGGGTGGTGGACTGAACAGCTGCGCTTATCCTTATTAATGACTGTAGTCTCCTGTTTCAGAAGCAGCAAATAGCCTTTTGTAAGAGTTGTTATAATATCAAGAGTTACTTTTAGTCAAGCTCTTTACTGGGAATATTAATATATAGTCTAGCTTGGCAAACAGCAAAAAACCCTAGCAGTTTGCAAATGGTTTTCCTAGTTTCTTTCCCAGGAGTGATAGGAGGAGTAAACTCAATGAAATAAACACACGTAATTGCCGATCTGTCATAAATCATTCTTTGTGGTAGGTATCTACTTTTAAGGCTACATTAGGTCTTCCAATGGGAGAAGAGCTCTCGGATTTGGCTAATGTACCTGCACTGATGGAGAGATGATGATTTTCTGTCTATTCGCTTGTGACATAAATGAGAACTTCTCTTGTGTCATTTTGTTGGGGGTGGAGTGTTGGGATTTGGGATTGGTCAGTCATAGAATTGCAGAGTTAGAAGGGACCTTAGGGATTGGACTCAGTATAGTACAACATCCCAAAGCTTTAGAGTGAGCCCTTTCATTTTGGGTAGCTGTAATATTAGAATGCTTTTTCATATATTATGATTGTATTTATTATTCTCTGTGATGTTCACTCATTGGTCCCTTGCCTTGCTTCCCAGGGTCTAATCCTTGTTTGTCACCATCCATCTAGTGTGACATCCTTGACTGTGCATGCCCTTGACTCAACCTGGCCCTCTCTCCCACCACTTAGCACATGCCTTTTATCTTTCTGTACTTTTTATATACCATATTACATTTCCTTGGTGTTCACTTGGCTCCATGCTGAACTGAATTCTGTGAAGGTAGGGATCAGATCGTAATGCATCATAGAATTTTGGGTGCCTAGTACAATGCCCAGTCCTCAATAATATACATTATTGAATGTGTATTGTTCTCATCAGCTTAAAATAGAACTATCATGGGTTTTTTTTGTTTGTTTTTGCTTGTTTGTTTTTCCTATAGGTATAGCTGTTAGGATGCCTGATTACACATTGACCATTGAACTTAAGATCAGTTGAAACTCTCAGGGCTGTCAAGAGTTGCCTGATGCAGGGTTTGGGGAATTGTAAAATAACGGAAGGGGCTAGAGGTGTCCCAGAACAACTTCTCATTGATTTCAGAGTCCATATTTCTATCTGGATATTAGCCTGTAGCATCCAAGTGATTGGCGTGAGTAAGTCAGTACCTTGCTCATTTTCTATAAAGTTTGATCATATTCACAAATTTAATAGCATAGTGATAAATTTCTCACACAAAAATTCCTCAATGTATCTTTATTTCATGATAGAAAACCACCTACTGTTTCCAAGCAGTGAGCTTAATCTTTTCTTCAGTGTTTTTGCAGTTCCACATAGGAGTTACAGTTATCATTATTAAATGTCTTGGGTAGAGGTGAAACAGCATTCTGGTTTTTTGTTTTTGAAATCTGTGTTTGTCTTATATTCAATATCTCTGCAAACTTTACACATTTTGTATTTGAATGGTTAAAACTTCAAGGCTATTGAGTCATCATTTTCATTGGTGTGTCCCATCATTTCTGTGAGATACAACACACCCCACCCTTTTCATGGAATGGGAGAAGCCCTCAGCCAGCATGTATATGATTTCTAAGCCTATAGGTACAAGCATGAGCAGGCAGGACTTCACTCCTTTGGCCCTCGTCATTAGTTTTACTTTTTTTTTTTTTCCCAGAAGAAAAAACACCATGTCCATATTGCTAAAATCAGTGATTGATAAAATCTTGAACTAAACTTGACATAGGTTTCTGTACTTGAAGAAGAGGTGGTAGGATCACCTGAACCCAGGAGTTTGAGACCAGCCTGGGTGACATAATGAGGTCCCGTCTCCACACACTATTAAAAAAATTAGTTAGGTGTGGTGATGTGCACCTGTGGTCCCAGCTACACTGGAGGCCAAGGCGGGAGGATTGCTTGAGCCAAGGAGGTTGAGGCTGCAGTGACTCACGTTCATGCCAGTGTACGCTAGCGTGGGCAATGGAGTGAGACCCTATCTTAAAAAAATAAAAATAAAAATGAATGAAAGCCAAAGCGACTGAGTATCCACAGTTTTCTCAGATACTCAGAAGGAAAATGTCAAGAACAAGGATAAGTTGGGTGATTATTCAAATGGTGGCCTGTGGGTCCTGTTGAATCTAATGCCTCCCTCTGTGGATTCAGTGGTGTTTCCTCCAAACTCCCCTTAGCTGTCTGTGTGTACTTAATACATGAATGCTTATATATGAGGAGGAACAGTTCTTATCTCTGAAGTAGTAAAGCATCTTATTGCATTTGTTTAATGACTTTGAGATCTATCTGGTAAACTCCAGGTTATAATTTCTTTCTTTGAATTTGATTGATTTTCTCATTCAAATATTTCCGGAAGTATTTAGTGACCATCTATCATGTGCTATGCACAATGCTGGAGATTGGGAAATAATGGTTCACAAGACAGATAGGATCCCTGTTCAAGAGCTTAGCATCGAGTGGGAATACAGGCAATGAAACAATTACAGTTTATCACGTGTGGTAAGTAAGGATAGGGAAAGCCTCTGTCAGGAGATGAAATGTTTGCTGTTTAGCGTATCCATACAGTGATTATGTATTCTGAGCCAAAATTAGAGCACAAAAGATAATGCCAAAAAGATGATTATGCCAACTAATTTTTTGCCAAGACCATGTGTGGATGGAAATTTTAAAGATACAGTTTGGACATTAAAATATATGAATTTCTGGGACATTTAAGTAATTTATGAGTATAAACGGGTAGAATATTTGAAATCAAGCCTGCCCTGGCAAATCCTGGATAAATGTTTGCTGTACTTTCTGGTTTCTGCCACTTGTAGAGCTGAATTTATGGAGCTGTTAATTCAGGGAACAGATTTTAAAAAGAAATTTATTAGCATATAATAAAAGCATAACAGAATTTATTAAAAGTCTGATTTACTTTAGAAATTCTGAGCCCTACTCCAATGTTTTGATGGGAAAAAATAAACCAGGAAAAATGAGCAATTGTTCATGTTCTCAGTGCAGATATTATTAAAAGACCTTCTGTGCTACTGGAGTGTTATGGATTCTCTCTCTCAAAACACCACTTGGCTGTGCTTTGTCACTAAAGTCGACCTGACAATTTCCCGTAGATAACTCTGAAATGGATGTACATTCATGACTTTGCATAATAATTTATGCCTTCAATATTGCTGTGGTCAGCATGTGGACATCTCTGCAAAACATTAGTTAAGTAATTGGTCCTTTTCAGCTGCAGTCTGTCAACAGCACACGTCCTTTGAGGCCATGAGAAAATACTTGCAATGCTTCAGTGTACTCATCTATGCAAATTGGTGATTCATGGGCCAACAAGGGCAGGATAGAGGAACTAGGAGGCAAAGATGTTTGAAGTAATAAAACAGTTGCTAAAACAGGGTGGGATAGCTAGTATACCTCCTCCCTGCAGTCAAGACTATACCCAAACCATCTGAGATGGACACCTATCTAGGCTCTTCTTGAAATGCCATGACATGAAACGTTTAGGAACAGGAATTTCTTCTGTATGTCCATAATATTATCTTTGCCTCCACTTACCCTTTTACATTTTGGGCCAGTTTTCTCTTTGGTGGTAATGGATACCTGGTTAGCCTTTACTTATGACATCATTTTACTAAAAGCCCTTTGCTGGAAGTAGGTCTGGGGGCTCAGATCGCATGTTTCAAAAGTCTTTTTGGTTTGGGTGAAGTTTTGTAGCTGCTGTGCGTGGCAGGTAGAAGACCCAGTGCACCCCTCCCAGAGTGGGTTCTCTGATGATAATGCTTCACCTTTAAGATTGCTTGACAGGATTTAACCACATATGCAACAAATCAATGCAGTCTAGAGAACAGATGCACTTGATCTATATTGTTTGTCTTTTTTTTGACTGATGCAGGCAAAAGAAACCATCAGATAGCTTCTCGGTTAATATAGCTTTGTTCTGAAAAGGAGGCAGTGATATATTTGAGGATGCATATGGCCAAGGCCTGAAATGAGGTGGATACTTACCAGTTGGGACAACATATAATCAATATCCAACTAAAGCATTCTATAAATGGACCTTTTTTTTTGATCAAACCATATTATGTAAAAGTTCTCTAACAGTTTATTAGTATCATTAGAAAATGTAGCCTACTAAAAATTCTAAATGATCATTTTAATGAAAGCTGTGTCATTTGTGAGTGGCACTTGCCTATAAATTTTTCTAGAGCTATGAAAATAAGTTAGACAAGAGGCCAATGGTTTTTCTTTCTTCTATTTTTTTTTACATTTCCCAAAGCTCTGTGAACAGCTCTGACTGTCTGATTTGTTTCATCGTTGCCTTCCACTGCCTGTAGAACATCTGTTGGAAAATAATGCTTGTCCTGTCAGTTTCCAGAATCAGCAGCAAACCGAAGTGTGCGCACAAGGTAGATGTCAGCATTATACTGCTGCTGCCACCAGGCTACTGAAAGACAGAATTAATCCTGGGCTGGTAAGATTCATTAAAAATAAAAAAAGATCTGGAAACCCTATTCAGGAATAGAATGCTTATCCCAAAATGGACCAAGCAGAACACAAGCAAAGTGGTGATTTTGAACTAAAGGCACAGATATAGGATGATTATTGCCTGTTATTTAGTGGATGACTCTTTGTTCTGAGACTAGGTTATACTGTTTTGCTGGAAGCTCACAACAGATCAATAGTAATTTTGTTATGGGCCAGATGTCAAAACAGAAATGTGCTTTCAAATCCCACTGACTTGCTGTGACAACTAGTATGCTAAAATACATTCGCTCAGCAATCAGGCGTTACACGGTGCTCCTGGAGTTCTGTTTTCTTTCATGTGGAGCCTTAAAGCTACGTATTGTTAGCTGAGTTTCCCTGATTTTGTAGTTCTTTCTCTATTACATATGTACCTCTTTTGGTTGAGAATAGAAACACTTCCTCAAATTCTCCCCTTTCCTCTGCCTTGATAATGAGCTGGGTGTAAAGTCTACACCATAACTTCCTGTTACAAGTATCATTTTTATGGTAATAAATAAAATCTGTGGTAGGAAAATGGTCACGAAGAAAAGCAAACCAGCAAGAAGCATGTTATTTTTTTAGTTCCTCTGTAGTCCAACTTTGGAATTTTAATTTTGGTCTGGTGAAGATTTGGGAGTCAAATGTTTTGTGATGAAAGATAATTTAAGGGATGTTGATTTGCCCATCGCTTTGGTATCTTCCCGTTTCTCCTGCTTCTGTGAAACTGTTGGTTACCTAATGTCTTTTGGATGAGATTAGGATAGCATGCCATAGTGAGAAAATGTCTTCCTGCGCTGATTTGTTTTTGTAGAAATATCCCAAATTAATCAGAGGGAAACAACTGGCAGTTTTTGGCTGATGTGGTTTGGAAGTGTAATTTTAAATGGTGTTAGTTTCTTAAGTCCAGAGAGAATTGGACTCATGTCTTGTCTATCTAGGCCCAGCTGTCTTCCCCGTTTTCTCCTTAAAACAGGAAAAGAAAAAGCCTTTCCTTTTCAGACCAAGAAAGGATTGAACAAGCTCAGAATTATGTATTCAATAATGTGATAAGAGTTTTTTATTCCACCTCTGGGGCAGGTCTTGCATTTCTTACCATTACCCTATCTTTTGTAGTAGAAATATCTCTAAGTGAGAAGAAACATTTCATCCAAGCATGTAAGTTCTCTTAGAACTTATTACTCTGCTGGATTTTGTGTATATTAGTCTATATAATTCTTGATGCTGCTCAGATTTCTCTAACAGACGTTTTACTCACTTACAAAAAGAATTCCTTGGATTCTGTTGTTCTTTCCTATCTGTATTGCCAATGCTTTTCACAGAACTTTGTTCACTTTACTCTTGTCAGCTTCATCAGTAAAATGAACAGAGTTCAAATCAGATTAAGTACCTTCTGTAGCAGCTTTCATTTATTTACTGACCACTGGAAGATGCCTTTTTTCAACAAAAATTAAATACACTATTGCTGCATTCCAGACTATGTTACAAGTGGAAGAGGATTGCAGATTAGTATGTCAAAGCCCCACCCTTTCAGAAACTTATACACATAGAAGGCACAGCTCTCATACCATACCATTGAGGTACAACAGAGGATGAATTTGCATGTGTCTGCCCTCATTCTCTTAGTTGATTCTCCTGATAGCTAAGTGCATAAATTGCCAAATCATGGGAGAGAGAAGCTAACCTGTCCACTGAGAATTAAGTGGACAGAGTAAACCACATATTTTGTTGTAATTGTTATTACCTCAGCTGTATTTTCGTACAAAAGAATCACAGTTCATGACAAGGGAACGTGGAACATAGAGCAGAGAGTCAGGAAGAGAATGCCAGGTGGGTCCCCCCAAAACAAAATCCAGTAAATTAGGAGGGGGAGTTGAATATGAGAATTGCAATTATTATCTGAGAGCAAAGCAGCAAAGAAACTCAAGAAGGTGAATTGTGTTTTCAGGAACACTTTTGGAAAAACCTCTAGATTTTTCTTAAATAAAAATAAAATCTTACATAAAAATCTATAAAAGATACCAGAATTAGAAAAAAATGGAGAACTTGGGATCCTTTTGCTTCTTTACATTCTATGTTGGACATAAAGTGAGCATTACTTTATGTGGGGAATATGTATGTATGTGTGTATTTATATATTCTAATTTATTTTAACAGGGTGAAGTGGGTCAGTGAGTAAGATGCAATAGAACAGTAGTTATCTTTGTCAATTAAAGCCCCTGTCACCATGGCGTAGGTTAGTGTAAGCTCTCTTGCAGAGTGTCTTTGTAGAGATACTCAAGTAATACCATGTGTAGTTTTGCAGAGATTTTGTAGGTTTCTTAGATGTTTACCGTCGTGTGCTAAGCTTTTTCCAAGCCAAAAAACATTGATCTAGGCCAGATACTGGCAAACTTTTTCTTCAAAGGGCCAGATAGTAAATATTTTAGGTCTTGTAGGCCATATAATCTCCAGCAAAATCACTCAGGTCGGTTGTTGTAATGCAAAAACAGCCATAGGAAATACATAAAAGCTTGGCTCTGTTCCAGTACAACTTATTTTATTTTATTTATTTTTTGAGACGGAGTCTCACTCTATGGCCCAGGCTAGAGTGCAGTGGTGCACTTGGCTCACTGCAACCTCCACCTCCCAGGTTCAAACGCTTCTTCTGCCTCAGCCTCCTGAGTAGCTGGGACTATAGGCACCAGCTGTCACGCCCAGCTAATTTTTGTATTTTTAGTAGAGAGGGGGTTTCACCATGTTGGTCAGGCTGGTCTCGAACTCCTGACCTCAAGTGATCTGCCTGCCTCGGCCTCCCAAAGTGCTGGGATTACAGGAGTGAGCCACCACGCCCAGCCCCAATACAACTTTTATTATGGACACTGAAAATTTGAATTTAATATAATTTTTATGTGTCATGAAATATTATTCTTTTGATTTTGATCAAGCATTAAAAAATGTGAAAACCATTCCTAGCTTTTGGGCTGGCTTTGACCTGTAGGCCATAGTTTGCCAACCCCAGTTCCAGACCCTTTACTGTCTATGCTTTCTAAGCCATATTGTTGCTTAATTGGAAGCTTTACCATATCATAATTAAATTTGGTAGTAACTGTGTGAGAAAGTGAAACATTTACAATAATCCTAAGAGGGCCAGGCACAGTGGCTCACGTCTGTAATCACATCACTTTCGGGGGCCGAGGTGGGCGGATCACCTGAGGTCAGGAGTTCAAGACCAGCTTGGCCAACATGGAGAAACCCTGTCTCTACTAAAAATACTAAAATTAGCTGGGCATGGTGGTACACGCCTGTAATCCCAGCTACTCTGGAGGCTAAGGCAGGAGAATCGCTTGAACCCAGGAAGCGGAAGTTGTGTTGAGCCAAGATTGCACCATTGCGCTCTAGCCTGGGTGACAGAGTGAGACTCTGTCTCAAAAAAAAAAAAAAATAATAATAATAATAATAAAATAAAATACTTAGAGAACTGATACAATTGTCAGAATTCAACTCTCCAGGAAAACTCCTACAGAGAGTATAGTTCATTCCATTTTATTTGGGGCTGCGGTACGAATTCTCAGTGGCCTGAAGAGTGGCAAGGGGGAGAGGTGAAAACCAGCCACAGGAAGGGCTGATGGTGACCAAGTCCTTGCTGAATGCCTACTACACCCTGACGCTGGGGTAAGGGCTGTACCCAGATTATCTCCCTTAGTCCTCACAAGATTTCTATGAAGTGAGAACTGTTCTCATCTCTGTTTTATAAAAGAAACCAGTCCTGGTGGGTTAAGAAACTTGTTGAAGATAGCATAATAAATGGCAGAGACTAGATTTCAACCCAGTCTGTCTGACGCTGTGAGGTGTGTAGTCAGCGTCGGGCAATGTAAGTCAGTTGGCTGATTAACTGCACTTAGCTTGGTGCCTTGCATATGGTAGGTCCTATATATGTATTACTGTTTTGTCTGTAGCAAAAGGGGAGGGTTGGGGTGAAGTAGTATTAAAGCATTAGGGACCAAAGAGTATGATACCTTCGTTAGAGTTTCAGTTGGATCTTGTAATCAACCTGTGTCTTAATCAAGCCAGAATATGCTTTTGGGAACCAAAGAGGAGTGATAAAAAAATAAAAGATCAGAGAAACTCATGCAGTTAAAAATGTGGCAAGTCATAGACATGGGGAAGCCAGTGTGAAAGTCCTTACTACTGAGCTCATGAAGCTCATGAACTTCCACTTGACGGCCAGAGTGTCATGTTTCAGAAGACTAGAGGAAATTTTTTTGACTTACTGCCAATCATTTACATAAACTTAAAAGATCTTAGCATTAAAATTACTTATTTGAAGTGCTGGCAGGTTAATAAATTCAGGGGGCTATTTGAAACATTGTCAATCTAAAATGTAATCCTATTAAAATAATTGAGTATTTTCTGAGTGGAGAATTCCCTTGTCCTCCTGTCCAAGGCTCACAAGAGAACAACATAAAAGGCATCCTAAAATGTCCTCTGAACATCATTGAACCAGCCGACGTGTTTGCACAGTGTAATGCTCTTTCGCAAAGAATTTCCTCAGCTCTTCCACTTTAAAAGGCAGAAATCCCAACATAATGGCAAGTTTATTCTAATATGGGAAGTGGGGATTATATTTGAAGTGATACCTTATATAGGTCCTGGGAACCTTCTTGGTCTGTTTGTGCTCATTTCTGTATGTGATTGAGGATCCTGTGTAACTCAAAACATGTGCGTTTGCTTCCTTCTGTTCCTTTCTTGGGCTCCTTTTCATCCAGCAGCTTGGGTTACCTTGAATTAAATTGGTTTATGGCATGCCGTTTTCGGTAAAACTCCCTGAAAGAAATGGTCACATAACTCAAAAAGGTTTGCCCTTGGAGTGATTTAGTCATGCTGGATGATAGCTAAGGAGGCTTATTGACTTTGAGCTCCCTTTGGAACCAAATTCAGAAAGCTGTGCACTTCTGTGGCACCTGTGAGACACTCACTTGAATAGAGCTACTGAGAAAAGCATTTCAGTTATTGGCATTTTTCCTAATGCATTTTGTATGTGTCTATACCACAGGGAGAAATGTGTGGTTATTGTTGAAATATTATCTGCATGGCTTTGTAGAAGAAGAAGAAGAAAAGTCACTGTACAGCAATCAGCAGAGGAAGTCTCATAGTGTGTGTGTGATGTTTGGGTGGGGGGGTGGTCTGTGTCTTCCCCCACCACCAAAACTCCAAACAGCTGTGTGGCTGTATTTTAAGACTTTGTGACTTACACATCTATTAAAGGGATCTTGAACTTGACAAGTTGGATGTTGGTAACCATGATTTGGAATGCTATTTAAATACGAGCATTCCTTTTGTTCACCTGGTTGTGACTAGGAAGATAGGCCTTGATCATTTGAGTAACTGTGCTCTGTGAATCCGAGAGGAAAACAAACTCTCAGAAGTGCATAAAAGTTAAGTTAATTTCTTTTTCTTTGTAAGCCGATAGACTCTTGTTTAAATACAAATTTGTGTGGACAGATTTTCGTTTGTCATGCGTGAGCTGGGTATGTTGCATTTGTCTAAAGGGAGCAGTTTTAAGTAGGTGGATGTGTAATACCCGTAGGCTATCAGAACCACCATTTCAATAAATCCCTTCTCATATAACAACCGTGCAGGAAGTTTGGGTAATTGATTCTCCTGAGCAATACAAATATTGAAATTCTTAATTATTCCAAGTGATGGGCAGAGCTACTACTTTTATATTTTAAAAAATTCTGTTTATTATTCTTAGGTGTTCATTAAACACTTATTGATCAGCAGTCTACAGCCAGGCTGTAGGCTAGATGCTGAGATGCCAAGTGGGCAAAAGGGAGAATCCTTGACCTCATAGAACACTAAGGAATGCTGATCCCACATGGATAATTATAATGCATAAGTTCATTAATTCAAGAGATTTTTGTTTATTTAGTATGTGCTAGATGCTGGGCATTGGGGAGGGAAAGACTTGTGGGATGGGGAGAAAGGGACAATGGTGAGCGAAAGCAGACTTGGCCCTCATGCTCCTTATGGTCAGGGATCAGTTATTAAATATATTTAGGGCCGGGTGTGGTGGCTCACGCCTGTAATCCCAGCACTTTGGGAGGCCTAGGCAGGCAGATCATGAGGTCAGGAGATCGAGACCATCCTGGCCAACATGGTGAAACCCCATCTCTACTAAAAATACAAAAATTAGCCAGGTGTGGTGGCGTGCACCTGTAGTCCCAGCTACTAGGGAGGCTGAGGTGGGAGAATCACTTAAACTCAGGAGGGGCAGAGGTTGCAGTGAGCCGAGATCACGCCACTGCCCTCCTGTCTGGTGACAGAGCATGAATCTGTCTCAAAATATGGTATTATATATATTATATATATGGTTTTATATATATATATGGTATAATATTTATTAACCAAACAGTCACACAAATATACAATTGTAAATGATACAAGTGTCATGGAGGAGAAGCCCATGGTACAATGAAATCATGCACCAAAAGCATTTGATCTGATCAGGTAGGCCAGGGAGGGCTTCGTGGAGGAAGTGAAGATTGAGCTGAGATATGAAGGGCTGGTGTGACCAGGTTGAAAAAGACAGGAAGAACTTTCCAGAGGGAACAGGGTGCCTTAAAGGAATTGAAAGAAAGCCATTAGCTGGAGTCAGAGATCTGGGCAGAGAGGAGAGAAGAGGTAGGAAGGTTCAGACTGCTTAAAGCCCTTCAGGTTGTGTGAAGGACTGGGGGCCTTGTTCTAAGAGTTATAAGAAGCCTTTGAGGGTCTGAAGCAATTCATGAGGGGTAACATGACCCTAGATGTTTTCTGGAAAAAAATCACTGTGGTTACCTTGTAGAGGGGCTTGAGTGGCTGCAGACAGGTACAAAGAACTACTGTCTGGACAAGAGGTAACAGTGGCTTGTATTAGGGTGGTGGTGGGTTTGAGCGTAGGCATGGAGAGGTAGGTGGAATTGAAAAGTGTTATTTAGGAGGTTAAATCTACAAGCTTGGTGATGGGCTGGGTATGGGCCGTTAAGAAGAAGATAAGGATAATATAGTTATGAGGCCATATAAATGACATACCGACATTAAATAACACGAAATAATCCTTATTTTGCGTCTTCAAAGTTAAACTTTGCATATATTTTACAGTAGTTGTCAATCTGTTTTCCAGTTTTTCTGGTACTTTTTTTGTGCCATTTAGGAAGGACATTGTAGTTCTTACCCTTTTTTCTCCTTTTAATGTAATTAAGGTGGTGAAAGTACTCAGTTGCAACTCTAATAAGAAGTGCAAAAAGAAGCAGTTCCAAGCCAGAAGATAATATCAAACTAAAATATTTCCAGCAATATCAGCAAAATGTAAAGACAATATCGGAAACAAACATTTGCTGCCTCCTACCTTCTCTGTCGATTTTAATTCAGAAAATTTAAGTGATTTTTCTCATATCGAAAATGAGTTAAAATACTAGAGAGTCTTTTATTCCTTATAAACTAAGTCAGAGTAATTTATTTTATCTGGAGGAGAGTATTAAATTAGCTGTCAACCGTGCTATACAGGTGGATGGTAACTATTGAATGAAATGACCAAATCTCTGGTCCTGCGGCATTCATTTTTAATCTCTGCTTTCCATTGAAAAAGGCAAAACATGAAATATTGAGATAATAGTACTAAAACTCCAAGTAATTGCTTTTGTTAGCTCAACTCATGTTTACTCATATTAATTACTGAAATTTGATAACCCCTTTGTTTTTTACTTAGCCTGATTCTGAATGCAGTGGACAGAGCTATAAATCAGGTAGGTGGTTCTCACTAAGGCAGGACTCTTTTGCTTTGATGTTGGCAGCTTAAGGCTAATTCTCCAAGCTTGATAGGTTTATAATTCAAGAAGATGTGATTTAATGTTGATGGAATTTATTTTTGAAACACATTATAGGAAGAAAACCTTTCAAAGTAACAAATGAAGTTTTGAGGTAAATCTTAAATAAATAAAGATTGTCAGGATCTCTAAACGCCCAGCGTTAGCTATCTCTATAGGATAGTTCCTCCACCTTTAGCTGGAGGGAAATGGCTGGAGGAGAATGAGAAAGTGAAGAGACAAGATGTGGAAGCTATAGAGCCTTATGAATAAGTCATGCATTTAAAGACATTACTTTTTTGTATCTTCTCCTCTTTCTAAATTTACTTGACATTACCTTCTTTTCATAATGTTTCATTTGCGGGGTTCCTTACAAGTTATTTTTCCAAAGGTTACCCTATTTGGTATGATTTTTTTTTTGACATTTAATTTGCACTATAGGATTGTAGAATGTGGAGAAATCCTGGGTTCATTTCTTTTTCCAGTTTGCTGATACATAAATTTCATCCCCCCTCACGCCCTCATCTTATTTGTAACACTCATCCTTTCAAGAGGAGTACATGCCAGACACTGCTCCGGGTCTGGGGGATGTAAGCAGGGAACAAACCACACTGAGTTTTCTCATGGACATCCCTGCTTTGGACACTACTATTACTAGGACCACCTAAAATCACATTATCTACTTCTAATTTTTTATTATTTTTTGTAACCTCATGGCATTGTTAGCTCAGTAGAGCTCAGCAGAGCTTAGTGCATACTGTTTGAAGAAAATTATTCTAAAATATAATACACAATTCTCTGCCTTTGAAAAACAATGTTTGATTTCAATGTTACTTAAATAAATGACTTCGGCTTCTATTTTTTTTTTTTTTTCTGCTCTTGTGCCCAGGCTGGAGCGCAATGGCACGATCTCAACTCAACCTCGGCTTCCCAGACTCAAGCAATTCTCCTGCCTCAGCCTCCTGAGTAGTTGGGATTACAGGTGCCCACCGCAACGCCCAGATAATTTTTTGTATTTTTGTAGTAGAAATGGGGTTTCACTGTGTTGTTCAGACTCGTCTCGAGCTCAGGGGATCCCCACCCGCCTCAGCCTGCCAAAGTGCTGGGATTACAGGCATGAGCCACCGCGCCCAGCCAGGATCTTTTAGAATAATAATATATGTTGCATATAGACTGTTATATGGGTTTGTTGTTTTGTTCATTCTGCATTCAGAGAGTGCTATTTTTTTTAGTTCTCAGCAATTTTTAATAAATCATTTTTTTCTGTTTCTTTGCTCTCTGCTTTTTCCCTTTTTAAAAATTTATTTTGATTTTATTGTAGTTTGGAAATCAAGGTAACCAAGATTATTAGAAGTGTGTGAAAAGTATGTTAATAGAGTAAATGGTGACAGCTCGTCATCCTTTCCCATGACTTCAGTAGCACTTACATGGAACCAAGACATTTGAGTGACTTAGATACTCCCTTGTAGGTTCTCTGGCACTCTGGAGAGTTGGGCTTGCCACGTACTGGGCCTCAAACGTGAGATGTTACTGAAACTATCTTGTCCAAAATATTTTCCTGTGAAATCCTTTGAGGCAGTAACCTTTTTATTGCAACATAGTACGATGTTTTATAATTTTATCCTTTCTGGATTTCCTAGTCTGCTCATATGCGCACACACGTACACACACACACACACACGCACACACACACTGCTAGTTTTTTTTCTCTATAGCTAAGCTTTATTGAGTGAAACCTTTAAAATGATATCTCTACATTCTGTCAGTGGTATATTAAGAATTATAACAAGGCAAGAAATAGTGAAAATAAGAATTGAGGAGCTTATAGACAATTGCAAGGCTTCTAGACTGGATGCTAGGTTACATGAACACACAACATATTGATTTGGGGAATAAGAGCTATATATAGTTTAGATGCAAGCTATGACAGATGGGGGTTCATGAGCAACAAATCTGATGACTTCTAGGCATCATTCCAAACTCTTAAAAAAAAATTCACCAGATGCAAGGACTCTTGCCTTTCTTAATGAATTCTTTTTTATATAAATGAGTCCCATTTATATATTTCCTCCCATGGCCAATTATCCTGAGGGCATTATAAGAATTATGATTTTATTATTATTTTTCCATTTAGTGGATGTATTGCCACATGGTAGTAGGGTAGTTACATTGGTAAAGTTGACTTTTTTCTAAAGGAACCCATAAATATCTAGATAGCAACCCAGAAATGTCTAGATATTTTAAACCTATATAAGATTACAATCTAATGATACGTTTTTTCATAAATATTTGTACCTTTGTCTTTGCAATGCTTTTCAAAATTATCTCTTTTGGAGGAGGTAGAACAGGTTCATCTAATAGCCCTTTGCCAACATTTGGAAGACTCAGACATATTTTCTTTAGTTGTGGACATCCCCTTTAATTACATTCTTTTTTTTTTTTTTTTTTTTTTTTTTGAGATGGAGTCTTGCTCTGTCGCCCAGGCTGGAGTGCAGTGGCATGATCTTGATTCACTGCAAGCTCCGCCTCATGGGCTTAAGGATTCTCTTACCTTAGCCTCTGGAGCAGCTGGGACTGCAGGCGTGTGCCACCACGCCTGGCTAAGTTTTTGTATTTTTAGTAGAGATGGGCTTTCACGTGTTAGCCAGGATGGTCTTTATTTCCTGACCTTGTGATCCACCCACCTAGGCCTCCCAAAGTGCTGGGATTACAGGCGTGAGCCACCGTGCCTGGCCCTTTAATTACATTGTACTTCATTATTAATATATTTTCTTTTTCTTTAATTTCTGTTTGTCGATTAATACATGAATATATTCCCCTTTACAAAATGTTTTAGATAATGCTAAAGTCTCCACTGATGACCCCTTATCCATGTTAGCTAACTTCTGTATTCTTCTATGTTTGCCCCCATATCTATCATCTTATCTGTCATCTATCATCTATCCATCTATCTATCATCTCTACTTCTAGATAGAGGCATAAACGTAAAATCCATAGAAACCCTATGGGACAGCATACGTAGTATCATTCTGTCCTCATCATTCTACACCTGCTGTCTTCAGCCAGCAGTGTCCTAGAAGCCTGGCCATGTTGCTACGTGCTGATTTTGCTTGTTCCATTTAAATGCTGCCTTGTTTTTTCTTCAGCACACATATACCTCTGTTTGTTTAGCTGTTCCCCAATTGATAGACATATGGGTTGTTTGAAGATTTTTCCTCATGTAAACTGTTCTTCAGTGAAGATTCTTCTGCGTGTCTCCATGTGCACATGTGTGAGAGTTTCTTTAGGATACACACCCAGAAATGGCATTGCTGGGCCATAGAGGGTGCACATTGTAAATTTTAATTTATATCTGCTATGCTTGGCTGCTGGTCATTTTAAACTTTGTTTCGGGAACTAGGTTTTTGCTTTTTTTAATGAACAGAGTTGAACCAAGTAATGTTCTCCTATGGAACAAAACTAAAGATCGTTTCATTATATCCTCCTGTATTCCTGTGGCATTCCTATCTGCACCTTTCATGGAGTTTTAGAACAGATTAAGTGAAATTTGTTAATATACATGCCAGGAAACACAGCAACCTGTCCCTGGCTCTTGTCTTACCCATCACATGCCTCTTCCTGCTTCATCTTAGTTCATCCCTGTGAATGGCAGAGACCCAGTCCTGTCATTTTAACGGAAATTATCCAAATTTTAAAAAGAACCAAAATGAGCTAAACCATCCAAGCTGTGGAGGGGCCCAGAGGGGGTAAAGGGGGAAGCAGGGGAGGGTGGGTGAAGAAGAGAGTATTATGGATGAAACTCAACTGGTGCAGCAGAGGATGCAGTGAGTGACCTTGTCTTAGCGGAAAGAGAGTAAAGGGTGATTCTCCAGCCACAGGTGTTTCTGCGCTAAGTACACCTACAAGAGGATCTGGAGGCAAAATCCTTTGAACTCTTGCTTCTCAGAGCACAGGGGTAAAAATAAAAGGGGAAAGGCTTTCTTTACAGGCTAAGACTTAGTTAAGGCCAGTGGTCAAGCTACAGTGTGCACCCCACTTCCCCTACCCTCTGAAGAGATGGGGCAGCCCTACTCTGGGTGACATGGAAGCGACTGAAATCAAAAGTCTCTGTGAAAAAGGGGCCGGGGGTCAGAGTCTGGTCCTGTGTCTTGTTACTACTACTAATTGTAATTAGTTTCTTCAATTTTATATCATCTGTGAGAGAGATCATTTTAACCCACTGGCAAGAGGCGATATAACATTTTTCTAGCATCCACTAATCATGTAGGATAAAACATTCCTGAAGCTCAAAAGAAAATTCGTGTTTGGGAGATGCCTGGTGCTGCTGCTAAGATTTATTTTCTTTTTAAAATGTCAGTGTCTGCTGCCTTTCCTGCAGGTAGCCCTCCTGCCTCCTTGTCACCTGAGTCCTTCAGTGTCTTAGGTCGGGCTGCATCTGTTCCCGCAGAGCGTTCCCTTCCTCCAGCAGAAAGCTGGTTTGTTTGGCTGACAGATGGGGTTCCCGCTTTGGCCTAGATGCGCCTAGTTAAAGGGTTTCTGTTTGAAGCCCACAGGTGAAGGCCAACTCCACACAGACCCCTGCTTACAAAGTTCCCTTCATGGTCACGTAAAGCAGTAAGGAAGTTTTTAATTGACATTGTCTACTGTTAAGAGGGCATAGTGTGGACATCTTTTGAGAGGGTTTACTTTGTCTTTCTATGAAGTGTCAAGCTATTAATTCATTGGATAATGCAGTGGGTTTGGAAGAGAGGTACATATTATTGTGGCTTATCTTTTAGAAACTCCGCACATCAAAATCCCCTCAGAAGCAACAATCCCACAAACCTATGTTGCAATCTAACCCAAAGCTTAAACTGTTTGAGTGATAGGTGTAGTTAAAATAACAGTATTTAATGCCCAAAGCACATTAAATTTGGGTGAAGAGGATGCATTCTGCATAATGCCTAGAGATGTCTCGTTACGATGCGGTTACCTAGCAACAAGTGGAAACTGTATGAAAATGAGGTGCTTATCTGTTGTTGAAGTGGGTGCAATGAAACTTATTACGCTAGCCTGTTTGGCTTGGCATGTTATTAAAATCACAGCTAATGTGGAAAGAACTGGAGCCTGTTCTCATTTGATACAGAAGCACTGTTAAATGCTGCTACTGTAAAATGGCAATACTTTGGTTAGGAAAATAGAAACTCGCAGCCTCCTTAAGCACTCAACATTGAGATGTTAGAGTTTGATTTATATTATCAAAGACTTATTAATAAAAGAGCGGACAGAATCTGTAGTGGTGACTTAAGAAGCAGCCAGTTATTTAGATTTTTAAAAACATTCAGGGAGCCATTTATCGTTTCATCTATAATAATAGCTTAGTACGGCCCTGTTTCTTGTAGCCAAATTGTCTTTATCTGCTGAGCTTATTGAATTCTAACCACAGTCTTCTTAAGTTTGTTTAATTTACAGAATCGGGGTGCATTGTCATGATCTTTAAAGGTTCTCTTTTTGTCTAGTCACATTAAAACAATCTGCACATATTTTATACTATATACTGATGCATATTTTGATGGGAATAGAAAATCTTCTTATCCTTACTGGATCATGGGTTTTGTTGTTGTTGTTGTTTGTATATATAGAAAAGTGTGTTTTCTGGCTGGGCGTGGTAGCTCATGCCTGAAATCCCAGCACTTTGGGAGGCCGAGGTGGGCAGATCATTTGAGGTCAGGAGTTCAAAACAAGCCTGGCCAACATGTCGAAACCCCCTCTCTACAAAAATGCAAAAATTAGCTGGGCATGGTGGTGCACATCTGTAATCTCAGATACTTGGGAGGCTGAGGCTGGAGAATTGTTGAACTTGGGAGGCAGAGGTTGCAGTGAACAGAGATCTCGCCACTGCACTCCAGCCTGGGAGACAGTGCGAGACTCCATCTCAAAAAAACCCAAAAAACAAAACAACAAAAAAAGAAAAGTGTGTTTTCCTACAGGTTTGTCTTACTACTTCTTTATGTATAGTATATGTAGCTTCATATGGAAGTCTAACTTCACTACATTAAAAACAACAAGGTCAAACTGAGAATTCTACCAAAATATCCTCTGTGGGTGGCCTGTGATCCTAACATGATATAGCACCTGTTATCCTAGAGATGAAGAAAAGTTCAAGTACTTTCTGTGCTTGTCAGAGACCTGTGATGACACACAGAAATCTGGCATACAGGACCCGACTCTGTTAGCTGTATTCTGACGTTACTTCTGGGGCTTTGGAATGTGTTTATGTGTAGCAGATGGAGCTATTAGTTAGCTGTGCTATCTTGAAGAATTGCTTTCCCAGGTAATCAGCTCTGCTCATTTAGGATGTCGTTTCCCCACCTCGATATGTCAGCTCAAGAAGCAGGAATGATTAATTGCTGCAACTGGACAGTGCACTAGAATAAGGGGAACCATCCCCTGGTACTCCCATTCAACAGGGAGTTTGAAGTGCTATGAGGCAGAGCAAACAAGATGGAAACGATGACCAGGATGCTTCCTGAAGCTTACCTGTCAGTATATAGAGTTGCTGTGGCAACCTGAAGATTTGCAATTCATAGGAAGAGTAGAGCGAGACAAAACCTTAAGTCATGGCTGTCATTACAGTGGAATGGGTGCCACCAACACCTGGCAACCTCTATTACTTCAACTTGTTTCTTTTCACGCTTGGAGAAATAAAATGCATAAAAGATTAATATGCATAGTAAACCTTTTGGTAAAACATGTATGTGTTCTGCATTTCAGATGAGTAAAAACTTCAAGAGTTCCCCTCTACTTAAATCAATATTACCTAATAAGGTTCAAAGTGAGGTTACCATCAGACTCTTGATAAAATAAGAACTATGATGCAAGGATAAAGAAAGCATATTCTCTTTCAAATTTAAAAAAGGTGGGGGGATAGATAACAGTGTATTTTTAAAATTGTTGCCCCTCCTGGAAATGCTTATAATGTATTAATGTAAATTATGTGCCCTCTTTGCAGCTTTCTCTGTCACCATGCATAGTAAGGAGAAAGTTAGTTCTGGGTTTTGTTAGGTCTAAATGGTTCTTTTCCATTTCTTCTTGTTAAGTAACGGGTGTTTTAAGTTTCTCCTGGGGCAAGTACAAGCCATAGAGATGAATGTTAAAAGCACTTAGTTGAGGATTATCTTTCTGGAGGGGGGAAACTCAAATAACAAAATTACTGTGGTTTGTAAATACGGTCACATCATGTATGCATGTTCTGTGATTTTGTCACTTAATGGAAATGTAGGATTTCCAGCATCAAACTAACATTACAATTGTCCTCTTCAGGTGTTCACTCGAATGTTGAAGGTTGATGGGTATGTAAATCAAAACTCATTTAAATTTTATCCAGTTGGCACTAAGGCCTCGACTTTTGTCTTTGCTCTATTAAAAATGCACAAACATTAAAAAAAAAAACAGACCGTAGCGTTTTCTAGGTTTATATTTTACTGTGTTCAGTAACTTTCTTTTCATTTTTTGTTGTAGGAGAAAGTGTTTTCCAAGTATATATTTTAAAAACAGTTAAACTGAACTTCGCTTGGGGTTTTCTGACAAACAGAATCTTGAAAATCTTCCGTTTCTGAGTGTCAGAAAAATGTACAGTTTCAATAAAATCATAGCAGTCAGTTTCCTGACAGGTGCATCAAGTCTAGAATTAAATCGAAAGGACTGATGTGTTAAAAACACATTAAATATTTAATGTTAAAGATCAGCTTATAGTTTTTCTCTTATGTTTTCAAAGGGCACAGCGAACTATCTGTGCTGTTCCAAAGAGTTGCACTTGTAAAAGGGTCTATTCAATTTAGACCAGGATCCAGAAATGTAGGTTATGGCTAAGAGGATGAGATAACAAATAGATGTGTTCAGCTTCTACAACTGACTTGGTAGTTTAGTGGCCATGTTGTCCCTGTTGAGATGGGAAAGCTTTCTGATTGGTATGTTACAGCTCACCGCTGCATCAGGCATTTCTTCAAACCAGCATAGTGTTGTAATTGGAGATCATCTTCTTGAAGATGGAGCCTTTTATTTTTGTGGCTTTCTGGGGAGTTGTAATGCCTGCCTGTTTTTCCTTTTAATCAGATGTTTGAGAGCTGCAGCTTCGGGTCAAACGAACATATTCACACCTGATTTTTACAGTATTTTTTCAGCAACTTGAGTATTATGTTTAAATGGAAAACTATCCTGAATAGTCCCCTTTTAGGAAATAGTCTGTCTGAGAGCGGCATTTTCCAGCATTTGGTGGATTTGAGAGAAGGCACTGACACCTGTAATTTGTAACCCAGTTAAACTCGTTTATCTTGCCTGGACACACCTGTGGACAAGAAGCAAGCTGCTGATTTTAAGTTCAGCTGCGTAATTTTACTTGTTTGCTCAGATGTCCTTTAATTTATTTTCTGGGGACCTGATGACAGTAGCAAGATTTTAAAGTTAATTGCTAGATTCAAGGACAAGTCCCATGAATGGGCTGGAAGCATACCCTTAGGGCATAAGCCTGTGTGCGGATCTGTGACAAAGCCCTAATTTTGAGTTTATGTAATCATCGTACCGAAATATTTAAGATGGGAATCTATCAAGTCTTATCTGTTGAGACGTGATCCCTTTTATATCTGGCAGGCCTCATGCAACAAATTTCCTTTCTTTTAAGTGATCTCCAAAGCTGTCAAGTTCATTTGAGTGAACTGTGCTTGAGAGAAACATGTACAATTTTCTCTGGCAATGGCATGCTGCTGATGACATATTTTTAGAATTAGCTTTTTCTCTCCCCCACCCTTCTAGAAACTGAACTTTTATTTAAGCTCCCTGCTGTTAACATTGGAAAGAAAGTTTCCTGTGCCAATGTTTGCCCAAATGGAAGAAAATGTTTGCATTTTGTATGCAGTGTTCATAAACTTGATGAGTCTAACAGTTTGGCACCGCTGGTGAGCGCGTCTGCTTTGAGTTCTGAAGGGCAGGCAGAAATAGTGTAGTGAAGCACTGCAGCTACTGTGAAAAGGTGTGGCTGAGCTGCTGTGTTGAGATGCGACAGGTCGAGAATTCAGAATTCATTTTTCCTAGTGCTTTGAAGGTCAGTAGTTAAGAGAGACATCTCCCACTTGTCAAGTAGTTGTAAGCAAAAGAATCATTTCTTCCCTCATTCATTTGGTTAAGGTTAGCTGAAACACTGGCTTGCTTTGATTTCTCTGGGCAAGATTGTTTTAGCAAGGCCGTTTGACTCTCTGTTTCTGTGCTTTTGGTTTTAGTTTCAAAGATCTTGCCAAACTTTGCCAGGGCGCATTCTGGTCTTCAAACCCTTTGTTCTGAAAGCTGGTGCCACCAAATTGAATAATGTGCAACATGTTATAGACCCACTGTAGAAAATAATTGCAGTTTGTTTTAACATTAAGTTAAATTTTTTCTGTATGCAATGCAAAGGTCAAGGAAAAAGGCATTAAAAAACATCCCTGCACAAGTGAGTCATTTGCATAGAAAATGCTCCACTGGATGATAGAGTATGAAAGCAGTAGGGAATTAACTGGTAAGTGTATGGCAAATGACCTAGCCAAGGATCCAAGCAAGAATGATTTGTTCCAAGAACCAGTGTAAGACGATTTAGGAAGATGCACTTTTCTTTGGCCCTCATCCTACAGCAGCATTGAATCAGGAGAACGAAACAGCCTTGGCTTTGTTCATCATCAGTAAGCCAAGAAGATCACGGCATGGGTCATTAAGATTTACAGCTCAAATGTAAATAATTCAGGACCCACAAACAATAATTAAAAAACCAACTGCGGCACTGCATGTAGTCAGGTCCTCTGGGCCTCTTTGAGTAGGAACCTCTCCTGTTTTGGCTGGAGACCTGTCCATCTGGGTACAGATGGTTGTAAGAGCTTTTTAATGACCTTTTCTAATGCTGGTGAATGTGTCTTTGGACACCATCGTAACCAATGGATGAGGAGGGTGGAAACAGCAGGATGGTGGCAGCTGAGGAATTAAATGTCCTGAATTTGTTAGACATCTGCAGAAACATGCAATTTGTTGGGCAGAAAATTGTAAACAAAACAGACTGAGTCAATTATCAATACACCTGTGACACCCCGGGATGCCAGCTTTGGCTGACAGCTTTTAACCAGCTGAGGAGCAGGAGGAAGTTCACAATGATCAGGAGCAAGTCAATTCCAAGTTTTCTGCTATAACTTGTCCCCTTGCTTGTGTGGTGATCTCCTGTGTGGACACGTCTTTCCTTGTTACACTATACACATTGTTCTAAATTCTAAGTCATTGGTTCTTAACCAGTGGTATGTTTCAGAGGAGCTTAAGGAGAAAAGGAGCTTAAGAAATATGCCTGCTTCTAGGGGCTTTTGCCTGGAGAGTCTAATTCAGTAGTTGTGGGACCCTGGGCATGTGCATATTTTAAAAAGCACCCCAGGTATACACACCTGGTTGAGAAATAATCTCACATGTGTCTCAAGTTAACAATGGAGGAGAGCATGAGGTTCTGGACCAGGTCATGAGAAGGCTCGAACTGAATTTATTGATCAAGAAATCAACTCATTATGCAGATAAACATTCAGAGCTTGGGCACAGTCAAGATGAAAGTGGCTAAGGACAAAAATGTGTCCCGTTGATTAATTTCTGTAGAAAGGCCACTGACTTTGGGTTTGGACATCAGCCACTTCCTGATTTTAGCATCTGTTCCCAACTCTGGATTTTCCCATTTAAGGTCCATTCTGTCATCGTGTTCACCCAGTTTAACTAATCAGATTATTGAGTCTCAGGGGCTCATTTTCGGGTTCACGGTCAAAGATTTCTTAATACTTTAGAGAATTCAGTTAATTTCCTACTTTAAAAGACAAGATGGGGTATTGGCTTTATGAACCTGAAAACAGAGCTTTCACCAACTGGGAGACTTTTGCAAACTGGAAATATCTGATAATTGTAATTTGTAATAATTGTTAAATGTAGTTTGAACTTAAAGACTCAAAAGGATTATGTCTCTTTATGGTGTGTTTCTTAAAGGCAGGGGAGGGGCATCAAAAGGGTCACAAACAAACTTTTTGGATTTTTAAAGAATCTTCTACTGGGATTGAAGAAGAGGGGAAAAGGAAGAAATGTTTTCTAAAGTTACTTGTGTACTTCAGAGTATGATGGATTGAACACTGTTGTGAGAAGGGAATGTGGAGAGGTGACCCAAACAAAGGGGCAGTCTATTAGAAGCAAATGGTTAGAAGTTATTAGGAACTAGAGAAAAGCAAAAACTGTGTAATTGTGAACAGCATAAAGATGGGTTGAAAGAGGAAGGAAATTCTAAGTATAAAAACTTCTAAGTGGTCTTTCTGGGAAGTAGCATATGCTTCTGTAGCAGAGCATAGCAAAATTAGAGACCCATTTTAGTTTTTGTGAATACATTTACATTTTCTCCCCTTATTGATCATCACCTGTCTTCAAAAAAACCTTCAGTGTGCATTCATTTATGGGACCCAATTAACAGTTCAGATTCCTTTTCCTTTCTTCTGTAATATTTGTATTCTAAATTATGATTCAATGGGCTCTTGAATCTTTTATCTTTAGTAGACTATGATGTTATATAGTTTATGTAAATATTTGTCTTGACGTGCTTTAAGTACTTGCTCTTGTAAAGTCTCACATTTGCATTGTTTTATTGCAGTCATTCTGTGTAAATTAAACCCTAATCTCTTCAATTCTATTGTCAAGGCCTCACTCTTGGCTTGGGTGTAATGGAGATAGGATTTGGTTGGTCCTTTAATGTGGTATATTTAATTTAATTTTTCAGGTAGTGACAAACATTGGGGTTTGGGCTATAGGCTCTTTGACATTAATATGTATAAACTCTGACCTCAAATATGGAACAGTTTAAAGTGTTACACTGAATGCAATTTGCAGCACGAATTTTTTTTAAATATATAATGTGAAATAGTATTTCTGGTCCAGATTCTGCTGTAGAGCTTAGCTGAAGCAAACCCCCAATGGCTTATGCTTTCCTGAGGCTAATAGAATTTTTTTGGAAGCCTGTAAGGGTAGTAGTTTGATATTTATCTCTCAGTTCTCATGTACTATAGGATTTTTCTAAATATAGCCATCTTGACTGTAAATAGGTTACATGAAGCAGTAGACTAGTAGACTGGCCGTTCTTGTTAAGTGTAATAATCTTAACCACTTGCGTGTTCCACTCCCCTTATACCCTCGGGCTATACTATTAAAGAAGTTTCATTTTCTTTTTCGGATTATCAAAATATATAGAGCATAACCATTGAGCCACAAGTGACTTTTGCATTCCAGGATGGGCAAGGCAAATGTTCTCTCTCTTACTGTAAGATCACACTTTGTTGAAGAAAGACATCTTTTAATGTGCAAAAGGTAAAAGAGGAAGGAGAGCAAAATTTTTCTTCACGTCAAGTTGAATTATTTTGTTATTCATTAACATTGCTTCTTATCCGCATCTGAATTAGATGTTATATAGTCAGACCCAAACCATAATGTGAGGTAATCAGATCCACACTATAATATAATAAGGATAAATGCATCTTCACTACAGGTGTCGTTTGCTTTAGGGTGACTTGTATGTTAAAATTTGAATTAAATCTATCAGGCATGATCTGCAGTAGCCCCCGCTTGCCCATGGTTTCACTTTTGTTGGTTTCAGTTACCCATGGCAAACATGATCCAAAAAGATTAAATAGAAAATTCCAGAAATAAACAATTTATAAATTTTAAATGGCTCGCTGTTCTGAGGAGCATAATGAAATCTCAAGCCATCCCACTCTGTCCCACTGGGTTGTGAATCATCCCCTTGTCCAGCATCTCCACACCGTGTACGCCACCTGCCTGGTGGTCTCTCACTAGCCGTCTTGGTTATGAAGTTGACTGTGAGGTATTTCAGTGCTTATGCTCAAGTCACCTTCATTTTACTTATTCTGTTTTATGATTGGTTATTGTTGTCAGTCTCTTATTGTGCCTCATTTGTAAGTTAAGCTTTATCTTAGGTATGATGTATAGGAAAAGACGTAGGATATATGGAGTTTGGTATATCCGGAGTTTCAGGCATCCACTGGGGGTCTTGGAAGTTATCCACTGAGGATAAGGAGGACTACTTAGTTAGGTACTTTAGCATAGTCATGAATTAGTTTGTAAAGATTCACCACAAGTTTCCCGTAAACGGTGAGCTCCCTTAGTCATGTAATGCATGATTCAATTAAAAATGTTTTGATTTGCATTTAACTTTGCAGGAATTGACTGTCAAGGTGATATAACAGTTTAATGAGCTACTGTGGGAAATTGTGTAGTCCCCAGCCAGACAGTTTTCAAGTGAGTTGAAATCTATTTTCCCTTGGATGGTTAAAGAAAGGTATATATTGGCCCACATTTCTTCCTAAATGTCTCCTCCTCTCCTGTGTTTCTTAAACACACCTATACTTCCATATTGAATTATCATAAAATCTCTGTTTACATTTAATAAATATTCATCTCAAAAGCCCCTCAACTTACTGAAAATGCTTTTACTGTATTGGTTTAGAGACTGTTCCCTCTTTTTAATCTCTACTGTCAATTAAATTCAGTGCCCTGTGGCTGATTCGATTCAGTCTAAACAATAATTATATCAATAGTTTGAAAAAGTCAAAATATTATTTAGAGCATTTTCTAATTTTCCTTTTTTACTAGCTGGTCATGTCTTGTTGCATGCCTGAGTTTTTACACTGTGAGTACAATATCTATCTGTGTGTGTGTGTGTGTGTGTGTGTGTGTGTGTGTGTATTTAATCCTTACAACTGACCAGCATGAAGGGGGTTTGAGGCTACAGTCTTGGATGGTAAACTCAACAAGTTAGTACTGTGACTGTATGCTGAGTCTGAAAATAAGCCATCTAGGTTTGTGTAGGACAGAATACTAGGATACCAGGATGCCAGATGAATTTAAATAGTGTAGTGTGCTTTATCTGTGCTTGTTCTGTCTGTGCTGCTTAAATACTGATAAGGAGAGTCTACAAGAATACTAGATGTGATTTGTGCTACTTGAGTTTACTGTTACCCAGCAGATTTATTCATTCCATGTTTACAATCTGAACAGTTCACTTCATATCAGGGTTTAGTGATTCTGATGGGCTAAAATAGAAATATATTGTTTCATATTTTTTTCACTCTGGAGATTTAATATAAGAAAGCAGCGGACAATTGGCCAAAGATACTCAGCTTTGAATATGATTCCTGCTTTTCACAAAAATATGTCTTTGATTATCTTTTCATAAATGCATGACCTGGAGCTAAAATTTTCTGTCAGTGTCTTCTGTGGAGTTGTATATTAATGGTTTGACTTGGCATTATCAGCGGAAGAGCTATGCCACTACAGTATTTAAACTGCATGCCAGACATGGCAGCTGGTACAGTAGATAATAATGAATTGAAGTTTTCACAAGCCTTGTGGTGTTTTCTTACCATTGTTTGTTTTCGGTTTTCCTTTTGTATGAACACAAAAGGAGTAGGATGCACCAACTACAGTGAGGCAGATATAAGGTCTTTCTACCCTAAGATCACCTTGGCCTTTTCTTTCATGCAGCTTCTTCCAGGAAGGCTACTTTGATTATCCCACTTAGAATCAAAGTCTTTTTTTTTTTTTTTTTTTTTTTTTTTTTGGAGACAGTCTCACTCTGTTGCCTGAGCTGGAGTGCAGTGGAGCAATCTCAGCTCTGCCTCCCAGGTTCAAGTGATTCTCCTGCCTCAGCCCCTTGAGTAGCTGGAACTACAGGTGCACATCACCATGTCTGGCTAAATGTTGTATTTTTAATAGAGACTGGGTTTTGCATGTTGGCCAGGCTGGTCTCGAACTCCTGACCTCAGGTGATCCACGTGCCTTGGCCTCCCAAAGTGCTGGGATTACAGATGTGAGCCACTGGGCCTGTCCAGAATCAGTCTTTTTAAAAATTTTAATCGTTCCTTGTCTTTATAACTGTTCTGTCATATTCCTTATTTGCCTTGCATATGTCTTCTCTTAACTTTTGAAAACTTGTAACTCAAGCAGACTCTTTAAAACATCTCTTTTTTTAGGTTTTAGCTACCGGCCATAGGATCTAACAGGTGCAACAAATAATCAGTATATAATATATGAATGATGACCACTTGGTGAAATTAACTGTCAGTTATATAGAGAAAGGGTGATGAATTTAAGAATAGCCAACATTTGGTTAGCCATTTATAGATTAGAAATTGCTCTCATATGTGTTACTTCGTTTGCTCTCATGTGTTATCTCATAATAGTACTATGAGGTAGGGAATAGTTCACTTTCCAGGTATGAAAACTGTCAGAGGTTAAGAGATTTTCCCAAAGTCACTGCAACCACTCCATATTTTAACTGGGATTTGAAACCAATTTTTCAAGCTCAAAACTCTTCCCTCATTAGACCACTCTGCTAGAAGATATATATGCTAGTTCTTCCTCATCCAAGTCTAAAGTCGTAGATCCTTTTAAAATGCTGATCCTCCTTATTAGGGGATAATTGATGCCTAGAAAAGGTCACCTAAGTGAATCTACTTAAATCAGGCACCGGAATTTCACAGTAAATAGAGAAAAAGAGATTTGCTTGAACTTCATTGTGGAAGTGAAACTAATAATGAGGAATACCTTTTATATTTAACAACATTTAAACTATAATTGCATCTATGTGCCAATTCTTAGAATGAGCAAGAATGAAGTGTTGATTGTTTTCCAGGGCAATTTTTCTGACAAGTTGGATGACAAATGCCACAGTGTCCTTCCCTTTATTGTAAGTGTTTAGCCTGAATTTATTCTTGTGACTTTTCCGTTCTAGTGGTTCTTTGGTCTAACTTTACTAGAAACTCTTTGGCTCATGATTTGGCTTGTTATTCAAGCTGTCTTATCATCACTTTCATTGATTTTACCAAATTCTGTTCCTTTGATGAGATTTACAAATTTATTATTTATTATTTTTTTTTAAGAGTTGCACTTCTATATTGCAGTCTGTTTTCTTTGTATATGTGGTATAGAATCGTCCAGAGACCTACAAAGAATATAACTCTGTGGACAGAGATAGACTGTTGTGTTAATTTGGGTGGGGATTAATTTTTTAAGTGGTTTCTGTGTTACTTTTATGATGACTTTGGCCTTCTAACTATGGGGGCTTAAATGATGAATATTAAGATAACTAGGGCTCCCTGAATTAGTAAAAATATCATATTGATGTTCTTTACATAGTTGAAGTGTTGGGTGTTTTTTTTCTACTCCGCAATTATCTACTTTCATGAAAATAAAAGTCCATTGGGCTAAATATAATTGATGTAACAAAAAATAAGCAAATGGTTCTAGAAGAGGGCTTCATTTTAAGGCAGCATTTGCCTTAGTTAACAGATTAACAATTGTATGCTTTGTGTGTGTGTGTATATACTTATTTAAGCAGTATTTGCATAAGGAATTATTCCTTATGAGTGTGATATCATGAGACTGATGGTGGAAATCAGCTTGAGATTAATTTTAGCATAATGGTTAAGAACTGAACTGGAGCCGGGTGTGGTGGCTCACACCTGTAATCCCAGCACTTTGGGAGTCCGAGGCGGGTGGATCATGAAGCCAGGAGTTTGAGGCCAGCCTGGCCAACATGGTGAAACCCCATTTCTACTAAAAATACAAAAATTAGCTGGGCATGGTGGCGTGTGCCTGTAATCCCAGCTACTCCACAGGCTGAGGCAGGAGAATCACTTAAACCCTGGAAGCAGAGGTTGCAGTGAGCCAAGATTGCACCACTGCATTCCAGCCTGGGCGACAGAGCAAGACTCTGTCTCAGAGAAAAAAAAAAAAAAGAACTGAGCTGGAGCCACACTCCCTGGGATTTTGTCCTGTCTTCACCCTTTACTACCTGTGTGATCATGTTTCAAGTCTTGTAATCTCTCCATGCTAGAATTTTCTTGTGTTGATAATGGAGACAGTTATCATATCTTCCTCATAGAGTTCTTTCAAGATTTTAATGTACAAAGTGTCTAGAACAGTGCCAGACACATAGTAAGCACTCAATAAATGTTAGGAGTTATTGTGATTTGATTTTTGTTTAAGAATTATTATGAATATTATAGGGGTTTTGCAGAAGAAGGAAATGTGAAGAAAACTGCTTTAAGTTGGCATGAGAATGTTAAGTCTTCTGTTGTTGTTGTCAACGAAGTAATAATCTCAGAAATATTTGTTGAAGGAAAAACCTAAGTTTGCTGTTGAATGATATATAAAAAACTAATAATATTTTTGAGCAAATATGTTTAGGTCTTCTAACCATTTAAGTGTATTAAATGCTTCTTATGCACACCCTCTCTTCCCTCCTGTGTCTCTTTATTCCCAGCCCCACTCCTGTGGGTAAATAAACCAGATATTTCTTTAGGTTTTTACGAAGAAACCTGAAAGTAAATAATTTAATGGCTGAATGAAATGGTACTTTTAAATGTCTTTTCTCATGTGTAAATACAGTGAAATTGCAGTGAGAATTTATCTTTCAGTTGATTACTTGCTTCAGGTTTTAGGAGTGATGGTGACAGATGAACAGTAATTGAGGTGTGAATAAAATTTTGGAAAAGATAAATGATATCATTTCTTGTGGAAAATATTGCATTCTTCCATTATGGTGCGTGGCTGTTTATTAGCTGTCTTTAGTGGGGAAAGACCCTTGATGCTTGTAAAACACCTGTAGTTTTAAATTGGCTTAGGATAGATTAATGGTAAATGATTAGAGACCTCACTGGATTGACAACCACATTGCATTTGTAACTCCAGTGAGGTAGTCGGCACAAAAGTGGCACAGCCCTCCTGTGGATTATTATCTCTCAGGGAAAGAGAGAAGTACAGTCTTACTGCTAAAATTTGTCTTATACTAAGTTCCTTATTTTAGAATTGGTTGGAAGATTGCATTGTTTTCCTTCATATAGACAAGCAATTTTGAATCATTTTTAAAAAGCAGATTCAGGGGCTGTGCACAGTGGCTCACGCCTGTAATCCCAACACTTCAGGAGGCTGAGAGTTTCACTTGAGCCCGAGTACCAGGCTAGTCAAGGCTAGCCTGGGCAACATAGCAAGATCCTATCTCTAAAAAAATTTTAAAAAATTAGCTGGGCATGGTGGTGCTTGCCTCTAGTCCCAGCTACTTGGGAGGTTGAGGTGGAAGGATCACCTGAGACCAGGGAGGTAGAGGTTGCAGTGAGCCATGATTGTGCCACTGCACTCCAACCTGGGCAACAGAGTGAAATTCTGTTCTCAAAAGCAGATTCAAAATAATTTTTTAAAATACTTAAATTTGCTTCATAAAGCTGTTTATAAAAGCAGATTCAGGATTCATTTTTTAATTGCTTAAGTTCGCATTATAAAGCTGTTTCTATGCTTTCTCACATCAACTTAGTTTTGAGAATAAAAAGCATATATTGCTAAGAGTGAACTAGCATATTTTCAAGCTTTATGTGTAAAAAAAAATCTTGAAGTCTGTTATTAGTGGTTTTGTAAAAATTTCTGTTTTTAGTCTTGTCAAGAGGTGCTTCATAAAAACCAGGCAATTAGAATGAAGGGAATTTCAGTCTTAAGTTATTTGAGTTCAAAGCCTTTCCTGTGTTTTAATTTACTTTGTATTTGTTTTTATCAAACTCTGGTCCTATTTGGAGAAATAAAACCACTGACTTAGGGAGTTCCAGCTTACCAGTGAGGGTATTTGAAATTAGAGGCCCCAAATCGTTGATAACTGAGATTGTGCCATTGCACTCCAACCTGGGCAACAAGAGCGAAACTCCATCTCAAAAAAATAAATAATAAAAAAAAATAAAATAGAATTTCCACTTTCTTTGGCCACAAAGAATTGTACTTTTTTCTTAGTTGTTTATTTTAGGGGTGAAATTCAGTCAGAGACTCTACAGGGTCCCTACTGGGTAGGCCTTCTTTTGCTGTTTAGATTTCATGTGGCAGATTGTAGTAAGGCTCTCCTAATTCTTAACATATTTCCAGTTTTTATTAAGTTTAAAAATTTATGCCTTTCCTATCATTCCATAACTAAATATAGTAATGAAATTTTATCTGAAGTCAGGAACATTATCCAAATCTGATTTGATGTGTGTAGGGTACTGCACATTCATTGAGTGGTACAGATTGTGTTAAATGGGCCTGAAATAATGTTCAGGAAAGAGAATCACTTTCTGTTCTTCTTGACACAAACAGTTTGTCACAGACATGCATTCATCTCCCTATCTTGTTAGTGTAGTCGTTATATTTTTCATTACAAGTTTTATGCAAATCCTCTAGTTTTCCTTGATTAGGTTTACATGAATACATTGTAATTATAGACTGGGTGTTATTAATATATGTGATTAAACATGTAATTAATATGTGTAATTACATAGAGTCATGGCAGAGCTGGGCTCTATGCTGATTTATTGTATAGGTGCTGCTTACACAAAGACACAGTTAGGATTTTATGCTGAATATTTTCTCACACTGTAAATCTACGGTGGTTTGTCACCAGGGTATATATGCTTTTTCATTTAAGAATCCTTTTTATGGTCATGGCAGCAAATGGATTATGATTGTTTTTTACTGTGGCTATATCAAATACTCCACCCAGAGAACCCATAGAAGAAAAGTTTGTCATGGTTCTGTGTATGCGAGCAACACTGCTGTATGCCAGCCACACCCTGGAATGCACAGATTTTACTCATTTGTTTGTTTGTTTATTAAATGTGTTAAGCTCCATGTTAAACTCATCTGTTAAATAACCTTTTTCTCTTCTGTCTCTTATGTGTTTGGTTACTTTCCTTCTTAGCTAAATTTCCCTTTTTTTAAACATCGAAGAGCACCTTTCTGCTTTTTTTGCCGTCATCTGTATGTCATGTTCTTGTCCATCTCATCATTTCACATTTTTTAAAGCTCTGTAAACAGACATAATGCACCCTCTGCTTCCTTTTCAGCATTTATTCTGTTGCTCTTCCCCCCACCCTCCCATTCTGCCTCTAGACTTTGTTTATTTTTCTTAGAGAGGAATTCTAAATTAAACAATGCAAGAAAATGAAAATGGCAAGGGTACAACATTATAGAGGACTAAAGGGGAATAGAAGTAAGTTACGTTATTGAAATCTCAGTGTGAGGGAATAATGAGGATAACACAGGTTAATTTTCCGATGTGTCCTTTACCCACATAATTGTCCAGGACATAGATGTTATCGGAGAGAAGCTAAGAAGCACAATTTGTAAGAGTCTTAAAAGGGTAATAGAAGACACACTTAGGCTTAGCATCGTTAATGGGCAGAGAGGTTCAGGTCATAGTTGATTTGAGTCTGCTCAAAACATTGTGCAGCATGTTGTATTCAGTGTTCTGGTTAGGATGTTGGGGATGGCCCAAGGGCCCAATAACTAACAGTGTATAATTTTGATTTGAGTGCTTAAGTAGATATGTTTTCCTGAAAAAACATGAGCAGTAAAGGTTGACTTGGATTTGTATGCGGCATGTTTCCAAGGGGGACCTGGGAACAGATGTGTTGTCTGTTCTGAAAGCATTGGGATGCATCCATGTTTTGCGTACAGACCCCCTTCTGTCTGGTGCACTCTGCCCTCTAAAAGCTTCCTGAATTGCTTTGTAAACAAGGCAGCTACTACAGCTGCAACTGTTGGGTTTGGACTTTTGCCAGCTTGAAATTTATCCCTGCCCTAATGCTATATATCTGGGAGCAGGCAGTGGAATTTTTTTTTTTTTTTCTTCAAGCTTATGGAAGCATTTGCTGAGGAAGATCGTCTTGAGGGTCAAGGAACCCAGATTCCTTAAAACTGCATGCATTCTCCGTGGATTATTTTGACCACCAGGTCAGATTTCAGCACCTTTCCTGAACTTTTCTCCAGTTACTTAGTTGGGTTACTGCTTCATTAAAAACCCATAATTCCTATGTCTTTTATCTTGGTGGGCCACTTGGATTCAAGAGGACTAGATTCAGCCCCTTGAGTGAATGAATGAAGATTGTTTCTCAACATTCCTTTCTTTGGTATGCTAATATTTAACAATGAAAGAAAAGAAAGACAAAACAAAACAAAAAAAACGAAAAATAAGGGATAAAGTGAAGAACGGGAATTCTTAAGAAATCTCCTTTGAGGATTAGCGCTACCTGGCAGTTGCTAAAGTGACTCTGTGCTGCATGGATTTTACATTGTCTTTGTGTGTTATGTAGAGAGGTGTTGTGATGTCTTCTTTGAGTGCCTGAAATGCCAGTGTTCTTGTAGAAATTGGAGTTGTGCTTTATTATATTCTTGACTTGTTGATGAATTTTCCATTTAAGCCTCTTTCTTCTTTCTTATCTGGCTTTTGAAGTCTCCTGCACAGGTGGATTCCTTTATGCCTTCTCACTAGATCAGGATTTTAAAAATGTTCATTGTTCATCTCTTCATATACGTTATAGCTGCCTGGGCTCCCTTTTTGACCTCCTTGGGCTGATGATGTGTGACATGTGACACTGTGCAACTAGAGTTGGTATTTGCCAATCTGTATGCTTTTGGTTTATTTCATATTACCGGATTAAAACGAAAATCTATTTCATTCCAGTAGCAGCAGAAAGCACAAAATCTTGAGGTTCCTGCCAATATTCTCTTTTTGGAACACTATCAAAAATGTAACTTTTCTGTTGGAATAAGTATTTTTCTGGCCAACATCTCCCCCTCTGCCCCTGGCTTCTGTGTGATGAAATAACATTGGCTTCTTTTAGCTCAAGATTTGGACTATTTAGGAGCCCTTTCACATAAGAAATGGATGTCTTAACTAATTTTCTTGGAGTAGAGTTGATTATGAATAAGTACTAGGAGGAGGGGCTATGTAGAACCTTTGTAATGTAATATGGCATAGTAAAAGCAGGACTAAATGAGATTTCTCAGGATTGGGATGGGGGCATATCCTTCCTATGTCATGTGATTTTAGGTCAGTAACCAACACAGTTGGGAACTTCTCCACAGCTTTTGGCCGCTCCACATCTTTGAAGAGTGCTGGCCTGCATAGTGGGATAGAAATCCAGGCCTTCATTGATTTATTCCTTTTGGTTTCAGTCCCAGATCTTGAACTGTGCAGGGATTTAAACTGATCAGGGACAGCCAACTAGCTGTAGTATAAAGAAATGAGCTGTTGTGCTTGGGGGAAAAATTGTTTGAAGAACTAAAAATGACACATTTCCTTTAGGCAGAGGAAAGTTAATACATTGGAGTGTTACTATTTTTTAAGGGGGACGTCATTCCATTCTCATTTCCAGTGTTCACATGTAAAAATAAGAAAGAGTGGGGCTTTTGTTTAAGCTGTTGCCAATACCAACATTTACCACCTCCTTTAGAGTTTTTTTTTAAAACGGCTCTGTTTGACTGAAAATTTGCTTAGGGCTGAAACTTGAAACTTGTCATTTAGTTTCTGAGCCTACAGGCAAATTACTACCACCCCCCAACACCCAGCCCTTTTAGAGCAAGAAGACTTTTTAGGAATTTGATAATTAAGGAGCTTTTTTGGCATTTAAAATTGCTTACCTTTCTTCAATACACAAAAACTCAACTCAACTCTGCCTTTTTTTTTTTTTTTTTTTTTTTTTTTTTTTTTAAATGACAGGGTCTTACTTTCCTTCTGTCACCCAAGCTGGAGTGCGATGGTATGGCTCACTGCAGCCTCGAACCCCCCCAGGCTCAGGTGACCCTCCTTCCTTGGCTTCCCAAGTTGCTAGGACCAAACGGCACACACCACCATACCTAGCTAATTTTTAAATTATCTGTAGAGACAGGGTCTCACTATGTTGCCCAGGCAATCTTCCTGCCTCTGCCTCCCAAAGTGTTGGGATTACAGGCATGAGCCACCGTTCCTGGCCAACTCTGCCTTTACATGATAGCTCATCCTTTCGAAGTTAAATTTGAAATAAAAGTGGTCCTCTTGGCTGGATTTTTGAAACCTTCCTAATGTGGAATATCAGATTGTTGGGTGCATATCTAGGCATTTTGGCAGCACTTAATGAAAACAAATGCTCCAGCCTTTCTATACCAAGATGCTGCTGGCCCACACACCATACCTGTGCTTTGGTTCTTTCTCCTTATGGTGATGGTAGATTTGCATTGAACTCATCCAGCGGTTCAGCTTCAAAGACCAAAAGCCAAGGTTAGGGAACCATAGAACTAAATTATTTTGCCTTGTGAAATTAATATTTCAGAGAAATGGATTCATTGTTAACATTATCAACCAATAGCACCCGCAGTCTTGGAAAAGTTCAGCGAAGAGGTGAATGGGGTCTTTTTTAGCCTTCGCCCAAACCTCTGTAGCATGTCTATGGCTAGAGTATGTTGATCTTTCAGGTAGTGAATCATTACAGTTAATCCTGGTGAAATTCAGCAGCAATCACACTTAATACTTTAGTGTGATATGGGAAAGTGCCTCTCTTGTACATACACCCGACACTAGATGATTACATTTTACCATGCTTCAACTGTGGGGGCATTTTATGACTATATATCACTTTTTTTCTTTTTTTTTTTTTTAAGACAGAGTTTCACTCTTGTTGCCCAGGCTGGAGTGCAATGGCATAATCTCGGCTCACTGCAACCTCCACCTCCCAGGTTCAAGTGATTCTCCTGCCTCAGCCTCCTGAAGTAGCTGGGATTACAGGCACCCACCACCATGCCCAGCTAATTTTTTTGTATGTTTAGTTGAGATGGGGTTTCACCATGTTGGCCAGGGTGGCCTTGAACTCCTGACCTCAGGTGATCCACCTGCCTCGGCCTCCGAAAGTGCTGGGATTAGAGGCGTGAGCCACAGCGCCTGGCCATATCACTTCTTAACATACAAATTGCTTAGTAATATATAACCTAATATTTATTCTTTATAAATATTTTATTATTTATTATAATAAGGTATATAATATTATGTAATTATATAAGTATTACATTATATAATTATAATGTATAAATATAATATATAATATTTATAAATATTTTGTAATGCAGATGCCTTTTAAAAGTGTATATTTCACATGTATTTATTCTTTAAATTTATTATGGAAATGGGATTTTGTTAGTTTAATCTTCAGTAAAGGCATCTTAAATGATCTGGATTTTTTTTAATTGTTTTGTTTTAAAAATCAAACCTCTTTAAAACATCTTAACATCTTTTATATATTCTGGGGTCTAGCATACTCCAGAGGGATTTGGTTAAAATTTTTCTGAATAGAAATCCTTAAGGAAGCGAGTGAATATATGAATAATGAGGGAGGAAGTATTTGGATATTTTTAAGGAAACAAAAAGGCAGCCCTAATTTTAGCATATGGGGTCTAAAGATACCATTTACATTTTTATACCAATATAAAGTCAAGGAGAAAAGAAATATCCCCATGAGAAAACTGAAGAAACCAAAGTTAAGCAAAAGCTAATTGAAGAATCATTTAAGAGTAAAGGCCTACATTTTATGATGCAGATGCCTTTTGAAGTTGTATATTTCACATATATAGAAAAGCTTATAGAACCACGCCTAGCTTTGTCACATCTTAACACTATGCCGTGTTTGGACGTCCTCTCTCGTGTCTGCCCCCTCCCTCACCTTACTCCTTATCCTTCCTCCTAGGATTGAACTATAATCCTGAATTTACTGTTTATCAATCCCATGTCCATTTCAGTCATCTTCCTACGAACATGTTTGTCTGTAGGGTGTAGTATTTTTGCATGTTTTAGATAAAATATTAAACATAATGATATAAATGCTGTTATGCTGTTGTATTCTGAAATTTGCTTTTTACCTTCATACTCATTGGTGAGATTCATCTTGATGCCTGTGGCTCTGGTACACTTATTTTCACTGCTATATATATTTTATGTTTTGTGAATATCGCTGTTTATTTATTTATTCTCCTGTTGATGGACTCTTTCTTGTTTGCAGTAGACTGTTACATCCAGTGAAAGGATGACCATTCTTATATGTGTCTTTCTGTGTGCCTTCTACTTTTGAATGTGGGTAGGAATTTCTCTAGGGTAACACCTGGAAGTGGAGTTGCTTTGGACATCTTTGGCTTTCTTGGATAAAGCTCTCCCACGTGATTGTGCTCATGGCTGGTAGCATAGGTGCTGTGGGAGAACTCTCATAGCTTCGTATCTTCTTCAATTCCAGTACTGGTATTGCCAGAAAATAAAATTTTCATTGATTTGATGGTAGTGAAAACATACCTTCTTGTTTTAATCTGCATTTCTGCTGGACACACTGGCTTGCACCTGTAATCCCAGCTACTTAGGAAGCCGAGGTAGGAAGTTGGCTTGAGGCCAGGAGTTTGAGACCAGCATGGGCAACAGCAAGACCCCGTCTTTAAAAAAATAAAAATAAATTAGCCAGGATTGCATGCCTGTAGTCCAAGCTACTTGAGAGACTGAGGTGAGAGGATTGCTTGAGCCTAGGAGTTTGAGACCAACCTGGGCAACATAGTGAGACACTGACTCTTTAACAACAACAAAAATCTGCATTTCACTGACTTGTAAGGTTGAGAATCATTTCACATTTATTGGCCTGTTGAGTTTTCTCTTCTCTCAGTTTCCTAATGCCGAATCCTTTGCTGTTTTTCTATTGGATTATTTTGTTTTGTCTTTTTTTTTTTTTTTTTTTTCCTGAGGCAGGGTCTTGTTCTGTTGCCCAGGCTGGAGTGTCTCACTGCAGTCTTGACCTCGGGGGCTCAAGTGATCCCCGCAACTCAGCCTCCCAAATAACTGAGACCACAGGCGTGCACCACAGTGCCTGGCCTTCTTGATAATGTGGAAATGTGGAAATTCTTTATGTTCTGAATACTAATCCTTGCGGGTTATATGCAATTAAGTATATGGCTTGTTTTTTTTTATTTTTATTTATGTTATTTTTTGTTTTATAAAACTTTTATATTAATTTTAATGCAGGCAAACTCAATCTTTTCCTTTATGGTTTTGCTTTTTGCTTATTTAAAAAGCCTTTCCTACTTCTGAGGTCATAAAAGGTACTTTCTCTCCCTTTCTCTTTTTTTCTTCTAAAAGTTTGCGTTTTACTTTTGTTAACCTATCTGGAATTTTTGTGTATGATATGCAAATGGGCCATATATATATATATATATATATATATATATATATATATATATTTTTTTTTTTTTTTTTTTTCCGAGACAGATTCTTGCTCTGTCGCCCAGGCTGGAGTGGAGTGGCATGATCTTGGCTCACTGCAACCTCCACCTCCTGGGTTCAAGCAATTCTCCTGCCTCAGCCTCCCAAGTATCTGGGAGTACAAGTGTGCATCACCACACCCAGCTAATTTTTGTATTTTTCATAGAGACAGGGTTTTACCATGTTGGCCAGGCTGGTCTCGAACATCTGACCTCAAGTGATCTGCCCGCCTCAGCCTCCCAGGGTGTTGGGATTACAGGCGTGAGCAACTGTGCCCAGCCTAATTTTATTTTTTTTCTATGAGGATATCTGGTTGTTTCCATGCTGCTTTGAAAAACACACATAAAAAAATACTTTTTTTTTTTCTAAAAACTGACTTTTGTTTTTGAAATTTTAAAACCAATTTGAACTTTAAAAAACTAATTTCAGGCCGGGCACAATGTCTCATGTCTGTAATCCCAGCACTATGGGAGGCTGTGGAGGGCAGATCACTTGAGGTCAGGAGTTCGAGACCAGCCTGGCCAACATGGTGAAACCCTGTCTCTACTAAAAATACAAAAATTAGCCAGGTATGATGGCACACACCTGTAGTCCTAGCTACTTGGGAGGCTGAGGCAGGAGAACTGCTTGAACCCAGGAGGTGGAGGTTGCAGTAAGCCGAGATAGCGCCACTGAACTCCAGCCTGTATGACAGAGGGAGACTCCGTCTCAAGAAAAACAAAAAAAATTAAAAACAAAAAAATTAACTATTTTCAGACTTACCAAAAAAAAAATTGCAAAAACAATGCCAAAAATTCCCATAGACGTTTCATCTAGATTCTCCAAATGTTAACATCTTACATAACCACTGTAGAACCATCAAGTCAGAAAGTTTGCAGTGGTTCAGTACTATTATCTAATCTCCAGACTTTATTCAAATTTTCTTAGTTGTTCTCACTAACAACCTTTTGCTGCTCCAGGATTCGATTCAGGATTACACATTGCATTGACTAGTGATGTCTCTTTAATCTGTGACTGTTTTTCAGTTCCACCTTTGTCTTTTATGACCTTCCTTGATAGTTTTGAAGAGTACTGGCCAGATATTTTGAAGAATGTCCCTCAGTTTGGATTTTTTTGATATTTTCTCATGGTTGAATTTGTTATGCATTTGTTTGCAAGAATGTGATTTGTGTCCTCAGTGTAACGTATGAGGAAGTCTATAATACCCATTTATCCTGTTATTGGCAACGTTAACTTCAATCATTTGGCTAAGGTGGTGTCTGCCACGTTTCTCCACAGTGAAGTTACTGTTTTTCTCTTTGTAATTTTAGCATGCATTCTTTCCTATGGTGTTTGCTAAATGATTTCTATTCCCATCATCCTTTCCACATTTGTTAGTTGCAGTTCTATCAGTACCATTTATTGAAGAGTCCATCATTTCTCTAGTGAGTTATGTTTACCTCTGTACTGATTTATAAATCTACTTCTACATCTCTGCTAGCACCTAACTCCCTTCATTTAGAGTTTTATACCCTTTTGCCTTCTCACCAGTAACATACAAAGGTGCTATTTCCCCTCAGCCTCATAAACGGAGTATGTAGTCAAACTTGGAGTTTTGCCAATCTGATCAGTGAAAAAAAAAATGTTATGTCTCTTATTATGAATAAAGTTGAGCATCAGTTCACATGTTTTGAGCCATTTTTGCTTATTCTTCTGTATACTCCCTGTTTATGTCCTTTGCCTATTTTTCTGTGGGAATGCTGGTATTTTTCTTTTAGATTTCTTAGAAGCTTTTTTGTTTTGTTTTGTTTTGTTTTGTTTTTGAGACAGAGTCTCACTCTATCGCCCAGGCTGGAGGGCAGTGGCATGATCTTGGCTCACTGCAACCTCCGCCTCCCGGGTTCAAGCTATTCTTCTGCCTCAGCCTCCTGAGTAGCTGCGACTACAGGCACGCACCACCACACCCAGCTAATTTTTGTATTTGTAGTAGAGACAGGGTTTCACCATATTGGCTAGGCTGGTCTCGACCTCCAGACCTCATGATCTGTCCACCTTAGCCTCCCAAAGTGCTGGTATTACAGGTGTGAGCCACCGTACCTGGACCTTAGGAGCTTTTTATATGTTAGGCATTATAATTCCCTTGTCTGTGATAGGTTGCGAACATTGTTTTTCCAAGTATATCATTTGTCTTTTGGCTGATGGCATTTTGTTTTATTTTGCTATGCACAAGGGTTTTTATAAAATACATTTTTATGTACACAAAGTTATTTTTTATTATTTCTGGATCTGCCTTTTCTCTAACTTTATAACAGACTTCAAGTTTTCTTTCAAAAGTTATGTGGGTTTTTTTTTGTGGGGGTGTTGGGCTTTTTCTTAAAAAAGACTTAATTTTTTGTAGCAGTTTTAAATTCACAGCAAAATTAAAAAGAAGGTACAGAGATTTCCTTGTCCCCATACATGCATAGCCTTCCCTGTTGTCAACATCCTCTACCAGCGTGGTACATTTGTTGCAGTTGATGAACCTACACTGACACACCGTTATCACCCAAAGTCCATGGTTTACATCAGGGTTCACTCTTGGTGTTGTCCATTCTGTCGGTTTCAACAAAGGTATAATGACACATATTCATCATTATACAGTATTTTCCCTGCCTTAAACATCATCTGCCTTCTGCCAGTTCATTCCTTCTTCCCTTATATCCCTGGCAACCCCTGATCTTTTTGTTGTTGTTGTTGCTGAGATGGAATCTTGCTCTGTCACCTAGGCTGGAGTACAGTGGCACAATCTCGGCTCGCTGCAACCTCCGCCTCCCGGGTTCAAGCGATTCTTCTGCCTCAGCCTCCTGTGTAGCTGGGACTACAGGCGTGCGCCACCATGCCTGGCTAAATTGTTGTGTTTTTAGTAGAAATGGGGTTTCACCATGTTGGCCAGGCTGGTCTGAAACTCCTGACCTCGTGATCCACCCGCCTCGGCCTCCCAAAGTGCTGGGATTACAGGCGTGGGCCACCGCGCCTGGCCAACCCCTGATCTTTTTACTGTCTCTGTAGTTTTGTCTTTTCCAGGATGTTATATAGCTGGAATCATGCAGTATGGTTGCTTTTTCAGTTTGGCTTCTTCATTTATTAATATGAATTTAAGGTTCCTTTATGTCTTTTCATGGCTTGATAGCTCATTGCTTTTTAACGCTGAATACTATTCTATTGTCTGTGTATACCACAGTTTGTTTATTGATTCACCTAGTGAAGGACATTTTGGTTGCCTACAAGTTTTGGCAATTACGAATGAAGCTGTCATAAACATCTGCGTGCGGGTTTTTGTGTGGACATAAGTTTTCAACTCTTGGGTAAATACCAAGGAGCATTATTGCTGAATTGTATGGTAAGAGTATGTTTATTTTTTTAAGAAACTGCCAAACTGTCTTCAAAAGTGGCTGTACTATTTTGCCTTCCTGCCAGCAGTAACTGAGCATTCCTACTGCTCCACACCCTCCCCAGCATTTGGTGTTATTGGTGTTCTGGATTTTGGCCATTCTAATAGGCATACAGTGATACATCATTGTTGTTTAATTTGCATTTCCCTGATGAAATCTGATGTGGAGCATCTTTTTACATGCTTATATATATCACCAGCAAATAAGCATATATATATATATATATATATATATATATATATATATATATATACACACACACACACACACACACATATATATGATACATATATATAAAAGATATATATTATATATATGAGAGATATATATATATATTATATATATATATATATCACCACCATATATATATGTAGGTCTGATTTTGACAGTATTCTGATATATAATGTGAAGTATGAATGCAATTTAATTTTTTTCCATTGGCTGTCCAGTTGTCCAAATATCATTTATTAAAAAGGCCATCTTTTCCCACATTGATTTGAGATGTGACGTCTCATCATATACCAATTTTCTATGTATACTTTTTTCACTTTCTGAGCTTTTTGTTTTATTCTATTCTGTTTCTTCACGCAGCAAAACCACACTCTTTCACTTGTAGAAGCTGTATAATATTTTGAAATATCTGGTTGTGCCTGCCTCTTCCCTATCCTGATGTAGAACACAGACACACACGTACACTGTTTTTCTTTTTTAGGTTTTCTTGGTAATTATTTGGTCTGTTTGTTTTTAATTTGTTTAAGTTTTTATAGCCAACAGACCTAGTTGGCATCTAAGTAGCTAGCATTTCTTTGCTATTTCTAGAGACTTTCTTTGCCACCTAGTATCGACCAATTCTTTGTTGATATGTCATTTATTCTGAAAAAGAATGAGCATTTTATATAGGCTGGGTGCAGAATTTTGTATGTACATCACACATTTCTGGAAATTTAAAGTTTTTGTGGGCTTCTAAAGCAAATTATGCAGCATGTGTAAGATTCAGGGATATCCTACAGCCTGCTCTCATGTCATGTTCATCATATAGGTCAGTGGGTAGACCGCAGGTGGACTGTGAACTGGCTAACGCTATGTGAAAGAGGGTTTCTATATGTGATTTTTCTGGAGAGAAGATACATGAATTTTAAAGATGTTTTATCATCACAAAAAGTTAGACTGTTCCAGGTAAAGGTGAGAAAAAAGACTGGAATTTAAATACTCTGTTAAAAAAAGAATGAGGATGGCTTTGAAAAATTGAAAGATGAAAAAAAACAGCTCTTTTTATACTATGGTGCTCAGGATACATTGACTATAAAATTAAAGTGTGTTTTAATATATTAGTAGGTAAAGTTTCTGAGAGGTGAATGTCTACATTTACAATAATGGTGTTTTCTCTCATATTTCTTTTAGGTAAGTGACAATCTTATGCTTGGATACATCAGCTTCAAAATGGATGGATTTTGAGGGTTTCATTCCTCTTCTCTGATGCTGTAGCAGTAAGTCATACTTCTCATGTGTGCTCTGTTCTGGTCTGGTCTGGGCCAGGGGATTGGCTTGACAAAAGAAACTAGATAATTTCTTGTAAACACTTTGCTTCTTTTACTTGATATACGTGTTTTGTTAAGAACTCTTTGTATGTGTAGTCTCTGAGATTGCACAGAAGAATAAAAGGACCAGCTTCCAACTTTCAAGAAGACTGGATTTTCGTAAGGATACAACAGAAAGAACTTGGGTTTTGGAGTTGTATTAGGTTTGAATTTCACTTTTTCATTACTGTGTGATAACTCAGTTGGATATCTTTTTCTTCTTCTATTTCCTCATTTACTCAATAGGTGTAATAATAACTACGTATCAGATTGTTGGGAAGATTAAATCAGGGAATATCTATCCTTATCACAGTGCTCCAATATATAGATTTTGTTGCTCATTTCTTCTTTCCAGCTCTATCCCATGGCTCAGAAAGAAACAACAATGTCTAGAACATATAAAAATAGAGACTAACTCTCCCTCCTGTTATCTGAAGGGTCTTTGGCTGAGATTCAGGAAATCTTGGAGACCAGGCACCAAAGGATTTTGTAAAGGAATCTGTAGTGGGTCTAAGTAGGCACTTTTTAAAGCATCAGCCATCTTCTTGAATGTCATAGTCACATTAAAAGAGCCTAGTTAAATGTGGCTTAGATATTGTTTCACAAGTGGCCTTAGTGGAATCCCTGTAAATAAATATGTTAGAATATTAGGTTGGGAAAATATTGTTTTGTTTAATCTAAAATGGAATTTAAACAAATGACTAAAGAATGTAAGCTGAGATTGTTTGATCTCATGTGATTCTTTAAATAATTGTCACATTGTTGTGTTTAGAATTATCTAGCTATCTGGCCTAGTAAACAGATGAGCAATATTCACTGAGAGGGGAAGTATATACAATTTGGTTTGGAACGTGGAAGAGAACCATGCTTAAGTTGGAGAGACACAAGTCAGAAAAGTCAGGGGGAGATTCAGGCATGGCCATTTTAGTTCATATGGCTCAAATACCTCTAATCCAGTGGCATAAGGCCTGACAAGAAATGTTCCTCTCTAAGGAGATGCTGGGGCCAAGGGAGACTACAGTTCATTGCACATTCAGAGATTAAAATATCTCCAAATTAGTTCCAGTGAATCATTTTAAATTATTTTAAAAGCCTTTTATATTTTAATCAGAGCCTATTCACGACCAGTTAATTTGGATGGCACGTTCTAAAATTACTTTCCCCCAATGATGTGTTGTGCCACTGCCATTGAATGCAGAAACCTCACGGAAGAGGGGATTAAGGAAATTTGAAAGTACCAAGGAGCTGTTGATCTTAGTCAAGTGTTTACTGGTTTATGAGTAGATTAAGATTTCGTTCTTGTCATCTGATTTGGATGGGAAAATGAGTAATGATACTCTTGTAGAGAGGGTGAGTGATTCCATAGGATGCCAAAAGTATGGCGATGTGCCCATTTCCCCAAATATTCAGGGAAGACTTGATGCTGTGGCATTGCTGCAGTACTTTCTTCAATATTTGGATGTAGTCTCTGGGTTTAGGGAGGTATTGTTTTAACCATCTTTGCTAGTCTCAAAATTTTTATCCACCATTTTGTTAATCTGTTCTACAATTAGCAAAGGGGTGCATGCCTGTTAAGAGTTCCAACTGTATGGTACACTTCCTAGTCATTAACGTAACTGATAGAGTACAATGTCTCTATTGTCATTGAGAATAAAAAAATGAGCTATACAGATCATGTGTTGGTTCAAGTTTGACTTTTATGCTCTGTTATTCTCACTTCAAAGATGATGAGACTGAAACTCAAAGAAAGAAGACCTGCCTTGGGTTACATATCAGTTTAGTGATGGAACTCTAGGCCAGCGCTTTTACTGATAGTGATCTTCACTCTCTGCTCCTCTTTGACTGGGGAGGAGCCTTGTGCTTAGCTGTACTATTCTACATCTTGATACATAGACTTTTCATTTTGTGGGAGAGTAGCAGCAAGTCCTTGGAAGTTGTTCATTTTGCAGTTAGCTAAGGTAGAGGGGCTGGTAATGTTCAGTTTTTCTGTACCATTCTCCTGATATGTTGGCTCAAGATACCAGAATCTATCTTGGAATGTTGTGTATTACCCATTAGTTACCAATCTTCTGCTGGGGAAGAATATAAATAGGAGAAAAAAGAGATGGACAGGATGAATTTTTAAATTATAGCACTGAGTAACAACTGCTAGTCAAGAAGTTTTTGGCAGTTTGTTAGAATCTCATTTTAAAGCAATAACACACTCAGAGTTGTATTCAAACACTGAGATAAATGCATCAACCTAAATTCATGGTTTTGTTTTTTTCCATGTAGCTGCTAATTATTGAACATAACGAGGCTTATTCATAATTTCTTTTCTCCTGCTTGATAGCCATAATCCTGTATTTATGCTGCTGTCATTCCCATGGTAACAGACTAATGTCTGAAGCATAAGATTATTAAATACAGCACAGTACATTAAAATAATGCTAAGGTTTTGACTTACAGAGAGACTTTCACACTGGGGCAAACTTCAAAAAAAAAAAAGAGAACGCTTATACAGAAAGCAATTTACTTGGCCAGTAATGTTTAGTATTCCCATAGCTATTATGGCAGAGATTTGTTTGAATTATAGCCTCTTCCTTCCCAGCCCATCATCTCCTTTGGCTTTGCAGCCAAGTCTTAATCTGGTGTTTATGATGTCAGCCTGTTGCCATGGGAGTTATTCTGTCACAGATGTATTGTGACTTCACTGCAGGACAGAAGCAGTGGAAAATTTAGGATGAAATAGAACAACTCTAAAGTTAATCTCCAGCATATCTGTTTTGGAAAAGAAGTATTCCCTTCACCTTTATGTGCTCCTAAAAATAAATAAATAAATAAAGTTAGTTAAGTGGTGACTTGTTGAAGGTTGGCCAACGAATATTGTTGAAATGACCAAAATGCCAAAAAGCCAGCACTAAGGAAAAAATGTTATGTAGCTCAACCCTGGCTCTCTGAAGAGTGGTCAAGATTTATGTTTTTAATCCTATGCTACAGTAATGAAGCACAACCATGTCTGTAGCACATAAATTGATACACCATTTTTTCTGGTTTTCTTGTAAAGGACTTTCTTCTATCTTAAATCTAATGTGGTCACATTCACAAGGACACGCGCCCTTTGCTTCCACCACCAATGACAACCACATCTTTATTATTCACAGACATATGTGGAGGCCCTGCCAAACTGAGAGGCATCTTTGAAGTCAAATTTTGTAGTGCTCATAGCACGTTAGCATTATGGTCCCTCAGGGGCCCCTTCATCATCTGGTATCTGGGACAGTCTCCCATTTGGATGGCATAAAAATAATCTAGGTTCTTTCCTAGGGATGAGAGATTTCTACAGAGTTAAGCTAAGTACACAGGTGATCCTGTGTGCATGATGAACTCTTTGAATGTCATGAACCAATGGTACAAATGGAATGCATGTACCTTAAATCATTTCTTTAAAAAAGAAATACGGGACAGAAGGAGAATAAAATGCTATGTAGCAACTAAAATCTTTTGGACTATGTTTAAATAATATGTAAAATTAGGAAATTAGCTACAGTGAGTCTTTTTTAAAAAAAGTTGGAATTACAGGGTTTAGGATTTTTTTCTTGCCCTCTTCTTCCATGTTTGAACTTAATAGAGAGTTTTAATATCCTTCCCCTTATTAAAATAAACCATTAAAGTAGGCAAGGTTAAGCAAGTTCACATTTCAAACATCTCCGATTGCTGGCGATTTGTCACTAGAAAGCTGTGGTAGTCACCTTGGAATCTGCATACCTTTTTTTGTGTTTATGAGAATAATCTGTCTTCTGCTCTCTCACCCAAATCCTTCTTAAAGGACTGGGGCTCTGCTGTAGAAACTCATGTCAGCATAATATGCCATGTACCTCTATAATGATTTTTTTTCAGCATTTTGTTGAGCCAGCTTCAGAAACAGCAGTGAGTATGTGTGTAAATGATTTGCTTTAAAAAGCAGATGTAGATTAATGCATTGGTTTAGTAATTTTTTCCCAACTCTTTCCTTTTCCCTTTATCTTTTTCTCCCCCTTCAGTTCTCTGGGATAATCCCAATGAGAAATCTGAAAGAAGGTAGAAGAATTTGTTTGTTTTCTGTACTTTACGTCAATGATTCCCAAACTTGGAGAGCATCAAGAAATCCTGAATGCCTGCTGTCACCCCCAAAGATTGTGATCTAATTGTTTGGGGGTGTGGTTTGGGCTTTGGCATTTAAAAAATATCTTTAAGTGATTCTAATATACAGACAAGTTTGCTTTCTGCTTTCTATATATGAATAGCTGAAAATTGAACTATCAAAGGCAAGTCTAAATATCACACGTGTATTTGATTTTTATAAATCTGTTGTGCCCCTTCCTACTTTATGCCAAGTCTCATTTCCTCTGTATAAGAACATGCTATAAAAGTAATCAATCTCTGACCCACGAATTTTTCCCTTTCTTTTGGAATGAATAATGGATGAACATTAATTATCTCTAGCGTTTTGTTTTGTTTTTTTATTTTCTACTTTTTAAAAAAATTGGCTTCAAAATTTTAGGAAATTTTGCATCAAGACTATAAAACAAAGTCATGTGGCTCGTAGGGAAATCAACAGAGCTCCTGTTTCAGAAACTTGATTAGCACTGGAAATTGAACTTTAGTTTTTGACATTGGGTTCCACACTATGCACCATCTCTGTAGTGTGCTCAGTCTGCATGCAGATTGTTTTCCTTAAGCTCTTTATAAATAAGATGACATTAAAAGAATAGTTTAATCATGTTTTCGTTTTTCAATATGTAACGCTAGAGAAGACGAGAAGTAGATTTCTTCATCTCATAAAACAAACTACCTTTGCAATAAAGTTCTGACTAAAACTTAACCCGGCATTTTTTTTTTCATTTATCTTGGTTATTGCTTTTCACATGTCTCGTGGTTCTTGTAAACATGATTTTCCCTCTGGAGCTAGATAGAAAGCTAAAGTCATAAAGGAAAGTGTTGGTATCCAAGCATCTTGCTTCTGATGTTTAGCCTTAAGAAATATATTTGAGCTTAAAAGAAAAGTAATAGGTTTGCTTGAATTTTCTTACTTTTCCTTCACATTCTCTTTTACTGCATCTATGGATAGCTCTAATACTTGCTTTAGATAGAGATCTGATGTAATTTTATAAAGCAGTGCTGTAAGATGACTGCAAAGGATGTTAATATTTCTGTTGACACTGCCTTGTAGATTTCCAATGAGCATGTGCAGATGTTAAGTCTGTAGATCTAGATCTGTAAGCACAACCATTGTCTTTGTTCTAAATGTTTGAATTTGTTTTAGATAGTCAAAATGATTACTCTACCTGTACATACTATGAAAAAGGGCTTCCCTAAGAGCTTGGGTAGTTTTTTCTTCTGACCATCCAGAAAGGTTTTTTGTTTTCTTTTTTTTTCTTCAATAAATTCAGCCTTTTCATAGCAGATGATTTATTACCGTGGTCGGTGACTCTGTATTTGGCTGATTTATTGAAAAGTCCATTTATTATCAGTAACTTTAGTTTATATTCATGGTAAGGACAGTGCTAATGCCATAATGCTTTGTATTTTCTCATTTTTTTCAGGTTTGTTCCTCTTTCATAGCTATGTGGATTAGGAACTAAAACTGAAAAGATCCCTTGTCAAATTTCAGATTGAATTTTAAGATACAAATTTTAATGAGATAATTTTGGAATGAATGGACCCTATAAGGTTATTCAGAGCTGTGGATTTTTTTTTAATAGGGGAATAAGAATGCATTCTGTTTTTAAAAAATGCTACCTCTATGTTTTTTTTTTTTCAGATACTGTTAACATTTGCTCTTTTTTCTAATACTTTATTTACTAAGACTTCATTCTTCTGTTTGATTAATGACAACCCCGAAAAGTATATTTTATCCCAACTTTTCTATTAAGTCTTTCTTTCCTTCAGTCTTCTGTGAAATCTGTTTCATTTAAAATTTTTTTCTAATTCTAAAGGTAGAATATCTTTATGTTGATAAAAAAGATAATCCATAAAAGTATAGTTTAGAGGATAAAATTCAGCTATAATCCTACCACTCAGAGAAAAATATTCTTGATATTAATATTTTTCACCTTCCATGCATATTACCATGCCTAGTTCAGATTAGACTCTTCTTGTTTTTATTTATTTAATATTGTATTATTTGCAGTCTTCTGTCTTTGTAAATATTCTTCAAGCATATGTTTTAAAGACTATATAATAATTAATTTTGTGGATGTATCATAATTGAATGGGCTATTTCTCCTTTTTTTTTTTTTTTTTTTTTTTTGGAAGAGATGGGGTCTCGCTATGTTGCCCAGGCTGGTTTGCAGTGGCTATTCACAGGTGCAAGCATGGCATACTACAGCCCTGAGCTCCTGGCCCAAGAGATCCTCCCTGGGCCCAGGAGCCTCAGCCTTCTGAGCACATGCGAACTACAGGTGCACAACTACTGTGCCTGGCTTGTTTCACCACTTTTAATCCTCTAGATTTTTCCAGAATTTTGCTATTGTAAATACTGCTTTCATGAATATCTTTGTATTTGATCTTTGCCTCTATTATATAGTGTTTCTTTGCAGGTTTCACAATTGAAATTCCTGGGTCAGATAATGGTTGTCTTGATTTCCTTCCTCCTGGCTGGAAATGACCATCTCACCACATGGTCATTTGTGTTTGGGAATGCGAATGTTAGTTTTTAAAGTATCTGATAATTATGCAGAGGAAAAATATAATTTTGCTTTAATTTGTGTTTATTTGCTGTCAGCGAGGTTGTTTTCCTCCAAAAGTTTATTAACCATTTGGTTTTCTTTTCAGTAGGGTTTTAGGTTCTTTAACCCATTTCTGAATCAATGTTTAATGTGTACGTATATGTGTGTCTGTGTGGTGTTTAATCAATGTAAATAGGCTTTTTAGAGTAGAGGTAATAAGCCTTTATATGTCCTATTATAACTCTTTAGAAATTCTCTGCCTAATTTTTGCCTTTTCTGCTTGAATAGGAAAAGCTTTAAGAAATCATTGAACTTAATGAATGATTCATTTATTTAACAGACACTTATTGAGTATCTATTACGTGCCAGGCACTGGAGTAAATAGACAAATATCTCCCCCTGCATAGAACATATATTTGAGTGGGGAGTAAGAAATAAACAATTAACACAATAAATGAACAAATTGTATAGTATTTTAAGAATGACAGCAACTATGGAAAAAAATAAGCAAGGTAAGAAGGACTAGGAGTACTAGGGAAAGGATTACAATTTTAAATGGGATGGTTAGGACTGGCTGTAATGAGAATATGACATGTGAACAGAAACGACTTGTTGTTTTTCTTGTATAGAAATATTTGTTCTTTGTGGTGATATTGTTAGTGTGGGCCTGATATTTTGTTTTTTTAATAACACAGATTTAATTCTGTGCTCTGTGGGTGATCTCCTTTTTAGGATAGCTAAAATGAATCACCTTGGTCCAGAGCCCTGCTGTACACTGTTGAAGGGGTCTGTAAGTTGATCTTCCTGTCTGCATGCATGGGCGGGAACTCTGCCTTTAATCAGGCTCCACCAGCTGTAGCACCAGAGCACTGAGTTTGTGGCCTTTGTATGTCAGAATGTGCATAGCTGTAAGAGAAGTTTTGTCAGTGTGAATCTGAGGGTGGAGTGAGATTTCTTCACCACCTGGTGAGAAATAATCTGTCTTGCAGTAAGTGCTAGTGTTGTTTTGTTTTGGGGAAAAAGGAAAAAACATTTTTCATGATGCAGGTGTTGAAATTTCTGGATTCCTCTCTCCCTCCCGCATCCTCCTCCTCTTCTCTTTTGCCTTTTCCTCCTTCTCCTTTTATTTCTACTTCTTTTTCTTGCTTAATTTTAGAATTTGATTCTGTTGCTGGATGTTATTTATTCTCTGGCATAACCATTGCAGTTCGTTTTTGGAGCTGTGCTCCACGGCCATTCACATTTTAGAATGGAACTGTGTTGTTTTGTCATTCATCACTCAAGTCTGAAAGACCATTGTAATCGTTTTGCTGATAAAGAACATGAATGTAAAGAAGAAATAGTGGTAAACCAGACAGCCCTGAGAGTGTGTTGTCTTGAAAAGGAACATGAGATCACAGAGAAGTTCTTTATTTTTGTTCATTTAAATTGATGAATTCTTTAAATTGTATGTCTAATTGTACTCATTTTTTTTATAGTTTAATGCAGACAGGTTATAAGATTCTAGACGCTAATTCACACTGATTTCTTTCACAAGTTAGGAGACAATTGTTGATTCATAAAACATGAGAGGAACTTTGGGTAATTGTCGATTGCATGACTATTCTGTGCATTTCTATTGCTTTGCTATCGGCAGTCATTAAATGGATTCAATTTGAAATCTGAATGAGAAATTAGTGTATTCTTATGAATGTGCCTCACATAAGTTTTAAATGAAGTGTTTGACTTTTTCATACATATCAACTTGGCAAAAGAATTTTAATTATTTTATTGGCTGAGTTTATGAGATTCATAGTTCAAGATTACTCAAACCAGGGTACATTTAGAAATAAATACAATTAAATGCTCACAAATGTGAAGGTCTTAAACAGGAACTGAGCTGTAATAATTGTTTAATCTAGAAACTTCCTCTTTTGTTTTGCTATACACTATTCTCTTAATACTCCCACCCTCCCCCAACCTTTTTTTTTTTTTTTTTAAGAGTAGCCTAACCTTTTGCTGGTGACTCCGGGAACCTATTAGAAAATGAATGGTGGTGCTGTTTCAGTTTTCCTTTCAGCCTTTCAGTTAACTAAACACTTACATCTGATCATTGTCACTTAGTTTTTCAAAGCACAGGTGTTTTCTCTTACCCTTCTTTCTCTGCCTCAGTCTCTCCCCTGCTTTTCTCCTTCTCTCCCTCTGTCCCCTACTTCTCTTCTTCCTATATTCCTCTACACTTCCTCTCTCCTTCTCTCTCTCGCCTCCCTTCCTCCCTCTCCTCCCTGCCCCCCAACCCTTTCCCCTTCTCCCTCTCTCTCAGTGAATATCACCATTTCCCAATATAATTGGGCTTGTCCAGTTCGACTTGTAGAATATTGGAGAATTTCAGCTTGAACATATACTCTGAGCAGGAGTGGTAAGAAATGTGACTGTTTAGCTCAAAAATTAATAGCTTGAAATCAGTGAAGCCACTGTCACATGCTCCATCTTTGTAAGCACCACTGCTTTTCCTTTTTTCTCCTGTGACATGGGGGGAGGTGGGATGGGAGGGTACACAGTAATCCCACTATCCTCTGATGGCTCAGAATAAGGAGAAAAGAGGCATTAATGGCTCATGAATGTGTGGATGCACAACTCTAAATAAGTACCACTTACGACTGTCTCCTAGTATGACTATGACTTCTCTGTTTTAGTTCCCATCTTTGAGACTACAAGTAGCTCAGATTCGATTTTGATAGTCGCACATCCACAGTATAATTTACTTACATAACAGGTGTTCCTGAAGATAAGTAAATGTAACTTATTCCTACTAACTTCTATAATTTAAAGAATAAAGCTTCTTTTGTATTATATAATTATTAGATTATATATCTAATTAATTATTAGTAGAAGAGAAAAAAAATCATCCATGAACCATCTCCTAGGAACAGATGACCAATATTGATAGTTTCTTGGATTTCTTTATAGGCATTTTTGTCTAAGGTTTTTCCTTTTATCTGCCTGTTTTACTTAGTTGTGATCATGCTATATGTATCATCTTTAGTCCTGTTGTTTGCACTTAATATCATGTCATGTGTTTTCAATTGTTATAAACTTTTGTAAACACATTTAAATACTGCATAATGTTCTTTGGAATTTACATAGCATAATTTAACCATTCTCCTCAGTTTTTGAAAACTACATGTGGTATTTTCAAGTTGCTTGCTTTTATAAACAATGCTTTGACAAATATCTTTGCACATATGACTTTTTCCACATTGAGGTGATATTTCCAGAAATAAAGTTATGAGATTAGGAACACCGTGTATGTTATTTTAAATTCACAAGGCTGTGTGAGTGAAGACATTGTTTTGTTTGTCTGTTGTTGTTGTTTACATTTTTTATTTGGAAATCGTTTCAAACTTACTGAAAAGTTGCAAAAATAGTACAATGTATACCCGTATTCATTTTACACGGATTCGCCTCTTATTGACATTTTGTTCCATTTGCTTTATCATTTGTGTCTGTGAACTCTCCCTCTGTCTTTTTCACTCCTTCCTTCTTTATCTTTTTCCCTTCCATCTTTCTCTGTGCATTTTTTCTGAACCATTCTAGGGTAAGTTGCATCCACCATGTCTTTTTGCCTCCAAATACATCAGAGTATATTTCCGAAGAATAAGATTTTCTTATGTAACTATGGTATAATTATTAGCTTCAGGAAATTTAACATTGACATAATACTTTTATCTAATCTTCTGTCAGCATTCTCCATATTTCAGTTTGGTCAGTTGATCTAATGATATCCTTTATAGCAATTTTCCTCCCTACAGTGCAAGATCCAGTCCAGGATTACATATTGCATCTAGCTGTTATGTCTCTTCAATCTACTTTAATGGGGAACAGTTCTTCAGGCTTTCTTTGTCTTTTGTGACATTGACATTAAAAAATATACAGAACTCCCCCACCTCTTTTATTTTTTAGGTAAAAAAGTTTTGAGTTTGATGTTTTGTCATGATGAGATTAAGGCTGTGTATTCCCAACCAGAATAATACTGAAGTAACATGTCCTTCACTATTATTCTGGAGATTACACTATTACATCCAGAGGTACCCAATGTCCTTCTACCCTTTGTTGGTGATAGTAATTTTGGTTATCTGATCAGGGCATTGCCTGATTTTTCTACTGTATAGTTACTATATTAACCCTTACAACTAATAAGCAATCCGTGGGAAGGCACTTTAAGAGCATGCAAATATCTTGTTCCTCTTCAAAACTCACCCCTTAGATTTAACATCTATTGATGATCCTTGCTTGAACCAGTCTTTTCTATGGTGATTTTCCAACTATAACACTTCATCAACCTTTACCAGTCAGTAGTTAGCATTCTCCTATAAAGAATTTTTCTATCCATTCATCCACCCATCCACCCATCCACCCACCCACTCTCATTGTCTGTCAGTCTGTCTATCCATCTATCTGTCTGTCTGCCTGTCTGTCAGTCGTATTGACTTATAGACTCCCCTTTTTAGTGGTGTATAGTTCACTACTTTTCTTAATTATTTTGGTGCTCAAATTGTCCTAGATTTAATTGGTGGGGGCCCCTTTAGATTGTCTCTTGTGTTCTTCTAATATGCTCCCATCATTTTCTCAGCACTAACTTTTTCTGGTGTGAGATGTGCTAGGCTTATCTTGTCCTTTCCCTGCCCTAGCCCTGTAATCAACCATTTCTCTGATGACTTCTGTTTTTGTTTTTTGGGTAGTTTTGTTTGTTTGTTTGTTTTTTTTTTAGAGGAGAAAGGTATTAGAAACCAATATTGGGGTGCTAGGTGTGCTGCTTACTAACAGGGTAGATTTGATTCTAGGCCTTTTTTAGGAGACAGGAAAAATAATATACACACACATGCATGTGTGCATACACAAGCACATATTTTAGGAATTGTGAGTTCACACTAATACTTCCAAGTTCAAACCATTTTCACAGAGAATGCTTATCTCCATTCTATAATGTATTATTCTTCCACAGTGAAAACCCTGCTGCCTAACACATTTGTTCATTTACTCAGTCCTTTAATACATCTAAAAATAGATTCAAATTATGTCACCCATACTACTACAGAAAAAGACCTACTAAAAAGTTCAGGACATGTTTTCCCTCCACACTTTCTTAGAATAGGGTAGATAGTAAAATTTTGAGTTCGTAACTTATATTATTCTTTTTCTCACCTCTCTTCATAGTGGTTATGTTTTTAATTTGAAGTACAATTTCCCTTTGCTTCATTTTCCCTTTGCTTCATTTTCCTTTCAATTTTAGGTTTTTATCTTTCCCATCTTTGTTTATTAATTTTATTTTTTGAATATGTGGAACACTAATATGCTTTCCAAATTCAAAACTCTGTATAAAGGTATACTGAGACATGTATTACTGCTAGAAGTTGGTCATTTATTTATAGCAAATGGGGTTCATCTCTTCAAGTTTAAAATGATCAACTTTATTTTTTAATCAAGCATACTTATTAGATATTCAAAGAGAAGAAAAGCAACCCTTGATTCTTGTGACCAGCCTTAGCTTTTTGTATAGTAGAAAATAAGAGATGTTTGGTTCACAGATAAGGCAAGTGACAGGCACTTCACGACAGAGGCTTGCTTAGCCCCTTTGTCTGTGTACAATGGGTTATGTTCCCTGCTTCCATACACTGTTGCTACTTGGTTGTTGTTGTTGTTTTTATATTTTACTTCTTGATGCTAGCTTACTGGTGATAAATTTCATTAGTTCCCACTCTTCTAGTTTAACTTTGAAAACATCTTTGAATAGTGGGTATATCAACTATATGCATTTTTCAAGGGTTAAGCTCTTGATCACATGTTGCTTTGGTTGAATGTTTGTCTCCTCCAAAACTCATGTTGAAACTTAATTCCCAGTATGGCAGGCAGTATTGAGAGGTAGAGCCTTTAAGGGGTGACTGGGTCATGAGGCTCTGCCCTCATGAATTGATTAATCTATTCATGGATTAGTGGATTAATGAGTTATAGACTAATAGGTTATAATAGAAGTGTAGAACTGGTGGCTTTATAAGAAGCGGAAGAGAGATCTGAGCTAGCGGACTCAGCCCCTTCACCATGTGATGCCCTGAGCCGTCCTGGGACTCTGCAGAGAGTTCCTTCAAACAAGAAGGCTCTCACCAGATGTGGCTCCTTGACCCTGTACTTTTCAGCCTCCATAACTGTAAGAAATTAATTCCTTTTCTTTATAAATTACCCAGTTTCTGGTATTCTGTTATAAGCAACAGAAAATAGACTAAGACATGTGTCTTTGTTTTTTTAACAATAAGACTTAAAAATACATTTAATATAAAGGCTGACATATATTCCAGCTCTGCATAGGATATAAGTGTTCCTCCCACTTAGGGTTGTGGTCAGATATATAAGCTTTCTTTTTTAATATTTGGAATTTATGGACTTTGCCCATGCAATAGTCTCATGTCCTTTTCTTTTTCAAAATTACAACGGGTTTGTGGAATGATGGACTCACAACAGTTAATCCTGAATGACTTAATGAACTGCCAGACAGGTTAAGGTGAAATGGTGTTCTAGGACAGATCTTGATTTGTAGAATTAAGGGTGGCAACAAACTTCAAAATTGCTTCTTTCATTCCAGCAGGTAATTTTGTTAGAGGTAACTCAAGTAATCTTAATATCTGAATGTGTTCAGTTTTATCCTGTTCTTATACAGGAAATCCCAATGCAGGGAAGAAATAAAGTAGCTTGAACACCAAAGATACTAGAAAGGTAGAGTCTAGGGAGCTGTCAGCAAGCTTTGCTTCTATTTTTTATACTGGTCAGTTGTGACTTTTGTTAAGTCAAAGAACTTAGAAATTTAGATGAAGGGAGGCTGCCTTTGTGCAGCCAGTTAGCTGGTCTGGGCAGTCAATTTGAGTGGTGAAATTAAGGCTTTATCTACTTATATTTGGGAGGAATTTTCTGGCAGATTGCAAAATCTTGATTAAGTTAGCCCCAGTTTAATATGTACCTGTGGCGGGCTTTTTTTTTTTTTTTTCTTTAATCCTTTACATTTTCTTGTTATAAATTATGAATTGGTCCACTTCTTATTAGACAGACTTTGTATACATTCCAAGGCAAACATAAAGTAAAAATCATATTTTCAAATATGTAATAGAATAATTGAGATGATTCTCAGATGCATGTCCCTTAGTAGAGTCATAGTGAAGGCATTTGCTGGCTGGCTGGAGGCATTGTTTTATTGTCTGTTTCAACTCTTGAGAGAAATGAACAGATGGAGACCTGTATTAGAAGTACTCACACATAGAAAAAGCTTTGGAATATTTTTAGCATTGTACTCAGGAGCAGCAAATCCTATTTCCACAATTTTGTGTATTTGTTAGTGTGTTATCTTGTTAAGCCTTTTTTCCCATCTGCATTTAATGGGTCAGTTGTTTCTAACTTGTTCTTTTGAAATTTTTAATTGAAAATCTGTTTTTTTTTTTTTTGGAAAGCACATTTTACAAATAAAGGCTGTTCAGCTAGGTGGCTAGGTGGTAAAAACTAAAATGAGTATGAATGTATGTTTTCTGTAAGGGTTCTGAAAACAATAATAGGATCTCTTTAAGCTCTACTGTATAGGGAGGCGAGTGATCCATCAAAAGCACAGTCTTAGATTTGGGTCTTCTATTTAGATTAGGAATGTTAAGAAAGATGGATGGTAAATGTCTTTTAGCTGTATTGTCCCCAAAACATGAAATGAAATCTAAAGACTCTCAAAGAAGGTTTCAATTACACTAGCAAATGACTTGAACAAGGATTGGGTAAAGGGAGGTCACGGGCCAGTGGAATGCCAGTTGTGGATTTATATTGTTTAAAATGAAAACATTATTTCCATTAACCCCTTTCCACTAACACCTCCACCAGAGTTATTTTCAGACTGTACGTTTGTAGGTGTTAGTCATACTTGATAGAAATGCCTTATCACAAGTGTGAATTGCACAGCCTTTCCATGGGTATATATTTTTTCCTTGTCCAATACACAATCCAGGGTTTCACTTGGCTAATCCTCTAGAGAGGTACTGGCATCCCTGTGTTCTTCAAACTTGATTTTAAAATGTAGCAGTAAGCTACCCAGTTGCAAAGAAGCATTTGTAAATGTTTTAATTAAAAACAGAATGAATGGATTCTGTGTTGTGGTTTTCTGTGATAACAGCCAATCGACTGCCAAATCACACTGTGTACTTGAGTTTAGGGAGGGAAGAGTCTAGGTTTAAGGGTGACTCTCAATGGATTTGCCCTTAACTGTCAATGTGGGTTTGAGTGTGGTTTTTGCCCTCTCACTGCAAATGGAGAAAAGAGTTGGTAAGCAGAAGATGAAGCATCCTTTTAATGAGTCGGCTATAGTGTGCACTCAGGGCAGACACTTTAAAAGAGCACCATTAATTTGAATAAAACAGGAGAAGGTAGGTACTTTGTACATCCATAAAGCACTGAAGGGGATAAATCCAATTATCTGTTCAATATTTAATGGCCATGAAGTTAAAAATTTTAAAGGCAGTACCTCGGAGACTGCTTAGTCAATTCTGTCCATATTATTTTTGACATTCAAAAGTCAAGGTAGAATAGCCATATTGATGGCAGTGCTCATCACGTTGGTCTGCCGATTTAGTGGCAGTGACCCTGGGATTTGTGTTTCTCTACACAGATGAAGATCAGTTGCAATTTTTTTTTTTTTCCAGGAGCTCTTAGGGAAACCTTAGGATCTACTGAGCTTCCAACCTGTTTCTTTCAGTCCTTTGCTATTGGCTCTTGCTATGAAAGGTAATTAAGGATGATTAACTTAAAAATTCAGATGCAAAAGAACCAGAATAAAGATCAGCCATTTGGGTTAACAGAAGACAGGGGATTTTAATAAAATCTGTGTTTCAGAAATTCCTAAGAAACTCTGTTAGAGACTCTCTAAAATTCCAACCCAATTTTTATAAACTTTTTTGCACTGTGCATATTTTCTAAGCAAGTCATGGGGGGAAAAGATAATTTTTAAAGTCTGCCACGTCTGTCTGTTCTACAGCTGTACTTAGCCACTGATGCAGGTGGGCATTGCTCTGTGGTTCAAAGGCAGCTGAATCATAAAGCTTCTAAGAAAATCGATGCTGTAGCGACACTTGGAATGAATGTCAGTATGACAGTGATTTTTGTGATATGGTCTTGAAGCTTTATTCTTCTTGCCTATTAGCTAATACAGGATCCTAATTAGCCATTAACATGCTCTTACCTTGTATGGTCCAAACTATAGAAGCATATCTCACTGTATTTCAGAGAATGTAACTGCTGGTTACCTTTTCACTTATTCTGTTTTATGTATTTCCTTTCGCATTGAATATTCTCCTTTTGTACATTTCTGAAATAGAGCTGTACGCTTCCTGGGCATGGATAGCATTCGATCCCTTTCAACATAGCTTCAGTTGCCTGTAGCTATCTACCTGTTTATTTATCTAAACTAATACTATGTACAGATAAATTTTGACATGATGCAGGTTTACTGTTAAAATGTTATAGAAGAATCATGCAGGAAGACAACTTTAAAATAGATTAAAGAAGCAAAAGTTAATACATTGTATGAGTTAGGAGATGATAATAAGACTTTTGTTTTAAGATATGTCAGAGTTTTAAGAAGGGCTAGCCTATTGTGAGAGCTTTTAAGGAGTCTGTGATTTTCCTTGGGAATACATGTAAAGTCCTTTTCTTTTTCTTCCCTATTTTGCTACCCATTTCCCTTTAAAGGGAGACTTGGTTTGTTTCACTCTATTTTCAAATGCAAATTCAGCTTATTCTTGTCACGTGTACCATCTCTAAGGATGATACTTGCTGAAGTCTAAAACTATTTAGCGTTCCTGGATCTTACAGTTTTAAGTAGATTGTTCCTTGTTTTGCTCCAAGTGTCTTGAGTGATTTGGCTGTTAAACCAGCAGAAACCTTTGTTTTCTTAGTTTCCTATAAAGGAAATAAAGGTGAGAAAATAATGATTTCCTGGATAATTCAAAGAGAAGATTTAACATAAAATCTCTAACATGCCACTATACAAGGACTTGCAAATCAGCTTATGTTACAACTCAGCATGACAATTGTTAAACTCATTTATTTTTAAAGAGCTTTTATATGTGATACATGTTAAAAGAGCCAAGAAGAGAGGGACTTTTAGCACTGTTCTTCTTGAATATAACATACATGTTTCTGAACTCTTACTTGGGGTATTTCATTTGTTTGCTCATTCTTGATCTGCACAGCCCTTAAGCTGTAAGCTTTTTGAGGACAGGAAACCTCTCGTGTGCATTTTATATTCCTAGAATGTATTTTTTTTTCTTGTGTGACTTACCCCGGATCTTTATATTAACAGTATTATTATTTACATAATATTTCTCTTTAAATTGGTTTACCTTTTTACCCAACCTCATGCAAATCAGTATTAGCCATGAAATTACAGGTTTGTTGGGCTGTATCTTCTTTTAATACATATTAATATTTACATTAAAATCCTAATTATTGCCACACACGGTGGCTCACGCCTGTAATCCCAGCACTTTGGGAGGCCGAGGCGGGTGGATCACTTGAGGTCAGGAGTTTGAGACCAGCCTGGCCACCATGGTGAAACCCTGTCTCTACTAAAAATACAAAAACTAGCCCGGTGTGGTGGCGGGCACCTGTGGTCCTAGCAACTTGGGAGGCTGAGGCAGGAGATGGCTTGAACCCGGGAGGCAGAGGTTGCAGTGAGCCGAGATCGGGCCACTGCACTCAAACATGGGTGTCAGAGCGAGACTTCTGTCTCAAAAAAAAAATCCTATTATTAGAACTTATAGATTTTTATTTGTATACCACTTAAAAGTCATCTCATGCATCACACTTGAGGAATGGTGCCCTAGCATAGCCTTGCACATTCTCACATGTAGTCACTATTTGTTTAATTGTGGAGGGGAGGGAATAAGATTAATGTACTTCGTGTGTCAGGTATTGTTTTCAATAGTTTACATATGGTTTCTCTTTTAATCCCTATAACAACCGAATGAGAAAGATGTCTCCATTTTATACATAAGGAAAGTGAGGCTCACTAAGGCTTAGTGACTTTCCCAAGGTCAAATAGTTCAGTAAAAATTAGAGCTGAGCTATGAACCTAGGTTTATCTGATTTCAAAGCTTGTACTGTTTTTGCTACATGTTGTGGACTCTCAGTGATTAGTGGGTTAACCTTGTGCATTACTGTCTGCTTTCCTGTTGTTATTCCTCTGTAGTTAGAATAGAGTTGACCCTGAATGGTATTTACAGTTTGTCATCTTGTTCTGGAATTGCATTTTGCACAGTCTTGAAAGTTGTTGTTACCACCTTCTTTTTTTTTTTTTTTGAGATGGAGTCTCACTCTGTTGCCCAGGCTACAGTGCAGTGGCGCCATCTCGGCTCACTGCAACCTCCACCCCCGAGGTTCAAGTGATTCTCCTGCCTCAGCCTCCCTAGCTGGGATTACAGGTGGCTGCCACTATGCCCAGCTAATTTTTTTGTATTTTTAGTAGAGATGGGGTTTCACCACCTTGGCCAGGCTGGTCTCGAACTCCTGACCTTGTGATCCACCTGCCTCAGAATCCCGAAGTGGGATTCAGGCATGAGCCACCTTGCCTGGCCTGTTACCACCTTATTTTTAAGGTTTGTATGAAAGGGAACCTCTTAGCACTACTAAGAGGAATATGTTTGTTTTGGATTTTTAAAAAGTATTGCTAATTAAGAGTTTAGACAAATATTAAGCTTCTTATTTAAGTTAGAGGTAGCTTCTCTCTCTGTAGTTGTTTTTCATTTTATGTAGCCTAAATCATGTTATACTTCAGAGATGAAACCTGGAGATGATTTGATTCTCATCCAAAATGAGTGCCTGAGTTCCATTTTCAGCATACACGTATGATCATCTAGCTATTGCTTGATTACCTCTAATTATGGTGTTCTCACTGTCTCCTCTTTAGCTATTACTAAAAAATGAAAGAGGGCCTCGACAGCCATAGTCTTTTAATGCTAATATCCTAGTATTTAAAAGTTGCAAGGGAGCCTAATGTTTGCTTAATTAATTTATTTATTTTGGTGGTAGAGAATAGAAAAAGTTGTAAAAATATTGTTTGCCTTTTGATAAATTCAGAAAACATTTTCTATTTCCCCTTAAATCACTTGGTTTCCATCTCAGATAATCATTAGGGTTTCATTTTCATTCAGCTGGATAGCGTACCCAGAGATGGTTTAATGGGATCACGTACACTGATGGATGGTTTAATATTTTGAAGATGGCACACAGTAGCACTTTTAAGAGAATAATCAGGACTGGCATGCGAGGGCTGAGAATTGCTTGAGTTCAAAAATCAGAGCTAGTGTAAGTGCAGTTTTGTGTAACTTCTCTTCGGCTGCCAACTGACCATTTTATAATTCTTTCTTCCCCCGATTGTATTTTTCTTGGTTTCCTGTTTGACTTATATTCCAAATTCACTTTACATCTTTGAAATTATGGAAATAAGGAAATAGAGGAACTGTATTTCTTCCTTTCTGAGTGTAGCATCTGGATGCTCTGGTTTTAAACGCGAAGGGGCTGTAAACCCTAGGAATACAATGTCTTTTAAGGACCGGAACTAGTACGTCTTCAGAACTGACTTCAAATAGTTTATTTCACCCCATTGATCTGACCTATATGTGTTGATTTTTATTATATAGTCTATACTGTAGGGGGAGGAAGAGCCTGCAGTTTTACTATTACCTCATAAAATTAATTGGTGCCTAAAACAAATAGTATTAAAGATACTGTATTTTATAACATACCAAGATGACTGATATAGTTTCTGTAGGGAGTTTTTGTTTTTCTGTGTTTGTGTCAATAAACTCATAAAATCTGCAGAATGAAATGAGTCATAATCTCATTTTTACTATCAAAAAGTGAAGTTGAGCAGAAGCATGACCACGTAGTTCCTCCCAGTGGCTCAAACAAGTAAATAATTTAACATGTCTTCATAACACAGGGTTTTGCTTATATCAAGAAACACAATCACCACCCCTTCCCTGTTCAATGTAAGGGGCTTAGCTTTATTGGAGTCAAAAAATCTAGTGCAGTACTTTGTCAGTCAGTGAATATTGTGAGCTTCTTTATTTTCCCTGTTGCTTTTTTACACAAATGTGGGAAATGTTGGTATCACAAGAAAATCAGACTACATTTGGTCTTCTAAAATGTAACTCCATTGTCCCCATGCTGGACTGAATTTCTTTTTAATGTGCTGTTTTCCTCAACCCAACCTTTCTATAGGGAAGAGTAGTAAGTTTATTGTCAGTATTGTGGATATTTTAATTGAAGATAAACGAGTTTTCTTTTTAAATGTCTTCAGTATTACATATCTTTAGTTTTATTATCCTAATTTTAGTAGATTGGCAAAGCCAGATAATCTTAGCAACCCTAACCTGATTCAGCATTCATTACTGCTGCTAAATCAAATAAGACCTGGCTAATAGAAACATGGCTTGTGCAGCCATTCTTTAATTTAATTAGAATATTATACATTGCATTGCACTTATATGTGTATACCAGAGACAAAACTTGATAATCAGTTTGTAAGCACTCATGCTACATCATCTAGCTAGAGACATTTATCATTTATTGTGAAATCTCCTCTTTTGGGAACCTCTTTAAATTACTAAATATCAGGATTGCTTGAAGGGGTGAAGATGGGGCTAGCTCACGTAATGTGCCATCAAAGGTTAGGAATTTAGGTCTCATTCTACTATAGCAAAGATTGGCAAACTTTTTCTGTAGAGGGCAAGGTAGTAAATATGTTAGGCTTTGTGGGCCATACGGTCTCTTTCACAACTACTCAGCTCTGCTGTTGTAGTGTGAAAGCTGCTGTAGACAATATGTAAACGAATGAGCATGGCTATGTTCCAATAAAACTTTATTTATGGACACTGCAATTTGAATTTTATGTGTTTTTCGGGTGTTGTGATATATTCTTAAGAATTTTTTCAACCATTGACAAATACTATTCCTAGCTTCCAGGCTCTACAAAAGCACATGGTGAGCTGGATTTGGATCACAGGCCTTAGTTTGCTGACCCCTATTCTGTAGTTTCCTTTCTTACTGTATTTTAGTTTTCTTATTTATATATTTATGTACTTATTGACTTATACTTCTTTGATGGTTTGCTCTGTATCCGTGCAGTTTTCCATAGTGCAGGAAATGTGGATGGAATGAATTTTCCTGTCATTCTCTTATCTGACAGTCTCTGCTTGATGTGGCAAAGGAGAATCAGGTGTTCAACCTCCAATGAGAGTAATTTCTGATATCAGTTGGTAGTTGCTGTTTAATTCTCAAGGTGCAGACAAGGTGGCGGAATTGACTTATCTCATTTTCACATTCTGGGAGATGATCTGTTAGTCCTGAGGATGCTGTCAGTTTTCTGGTATTACTCTCCCTGCGTGGTCATTAACAATAGCAGAGTCCATAAATTGATCCCAGGTTTGAATTGTAAGTTGTTGGCCCTGAAAACTTGGTGAACAAACTTGCTGTCAGTGTTTGTATTGATGGAAATAGTCTGAGGTCAGCTTCATTACTGCACCCTAACTGTCTCATACATTGTCCGTTGATTTTTCGGTTGTGTTGCAAGAGGGTTCTTGTTTCAGACACTTGCTACCAGACATATTCACCTCAAATATTTACAGTACAATGAATCATTCAAACTTAAGGTTGGCAGTGTCTTTTTGAAATGGTGTTCATGAAGGACTGGGTTAATTTATCAGATACAGATTTTGAGAAGTTTTTTTCTCTTAAAGCAAAAGTTCAATTTGCTAATAAATCAGTGGCAACTCTGTCATCTGACACATGGATACTTGTCTCTTTCACACTGAAGCTTGCCACTGGTATCTTTTGCAAGAGTGGACATATTCTTATCTATAAAGTATTTTCTAGATTCATTCAGAAAAAAATAAAGTGAGAATACTAGTTTCCTTCTTGAATAATGGAACTTAAAGATAGGCCTAGGTATATGAATTATTACTGTTGCCCATTTTGAATGACTACTGAGCTTTGGCGATTATTATCAGCTTATTTCTAGAATTATTTATTAAGTAGGGAATTTTATTCATTGTCAGATTTGTAATTTTAGCTAAGTTCTGATTAGATCACCTTGTGGTTTCTTGCAAACATTTTTAGTCCTTGTTTTGTGTCATCATGAAAGAAAATTTAACAAAAAGATGCATACTTGCTGTAACTCCTGGGCATTTTTATTTATTCATTTATTTTTAGTCCTGTGGTTTCTCTCTATAGGTGATTGGAACACACCAGACCTCTCAGAAGCGTTCTGCTGTTTCCTTCCTCCCAGTAAGCAGATTATTTGCAAGTGACTTGAAAATAATTTCAAGTATTGGAGAGCTTTCTTCTCAGCCACCCTTGCCAATGTTGTAGGTGATGCACAAAGTTCTGTAGGTCAGCTTGAAATCATCATGCTTGCAAGGAAAAAAAAATTAAAATTGACTTCAAAGGACAACTCTGACACGGTCAATTAATAATTAAAACAGTTTTTTAATGAGCTATGCAATTACCTGTATGTCCCTGGAGATGATGGTTTATGGTATTATTGCAGTGCCCTTTCTTTAGTCATGGCGCATGACATTTGTAATTTAAAGCCGGCTAGACATTAAAGTGACAGAACTTTCATTAACCTTGTCTAAAGTTTGCTGATGACAAATGACTTATAAAACATGCTGTTGTCAAAATATACCACATATTTAAGTACCTTAAAAGTCCTGTGGGCTCTGAGAAGCTATGGAGACTCAGAGAGACACCAAGACCACCAGTGTCCTGTGGAATTACTTGACAGAATCCCCGGTGGCTGGCACTATTTCTTTGTACTCAGGTAAGTGGTACCTGCTTCAGACAAGAGCTTCATGTACTTTTCATGGCTCTCTGGTTCAGGTAGGTTTCCCACGGGTTTTTATACCACGTGACACGATTCTCTCAATCAGTGGTTTATGACTATTGAATAATTTCTTCTAAACCTGCTTTGATATGTAAACTTTCAAGTCTTTAGAAGCAGTTTTATTTTTTCATCTTGAAACCATTTAGCAATTATGTTTTGATTTTAGCTTTTTTTGTATCTTGGCTTTCTAAATTCTTAGCCCTCTGTTTGCACTATGCCATACCTCTCTTTTGTCTTCTCCCTGTATTTGAAATTTTCATTTTTTGTAGAAACTATGTAGAAACATCCTCTAATCTTAAAAAATTTTCTCATCATATTTCTTTTAGAAGAATATCTTGAAATGCTACCAAGGGAGATATTGCAGGTGGATATCCTTTTATGTTATAACAGTAATAAATATATAGTAATTAACATTAATGTGCAGGTATTGTTTGCCAGGCATTATGCTAAGAGTTGTATCTCATTTAATCCTCATGGTAGCCAGAGCTTATAGCACTATTTCCCCATTTACAAATTTGAAAACTGAAGCACAAAAAGATTAAGTACTTGCTTACTGTCTTATAGCTTGTAGATGAACCAGGATTCAAATCTTGACTGACACCAAAGATATTATTAGTGACCACCAAGCAACATGGCTTCTCACTTTTGTTTTTTCAAAATAAATTACAAGTTTGCTATCTGGAAAGATAAAGTATAGCAAACTTCTAATTTATTTATTATTTAATAATTATAACCACCTTTAATTATTAAATAGAAAGAATTGTTATTTCATGTTTGTGCTATGCAATATACCAATAAATATATGCTGGACAGCATACCAGCAAATATGAATTTAATATTGTAAGTTGAGTATTTATAGCTTATTCGAGAGACTTGTTAAGAGAAATTATAACCACCTTTTAACTCAAGTGGCATATGATAGATATTTCATAAGTATTTCCTATTATTATTATTATTATTAGCATACTCCCTACGTGCAATATATCTTGATTCTGTCATGGGTCTATGTTTCAGGATTGGTTCCAATATAATTAGAGACTACAACTTTAACAACACATTGTTTTATTCCATTTGGTTAATGTCCATACCTTTCTTAAACACTATGTAAGTATTATACATCACAAAGTATTAAATATTGTCATCGTATCAAATACATCTCTGTGTTCATATTGCTGAATAGTAGTCTACTCTTAACTATTTTTTAGTTGAAGTATAACACCAGGGAGGTACACATAGTGTAAATGTGCAGCTCAGTAAATTGTCGCAAAATGAACACCCGAGTAACCATTACCGAGGTCAAGAACTTTGCCAGCAGCACCCCAGAAGGCTTCCTCATGGCCTCTCAAAATTACTGCGCTTCCTTCCTCCCCAGTGATAACCAGGATTTGAACTATAATGCCATAGTTCTACATTTTTTTGTTTGCTTTTGCTTTTGACATTTTAAAAACTTCTTATTGTTGAAAATGTCAAACACACAAAAGCAGAGGGCATAGTGTATTGAATATCATGTTCTTATCACTCAACTTCAACAGTTATTAACTCATGACCAATATTATTTCACCTGTAATCTCACCCACTCCCCCAACCATGGATCATTTTAAAGAAAATTATAGACATTGTACTATCTTTCCATCAAGATTTCAGTATGTATCTCTAAAAGACAGGGATTCTTTTTTAAAAAGATAACCACAATAATATTTTCTTACCTAAATACTTTTGTACCAACAATATCCAGGCAGTATTAAAATTCTGTAATTGCCTTATATTATTATTACTTTGAAAAAAACCTTTTTATTTGTTGAGTCAAGAGTCAAATGAAGTCCGTGAGTATAACTACTTGATTAGCACGCCAAGTTTTTCTTAGCCTATAGCTTCTTCATCCCTTTTTTCTCCCTCGAAGTTTAAGAAACTGGACTGCTTGTCCCATAATTGCCCACAGTCTGATTTTGCTTATTATGTCTTCCTGATGTTGTTTAACATGTTTTTTAAAAATTTTTTTATTTCTTATTAGTCAAATAAGTCTATGAGATTCAGGCTTACTTTTCTTTTTTGGGGTATGGGAGGGTATAAAGGGTAAGAATACTTCATAGGTAGGTATATAATGTCTGTACCTTTTTGTATGCATGTGATGTCAGTAACCATTTGAAGATCACTGCGTAGATTTATTCTTTCAGTGAGGGCTGCAAAATGGTGAGGATCTTATTCTGCCATTCCTTCATAAAGAGAAACTTCCCCTTATCATTTAACTTAAGTGCAATATACATAGAATGGCCAGACAAATGACTGATTCTTTACCTTTATTTACTGATTTTCAAAATAATTAGTTGGTTCTCAGCACCCTTCAAAGGTATTTATGAAAGTTTTGTTTTGCTTTAGTATTATTTTGAATTTATAGGGTTAAACATGCTTCAATCCATTCAATTATTATTCTTACTGATGCTCAAATTATCCTGCTTTTGGCTAGTGGAAGACTCTTTTATTATGACCCCAGAATCTTTGCTAATATCCTTTTCTGGTTGCGATAAGATATTCCAGGCTCATCTTAGAAGGTTTTTTGTTTTGTTTTGTTCTTGCCTCAAACCTGGAATCAGCTATTTCTCCTAGAAGCTCATTTCTTTTAGTGGAAAATTAGAAACTATACTCTGGTCCCTGGGATGTGCTTATTCCTACTGGATAGGTCACTGTTTTTAGATCTTTTTAGTGTACAGAACTAGGCAATGTATTGTTGTTGTCTTAAAGATAAAATGTATAAGGACTCCATTTTGACTCTTCCAATTCAAATTCAAGACTACGTAGCTTTCACTTAAAATCATGTATTTGTGTTTTCATTCATGCATGTGAAAAATCCTGACACCAGCATTGGAGATTCTTAAACTGGGATACATCATACGCACAGTAGTTTCTGGGAGGTAAAGCTTGGCATCTGCATTTTTAACAATTTCCACAGGTGATTCTGATACTCACCCAAGGATGAGAACCACTGATCTATTTTTTACGAACTATTTTATGTTATAGATACTTAAATGGAACCTCCCATTTTCTTCTTAGAATCCCCCTTTTCTTTGTTGATTGTCCACATTCTTTCTTCTTCTTCTTCTTCTTTTTTTTTTTTTTTTTTTTTTTTTGAGACAGAGTCTTGCTCTGTCACCCAGGCTGGACTGCAGTGGCATGATCTGGGTCACTGCAACCTCCACCTCCCAGGTTCATGCAATTCTCACGCCTCAGCCACCGGAGCAGCTGAGACTACAGGCGTGCACCACCACACCCTGCTACTTTTTTTATTTTTGGAAGAGATGGTGTTTTGCCATGTTGGCCAGGCTGGTCTAGAGCTCCTGACCTCAAGTAATTCACCTGCCTCAGCCTCCCAAAGTGCTGGGATTACAGGCATGAGCCAGTGCGCCTGGCCAAGGTTGACCATATTCTTGATGAGCCACCTGTGTACAATCTGAATTCTTTTCTTGTTTAACTCATTGGTCTGTGCATCTGACAGTAAAGTTGAGTTATTTCACTTCTGTGAAAGCCAGGCTGCAGTTATCTTTGACCGCTTGAAATGCTAAAATACAGGTGAACCTCACAACTAAGGCTCTGCCCAAGGCCAGAGAGAGAATCCTCCCTCATTGCTTTGAGCAGAATGCCTGGTACTGGAGTAGATTTGCTTAAAGGCAACTCTGCATTTGATAAAATATCAGAGCAATTTATGTCCTTGTACCCTTGTTCCTTTTCTTTCCTCTTAGGCAGAAATGTTAATTGACAATCAAAGGAGTAACAGGTGCATACCTGAATTCACAAGCCTTTGGGGCCCATCTTGAATACTTCTGCAGATCCAGGCCTGGTTTAGGTTATGCCTTCTTTCATCCATGCTCACCTGAGAGTTCCAGTGTTTTCCTTGTTCTTGTTTCTGCATTCAGAGTTCTAAAATTTGACTCTGGCTGGTCATTTTATCACTTCTCTCTCTTAGAGTAGACTATAGATCTATATCTGAACATTTAGCTTCTAATTGATTTGTATTGATAATAGGTGAAAAAGAAGTTAATTAGCCTGGAAATGACTACACCATAAGATCAGACTTTGGTTAAAAATTTAACCACATTAATTTTGATAATCTTTTACATTCATTTAATATTAGCTTTGTTTTATGTTAAATTTGCAAACTTTCACATTTTTATCAATGTTCTTGAGAGGGAGGCAAAGAAATTCTCAATTTATGATGCAAAATGGAACTTCAGGTCAATTATTTGACCTCTGTGATTTAGATCACACATCTTATAAGTGGGGGAGCAACTGCTCAGTCTGATTCCTGGTATTTTTTTCTGTTATAAAGCACACTCTTAAAAAGAAAGAATTCAAAGTTGCTTCCAAAAGTACAATATAAGAAAAATAATTTTAGGAAAGGTCAAAAATGATTAGAAGAAGGAAGTGAGAATTCTGTTAATTTAGTCTGGCTTTGAGCTTTCTGTTTGTTAGCCAAGACATAAAGGGAAAACTTTGGCTCATAGAATACTTATCTGATTAAAGAAAGCACATGAATTTGCATGGAGTACAGACTTTTTTTGGCATTGAATTCTGTGAAGAATATATTATATGATCTTACTAGGGGATATCTGTAACAATGAATTATACCTTCACTGCTAATTTTGTAAAAGATATAAAAGTAAACTTCAAATGAGCATTTTTCTTACTCTTCTTAACCATTATCACATGAACTCATTGCCAAGGTTTTAGGTATGATGATATCAGATGAAAAGGTACAAGATATATGCTTAAGTGAAGCATTTACACTAGGTTTTAGTGTTGATGCAATGTATCTTTTTTCATTATTTTACTTTTAACCTATTAGTCTTTATGTTTAAAGTGATTTTCTTATTATAAGTATGTAGTTGGGTCTACTTAAAAAAAAAATCCATTAGCTGGGCGTGGTGGCAGGTGCCTGTAGACCCAGCTACTCAGGAGGCTGAGGCAGGAGAATGACGTGAACTCGGGAGGCAGAGCTTGCAGTGAGCCCAGATCGCACCATTGCACTCCAGCCTGGGCAACAGAGCAAGACTCTGTCTCAAAAAAAAAAAAAAAAAATCCAGTCTGACAAGCTCTGCCTTTTAATTGCGTGTTTAGATCATTTACTTTTAATGTTCTTACTCCCATGATTAATTTTTAAATTATCTTACTATTTCTTTTTATTTGTCTCATCTGCTCTTTGTTCTCCTTTTCTTCTTTTTCTGTCTTATTTTGTGTTGAGTATTGTTTATTATTCCAGTTTATCTCCTCTGTTGGTTTATTAGCTGTAATTCTTTGTTTTAGTGGTTGTTGTAGAGCTTATTGTATATATCTGTAACTTATCAAAGTCTTGCAAATGATGTTATACCACTTTATTTGTAGTCTAAGAACCTCATGACTGTATGTTTCTATTTTCCTCTCTCAGCCTTTCTGTTACTTTTGTCAAACATTTTACTTTTATGCATATGCTATAAACCCCACAATACATTATTATTGTTTATTCAATTTATCTTTTAAAAATTAAAAATAATTTAAAATATCTTTTAAATAACAAAAAAGTCTTACATATTTACTATATATAAAGTGCATTTTTTGGTGCACTTTTTTCCTCCCTGTCAACCTATATTTCTATTATTTTCCCTCTGCCTGATAACTTCCTTTAGCTTTGCTTGAAATATGGGTCTGTTGCTGATGAAGTGTTGCTGCTTTTATTTTGCACCCCATCTCCTTTTTTATAATTGTTATTGTTCAGGCAGGACAGTAAATCTTGTCCCTGTTAACTTCATTTTGGTGAGAAATGGAAGTCTTCGTTAGTTTTAAATGTAGGTTAAGTTGTCGGTAGTTAATGCTGAATTCTTTAATAGCTGAGTTGCAGTAACATTAGGTATTCACTGTGGGTGCCTCTGACTTCCTTCAGAGGTCAATATATAGGGATCAGGGTGGATAACTATAAAATCCAGGTTGTATTCCTCTGTACAGATAGTGTAGCTGTATTAGTCTGCTTGGGCTGCCATATTAAGATACCATAGTGTGGGTGGCTTAAACAACGGAAATGTATTTCTCAAAGTCTGGAGGCTGGAACTTCCAAGATCAAGGCATTGGAAAGATTGGTTTGATTCTGAGACTCTTCTCTTGGCTTATAGACAGCCAGCATCTCTCTGTGTGTTTGCATGACCTCTTCTTTGGACATGAACATGTGATGGGGGAAGACACAGCAAGCTCTCTGATGGCTCTTTTTTTAAGGGCACTAATGCCATCATGAGGGCCTCACCCTTATAACCTTGTCTAACCCCAATTTCCTGCAAAGGGACTGACTCCAAATACCCCCTCGTCAGGGCTTAGGACTTCAACATGAATTTTGGGCGGATACAAACATTTGGTGTATATCAGCAGCCACAAGTTATAGTGTTCTGTGAACCTGAAGCTTTCTCCTTATAACTTGTGTAGTTTGTGGTTAAGGACCAGAGCCATACATCTGCTCTGATCTCTTTCTTACCCCTCTAGGCATCTCTGTGGTAATATAAGGAACACTTTACCCATCAATAGATTAGAACCTTACCTGTACTTGTCTGGAGAGAGAATTTTTGTTCCCGTAATTCTTTTTGAAGTGTCAAGAACTTATTTAGTTTCACTGGATTAAAGAGAGCAAAATTATCAGCTTGAATCAGGAGCAACTTGAAGGAGAGATCAGGGCTATGAAGCCTGTTGGGAGATCTGCATTTATAAGGAGATGGCTTCAGCAAGGATAAGTCATATCTTAACATCTTAGTCTTAAAGGACAGATTTGTTGCAAAGAAAATGGAAATGGTAGGAAAAAGTGCTAAGTCTTTTTTCCGTGGCAGCATTTCAGAATTGTGTATTGTAGCTCAATTTTTGCTGTTGCCTCTCCCTTCTGTTAATATTAGAGTCAGAAGCCTGATCAGACACAGTGCTGTTTTTTCTGCCTAACCAAAGCTGTGGACCCGTGAAACCTGTAAAGATATTAAAGAATTGAGAAATTTCATGTGAGTGAGGTGGTTGAATTTTATTTCTGTTGTTAATATTAGGTGATTGCAAATCTACTTATTTTGTTACAGAGATTCCAGGATGCCAATATGCCCTTAAATTTGTTCAGAATTTTATGTGGGATTATACTTTTATATTTTAATTTACTTTGTAACTTGTTAGCTATTCTTTCTCTAAACATCTGAGAGATATTTTTCTTCCCGGCTTTAAAATTTAATTGAAAAATAAAACTGTGACTATGTTTTGTTAAGTTAAACAATACTCTCTGCCAGGCTTCTTAAGGCAAATAGGATTATAAAATCTTACATGCCCAGTTCATATTACTTGCTCTGAACAACCGATTAACCACTCCCATAGAATCCTAGGAGAGTTTAAAAATTACAGCTTTCTTAATGTTTCTCACATTTGCCCAAAGGTTTCAAAGAAGGTGCCATAAGAAATATATGAAGGTGCCCTTGGAGATATAGGCAAAGAAGGTGCTGTGGAAATTAGCTTTCTTTTAGTGGCATGTTTGCAGTGAGATTGGGCTATTAGGGGCATTTTAGTTTTCCTGTACCTAGGACAATCTGCTACTTACAATGATTCCCTGATGCCTTTATAAAGGGAAAGAGGCTTCCGTTTTTAGGATTCATCTAACAAAGTGTTATTGCTTACCTAATTTTTTTTTTTTTTTTTTTTTTTTTTTTAGATTTTTTTTCACTCTGCTAGGCACTGGGGAGCTATAAGGACTAAGAGGACCTCTTCCCCTCTAGAACTGCACTACTAAATTGGGTAGCCATTAGTCACCTTGACTATTTCAATTTAAAGTTAATTAAAAATTCAGTTCCTTAGTAGTACAAGACACATTACAAGTGCTCAATAGCTATTTGTGGCTAGTGGCTATCATGTTGGACAGCATAGATATAGGACATTCCTGACACTGCAGAAACTTCTGTTGGACAGTACTGTACTAGGAGTTATTATTCAGATTTATTTACCCACAAAATATGGTTGTTGTAGTAGTGTTTTTAGTCTCAGAGTCATGTTAACCCAAAGATGGATAGGAAAACAAAAATATGCTACAAGGAAAATTATTATGGGCTATTCAGGTGTTCTTGTTACTGTATGTGCCCCTAATATTAGGATTTTCTTCACAGAACATTATCATTCAAAAAAGAAGTCATTACATATATTCAGGTTCTTACAAAGGCTCTCATGTTACTGACTAATCTTTCAATTACAGTACTTTATTTTGAACATCAAAATGGCTTTCATGAATGTTTGCTTATGATGCTTGAAGAAGTTACTGGTAAAATCAGATTTATAAAGAAGAAAGATTTAACACAAATTTAGTAATTTGGTCATGACCTCACAACGACAAGTGTTGGGCATTATTGTAAACAACCCTTTTTAAGAACAGATAAAGCAACACCACAAGTGTCATTGCTATGGAGATCACAACCCCTGCAGGATCTATGACAAACTGTCCTGCTATTTAGCAAATTGGTACTTGTGGTAACCGTGCCACACCTGAATTTTAAAAACGGCTATCCCCCAAACAATCTGGAAGGGAAGACCATTTCCTCCGGAAAGTAAAAAAAAAAAAAAAAAAAAAAAAAAAAAGACTCTAGTGATAATAAAGACATTTTTGTGCCTGGGGAGTTTTTAATGAAATGTGAGAGGAAAGAAAACAAGGAGCTTTTCTAAATTAAATATGTTCTATAATATGCCATGTGATTTTGAATGTGCCTACAACTAAATGAAGGAAATACTATACCTAGACATTTAACCATTTCAATCTCAGTCTTAAAAGTTAATGTAAACAAGTTGTTAAAAAAACTTATTTTTTGAGGAAATCATCTCATATGGAAAATGAGAGATCATCTTATATTCAGGATTCACTTAAATTTGAATTTGGATATATAAAGTATCTACTTCTGGAGATAACCTTACTGTTTTTTTTTCTAAGAAATTCTAAGCATTTCCAGAGAATTGATTAAAATTTATTAAACTACAGAAAGTGAAATCAGAAGACTACTGAATAATTTCTTAAAATCATGTTAAAATATATAAAATTTATATGCATATAAGTATGCTAAAAGTATACAGAAAAGAAAAACGTGGAAGAAATGCAACAAAATGCTAACAGTGGTTGACTGGGCAGTGGGATTCGTGTTCTCGTTACTCCTTTATTATTTTCTGTTTCATTTTCTATAATATGCATTATTTTAATAATTAGAATAAAAAGAAAATGTAAATGAACACTTAAAAAGCACATGTTAAAGAGAACACTTGATTTGATGTATAGGTTCATCCTTTGTAGGTTAAGCAAATGGAAAGAAACTTCTTTGTACAAAAACTAATTCCATGTGGGCATTGGATACCTTTCTCAGAGAAAATAGGTTGTCTAGCCAGCACACCTTGTTTGTTTTTTAATCTCTAACAACGTTCAGGATATCATACAAAAGAGAAGTCTTGGAAATTCTTACATATATGATGATTATTTTTAGAGATGGGGCCTTGCTATGAGGCCCAGACTGAAGTGCGGTGGCTATTCACAGGCGCAATCATAGCTCACTGCAGCCTCGAACTCCGGGGCTCATGCTATCCTCCTGCCTCAGCCTCTGGAGTAGCGGAACCACTGGCACATGGCCATTGTGCCTGGCTTTACATAAGTTATTAAGACTTTTGTTTTGTTCAGCATATCTGGGTAACATTGCATGGCCTATCCCAAAGTCTGAAATATTTTAAATTCCAACTGACAAGATGTTAGGACACTCAAAGGAAGCATTGACCACACATAAAATTGTTTAAATATGCTCAGCACTTTTCAGACTATTTCACATTAATTCCTAGTGAAATAATGTAGAAAGATGACTTTAGGGGTAAAGGTAATTTAGGCCTTTTTTGTTTCTTTTTTTTTGGTGTTGACTTACTCTGACTTTGAGTAACTCAAGTCATATATTTCCAGTTTCCTCTGTGTTACTCCTCATTTGACATCTTAAGAAAGTTTTTGGTTTTGTTTTTGTAAATTGCCTTATTTGGAGGAAATGCATGTTCTAAGAAATTTGAACACAAGTGTATCCTTGGGATGCTATTTCTCTTCCTTTCTCTAGTGCCATTTTTTACATCACACAGATTTGGAAACAAAATGACGTATTTCTTTGCATGTTGTGTGATGAGTGGAAGAAAGGAAAAAATTAGCAACTCTCTGCATATACAAAGAGACATTTCAGGATCTCCGAGGGGATATGAACTCCCAGGTACTAGTAGACTAAGCCTCTTTACAACCTTACAAAATCCTGTACAGATGACCTGTGTGTAAAATGCACTGCCTGTTGCTTTGGACATCACTTGACACTAAAAAGCTATGCATTTTGTATTTTTGCATGTCAGAATCTTAGCCAGAGGAATTAAAAATAAATATTTAAGTAGGTTCCTGACTTTTCCTATCAAGGAGGCACTGAGACAGGCAATTTGCTTAGCAAGTCTTTTTGTTCACCTGTTTTTGTGCTGCGGAGAAATGTGATGTTTGCTTCTGATGATTCCAAATGTGCGTGCATTATATGGTCAGAGCAGAGTATAGAAAATGCCAGTGCTATCTGTGCAAGGCTGGATGATAACATGTGACCCGAGTGACAGAAATAAATGTGTCCTGGCAAAAAGGAGTCATTAATCTGAATGAAAATATTACCACACAGTGGGCAGATTAATCTTGGCAGTTTATGGCAATGGCCCTCATACATAAAACCTATTCTGTGTTCCCACAAATGCCCAATCAATCAGTAGACAGCTGCCCCAGTGTTAATTGTGACCGTGTGGGACACTTGGGTAAAATCTTCCCATGTTAATGATCCTGAATTTCTAAATGGTCTTATCCTAAAAATTGATTCTTAGTTTAAGCAAGATTAGCAATGTGGGCCTTTCAGCTTTTTTGTTTGATTTTTTGAAAATGTTTATATATTTGGGGTTTAAACAAAGAATTTTTTTTTTATTTTTTGCCGCGCTCAGAACATCTTAGCTAATATATGAGGTAATTAAAAAGTTACTGTAGAAGTCTTCCTGTCTGGTTTGATTGATGCTAGTAGTTGGTTAATCAAAAAAAGTCATAACAAATTATAAATACATACCTTCTACTTTTCATGTTAATATTAAATCTGTATATATATATTTTTGTTTTTTTATTTGCCAATATTTGATATTAGGTCAAGGCCTAGTTGAAATTCCCTGACATCTTTCTTGTATAAACAATACCCACAATGCTAATCTTTATGATTTTCAATCTCTGTCTCTCTAAATTGGCATGGTAATTTAAAGATATTGGGAACCAATCTAAATGCAGAATCCTCCTAGATTTTTACTAAATTTCCCCAAAACTTCTTAGTTATCTAACCTACATCAGCTTTAGTATTTTTTAATGACTCATTTTGATGAAGGCCATTCAAACATTCTGCTTAATTTTGATAGAAACAATGAATCACTTTCTGTTTACCTCGTATTTCATGGATTTATATGGAATAATCTGTTCACATACTATTTAATTCATACAGTTGGAGTAAAGAGGCTTGGGACCAAACCCAGTACACTTGTGAATGTGTGACTCAGCTGGTGGGGCTAGCCATGCCTGGGTACATTAGAGAAGTCCACCAGGATGACTCTGCAGAATGCCCTTCACATCAGGGCATGTTCTACAGAGGGAATGGACATCATCATCGCTTCATTAAGCCTGTCACGTTTTTCCATAAACATCTACAAATAGCTACAGGTGAAAATGGATAAAGAATATAATATTTAATATTGTTTTCTCTTTATCAAATGAAAAGCCAGATATAGCTAAGTAAATACTAACAAAACTGTTATTAAATGAGGTACACGCCAACATTAATAAGTTCTGAATTGTTCGTTTTACTACTTTGTACATATATTATGTATGTGGTATATTAATTGATTGCTTTGTGAAGCTGTTTAAAATTTTTCAACAGTAGAGAGTGATAATGTGCCAAATGTGAAATAAAATTGCAGAGGTGAAACTGTCAACGACTTAAGTGTTACTACTGACTGACAGTGACAGGATTCAAGAAGTATCATAGATACCAATATGCTATGTCACAAGTATAATATGACCAGAGTGGATGTGGTCCCTGCTAAACAAGTTAAACAAAAAGGCTTTTTTTTTTCTTCCTAGTGCTTTATATTTTCCCCCACTATAGAAAATGCATGAAGACTTTTTAAATGGTGACATTTATGGCCATGATAGATGTGTGCTTCTACAAGACCAAGTCCAGGTGTTTCCATTGGGAATACATGGAAGGAATTGATTTAAGCAAGTGATTACTTAAAAAGGAAAATTAAAAGAGTGGAAAATGGATAGGAGAGAATGTTAATTGGGAGGGTTTCAAGTATAAAGGAGACTTAAGGATGGGCATAAATGTAAATGTTAGGAACACATTTGAAATAACTTGGCCTTAGAAAAGAGGTTTATAGAAGCATATAATTTAAGAACTGTAGGTTTTGAAACTGAGACACACTCATTGCCAGACAGAATAAGAATGAACATATCTGAAATTTCACTGAGAAAGATCACAGATATACAGTCATGTGTTGCTTCACGATGGAGGTATGTTCTGAGAAATGCGTTGTTAGGCAATGTCATCATAATGCAAAAATGTAGATTTTTTTTTTTTGTGGATCATAGAGTGGATTTAATCAAACCTAAATGGTGTAGCCTATGACACGCCTAGGCTATATGCTACAGCTTATTGCTCCTAGGCTACAGACCTGTACAGCATGTTACTGTAATGAATATAGTAAGCAATTGTAACACAGTGGTATTTGTGATCTAAACATATCTAAACAGAAAATGTCCAGCAAAAATATGGTATTATAATCTTACGGGATCACTGTTGTATAAGCTGTACATTGTTGACCGAAAGTTGTTATGTGGTGCATGACTGTATTTAAAATTATAAGAACACACAATCCCAAGGTCATTTGATTCAGGCCCCAATAAAGCACTAAAATAGTCCAAGAATCTTACCTTTTCCCATTAGTGAATGAAGGCATTCTTCAGACTTCCTAGTTGAACTGATGCAATGATCAGTGGACCTTGAATCAAAGGAAACAAATTTCTGTTTATCTTAAGCCTTCTCAATTGTGCTTTTGTATGCATTCATCTTATTCTTTCTATTATTCTTAACTTAGTCATCCAGATTGCTGCTTAAAATGGAAAATTAGCCTAAAATGGAGTGGGCAAACAAACAAATCGATCACTGTCCAGAGTTTCTGAATCCTTAACCCATTTCTTACAAGAAGAGAGGGAACTATTTTCTTTAATATTGAAAAGACGTTACCTGGAGCACCCCTAATCAACCTTGGTCCACAAGTTGAATGATGCAGTAGAATTTAGAGGATTCTGACATTCAGAGAACAGCAGCCAACTGTCAGAAAAACGGTAGGAGATGGTAATAATGACCTCGATTTAAGGTCACTGGTGCTTGAATGCTTGCGGTATTTTGGCACTAGCTATGCCACGTCCTGCTGATCATGGAACAGGTGCCAGGTTCACTCAGTGGGGCCAAAGGAACTTTGAGTATAGTGACAAGAGGCTAAAGAGCCTCAGCCGCTTGGCTTATAAGATTGATTCTTAATGGAAGATTGATCTGGATTGGGTGAATCTGTGATTTTTTTTGTTGGTAGGGACTTGAAATTGGTGAATGAGATAAACATGAAGTTCAGTCTCCTTAGCAGATAACAACAGCTTTGCTCTATATTTCTGTCACCTAGCACCTAGTAGGAGCTTGACTATTGAATGAAGAATCAACTGAACACATTTTCTAGGTAGACTTATAATAGAATTAATATCTACATTGGATTTGTAAAAGTAATGATGGTACCAGTATACATTTAATTAGTGAGGAGTACTTCCTTTGGGGTTATAAGTATAAAAATACTCAATAACCTCATTGCTTTATTGATGTTTGTTTGTGAAGAAGGATTAAATAGTATCTTGCCTTTTTTTTCCTTTGCTTTTAATCATCCATTGTTAAATAGAGGCTTAGGCCATCTGTCTCTGCCAAGATCTGCCTCGATATGGAAGACTGTATAATAGAGATACTAAAAAAAACCTCTCTAATAATCTGTTTATACTATTATTCTCCAGGCTTTTCCCTAAAACAGTTTTAAGTAAATTTCTTACCAACTAAACTGCAAACTTATCTGTTAATTAAAACTATTTTTGTTGACTAGGTCGCAGTGCTCTTGAGGCCTGTAGAAATTGTACTTAGCTGCCTTTTCTCTTGAAGATAAGACAGAAAACAGGATGCCTTGTTGGGTTTAAAAAGTAAAATACAAACTGTCAGTTTTCTGATATCAAGGTACATTTTTTTGAGAATCAACATTCCAAATGGCCAATCTGGTTAACTCTCAGTGGTATAAGATAGGGCAAAGGAAATTGACTATGTTTTGGTACTTGGTTTTATTTTATTTTATACTAAGTGCTTCTTAGGCAATTCTGCCTCATCAATATTCTGTAGATGTAGGCATCATTAACCTCAGTGAAAAGTTTATTACAAGCCACTGTTAGGACTTGTTTCTGAATAATATTTCTCCAGTATTTAAATGAAACAAACTACCTTTACCCAAACTCAGTCAACAGAGTTTAAGATTATTCAGAATATGGAAAAATAAGGTTTAGGGCCTGGGTGCTGTGGCTCTCGCCTGTAATCCCAGCACTTTGAGAGGCCGAGGTGGGGGCATCACTTGAGCCCAGAAGTTTGAGATCAGCATGGGCAACAGAGAGAGACTTCAACTCTACCAAAACAAAACAAAACAAAACAAAACAAAAACTCGGGTGTGGTGGTGCACACCCATGTCCCAGCTACTTGGGCAGGTGAGTTAGGAGGATTACTTGTGCCCAGGAGGTCGAGGCTGCAATAAGGCATGATTGTGCCACTGCACTCCAGCCTAGGGTACAGAGTAAGACCCTGTCTCAAAAAAAAAAATAATAATAATAAGGTTTGGGTGTGTGATTTGGGGCAGTGTTTTTGGCATGCACGGGTGTATTGTGGGTGTGCATATGCCTAGACAGACATATGCACAATCTGAAGACATAATAGGCATTTTCCTCGAAATAAATTTGGCTCTTAGAATTGCTTTCTTCTCAGTCACATGCAAAATATGGTGAAGAATCATAAGCAGTCATAAATACTGGCTTGTATACACCATTCAGGGTCACCTTCAACAAAATACAAGTCACTCAATTTTATCCAGCAGTCACAGTGCTGGATCTACTGTGGGACTCTTAAAATGTTTCAAGTGAGAGCTGGATAGTCATAGGTAGAATCTGAGTTATACATTCTGATTTCCTTTATGGGCTATAGATTAACTGCAACTCTGATACTACTTCATTATAATCCTACTGACTTCTTTCTGGTAAGAGAATTGCCAGGTACCCAGCTCTGAATGTCCTGAATCCTGTCAGTAGCTCTAGTTTATAAAGGATGATTTGCTAATGAGATTTCACAGACAAGCACTAGATATTGACGGTGATTCAATGTTGTATGTTGTCTGAGTGGTTGTTTTGCTTCAGGGTACTTTTTTATTTTCCATTTCTTTAGCAACCTCTTTCCCCACCCTGCTCTTGCAGAATTTGAGATCAAGAAGTAGGGCATTATTAATTACATATAGACATTATAGAATGTTTTGGGGGTTCTTAATCAAAATGTAAATGATAGTTTAAAACATAGTTTGAATACTCTGAATGCCTAGTACCTATGTAGTCAGTAAATAGTGATTGCCGTGAGGACTACAACTGTATCAAGACAGTTTTATCCTAGTGTTCAGTTAAAATCTTAAAAAACATAAAATAAAATTCTTGCTGTATTTTATGAGTAGGTTTTAGGAACCTAGTAAGATTTTTAAGGCAGAGGAACCTTTAGAAGGGGCTCAAGGTCACAGTTGGCACTCCTGTGAAAACGTGTGAATTGCCTTCCAGACACTTTTATTTTGCCTTAAGACTGCAACTATGTTCTGTCTAGGGGTTCTGCTGACAGCACGACCACACAAGTACAGTTTCCTTTCTGTGCATCAGCACAATCAGAGATTGCAATGCTGCTTGTGGCCATTAGGATTTAGTCATGGAATGTAAGGAAATTTCAACAGGAAATGTATCTGGCTTTGATATATTTTCATCTGCCGTAGTCGCTTAACCTGCATGCCTTTTTGGTGTCAGCATTTAATTCTAGGATTTCATCTGGAATATGTGTGTATATAGTTTTCTCCATCACTGTCTCAAGTAACCCATTTGATGCTGTTCATGTACAGGCCCTGTTATCATTAATAATCATGTAAGCAGTGTTAGCAGGTTTTGGCAAATGCACCGTTTCATCTATGCCGAGGAACATAAAACTCTTATCAGCAATATAATTTAATTTCACTGTACGTTTTTGGTTAGGATGCAGCCAACAAAGTCAGCAAAAGTGCAAGTTGTTTTTAGATGGCTCAGTTGTATTATAGTTATACTTACTGTACCTCACTGCTCTTAAGTGTCTTCAATAACAAATACAGTATCAGTGTCAGCTTTTGGATTTGTGACTTATACAAATGTCAAAGTAGCAGGTATATTATTTTATTTCCAAAGAGAGGCTTCTTTATCCTCTCCTCTACATGATTAATGCTCTTGGCCAGAATTTAAGCTGGCAGGGCCTGGCACATAGTAGGTGAACAATGAATGGATATAACCATTGTTGTGGTTTTTATTCAAGGCTCTCAACATGTGATTGAATGAAGGATACCTAGAAATTGAAATATCAAGGCAATTGTGAGGATAACTGAGGAACACTGGGTGAAGCTTGTGTAATGTCATGATTTAGCACATGCCTTATTATTTTCGTAGGTCTCAAACTTAACCCTACTAGGAGAGAAACTGTATTTGGAACAGTACAAAGCAAATATGTCAGTGTTTGCATGTGCCATTCTCTTACATTTAAACTAAATAAATTTAAAACATTCAACAAAGATTGAGTCAGGAGCGTTTTATCTGATTCATCCTTAAAAAAAAGCTTTCTTTGGTGCCAGGCATATAGTAGACACTCAGTAAATATTTGTTGGCACACTAGCTTGGTGCTGAATATAAGACATATTCAATTTTGTTGAATGACCAATTAAAAATGTAGGAGTCACTGTAATCACGGTGGGACCCATTTCTCTAAGGAAGTTTCTAATATGACTGTGTCATGTCTTTGCCTTGGGCTGGTCTTCTATCAAGGTTGTTACTGACATGGCTATGCTTTATTGGGGTATCTACTATATACCAACTATTATACTTGGTTCTCGAGCAATATCATCTCATCTTAATACATTGTACTAGTGAGAATTACAAGAAATTTCATATTAAAATGAAAGAGAAATTTTAATTTAATTTTTATATCCCCAAATTACTTAATAATCTGCTAAAGGGAATAGTTGTCCTTTCCCTCTACGTGGATTCTCCATCAGAAGCTCATGCCTTTGAGTGATATACTTGGCCACTCAGCTGGAAAACTGTCAGTCTTCATAACAACATTTTAGATCCTAGAACCTGTATGGAACAGTTTCTCAAAAATTTCTACCATCTTATGAAAAGCCACACAGATGTGCCTTCATTTTGTAGTATATTAACAAGATGGTAATGCATGTATGTATACAAATCTATCCTGAGAGTCTTCTTTGAGGGTTGATTGAAAACTCACTCCTCATCTTGGTTTTGTTTGCTTGATATGGGAAGCACAAAACATTTATCTTTATGTTCTGACAATAGAAATAGTAGTTGGTATGAAATACTCGGTGGGCGAAGCAGTGAATGATAAGGGAAATAGTATTTTGCATGTTGCATTTGCAAAGGAAACTCTTAGAAAAGTGGCTAACTTTAGATTTACTTATACTCCTTAGAGTTCACAGGGATGAATTTAGGTGGAGAGATGATATTTGAAGGAAAAGGTACAGGTCTACGTACAGTAGACTAGATTAGGTGATCTTGTTGTGCAATATGTTTTGAAATTACTGATGTGACATACATTAATCTCAAAATAATTATGCTGTGTGAAATAAGCCGGATAAAAAGAGTGTAATAATTGATATGGTTCGGCTGTGTCCACACCCAAATCTCATCTTGAATCGTAGCTCCCGTAATTCCCACATGTTGTGGGAGGGACCTGGTTTGGTGGGAGGTAATTGAATCATGGGGGCAGGTCTATCCTGTGCTGTTCTCGTGATAGTGAATAAGTCTCACAAGATCTGATGGTTTTAATAAAGAGGAGTTTCCCTGCACAAGTTCTGTTCTTCTCTCTTGTCTGTTGCCATGTAAAACATGCCTTTCACCTTCCGCCATGATTGTAAGGCCTCCTCAGCCACGTGAGGCCTTTTTCTTTATAATTACCCAGTCTCCAGTATGTCTTTATCAGCAGCGTGAAAATGGGCTAATACAATACTTTATGAATCTTTTTCTATACAATTATTTTAAAGATTCAAAATAAATGACAATGAGTGAGAGAAGGAGGATCAATGACTGCTTGAGAGGTGGTGGATGGTGCTGCTATAGGAAGGATGACAGATGGGTACCAGGAATTTTTAGAAGTGATGAGTATGTTTCTTCTCTTGATTGTGGTGATGTTTTGCAGCTGCGTACAGCTGTGCCAGAACTCATTAAACTGTACACTTCATATATGTGGACTTTATTATGCATTTATTAGACCTCAATCAAGCTATTAGGAATAAAATGCAATTTTATGGCAATTACCACATTATAATCAAGTAATTATCTAGTGTCTGTCTGTTGTACTGGACTGTAAGCTCCCAAAAGACAGACTTTTTTCTGTTTTATCTGTGTTCTCAATGTCTAACCTGTGAGAGGTTCCTATTAAGTACTCATTAAATTAAAACATAGTTTGAATATAGTTTAATACTATATTAAACATAGTTTAATACTTTTGAGTAAGTAAATAGACGTGTTATTTAGCTAAAGCACAGACAGCTATTATTGACTGAGCACTTGCCATATGCTGGGTGCTGTGCTCAAAATACATTATGTTATGAATCGTCACAAACAGTATTTTTGGGAAAGGCAATTTTGTTATCCCCATTTTACAGAAAAGAAAACAGAGCTTAGAACAGTTAAGTAACATGCCCTAGACCACTAGCTAATAAGTGGACAACACCGAAATCAAGGCTGACTGATTGAAAGTCTGTGGTGGTAACCTCTGCGCTTGGACCCTTTGGCATCTCCTTATGGCCTGTATAGATTTTTAAAGCTGTGACAGGGAAATTTTCAAGGATATAAGACTCACTTCCTAGCCCCACACTTTCAACACAATGGGAACTTCAGTAAACATTTAAAACTGAATGAATGAACCCAGTGCTGAAAGTCTGGGAAAATCTTTTTCCTTCTGTTTACTTTCCCGGTATTAATAGAGCAGCGTTGTTTTCCTACACGTGGCTCTGTTTATACTGGCAGAAACCTGAATGGGAAGCAGGCTGGGGTACAGCAGGAGCGAATGCCTTTGGGGGAGCCTGGGCTTCTGCCAGCACATCTAGCTGGGGTTCCTGAAAGGCCCGAGGGACATTGCTTCTCCATTGTCATATTGGAGATTTTGTTCCAGGAGGGGGATGAAGAGAGCATATATTTCAATTTTCTTCACAGTTGTATTATTTGTTAGATTCCTCTAAAAGACAGTTGATTTTTGTAAGCCAGTATTAAAATTCCAAAAAGGGATTACAAAAATGTTTGCATTGTAATGTTATAACACAGTTGGAATACACTTTAGTCTTCCCTTTTGGTTATAATGCTATCTTATAAGAATTGTAGAATACAAAGAATGGTTACATGTCTGAAAATAATATATATATTTCTTCAGGCAATTGGTGTTTTTGTGTTCTTAAAAAAGCCATTACAGCATCAGTTTGTCTCGTGTGTATATTTTATAGTAGTACATTAAACACAAACACTGACAAAAGTTTTTTAGTTTAGCTTAAAAGCAGTAGTTATTTCTCATATACTATTAGGTAGAGGTCACATTGGGATTTACATGGACTGCTGTTTTCCCTGTTGAAAGGGCTACTTTAAACAAATACTTGAAATGTTGTATAGCCACATTTAAAAAAAATCCCTTATAAGGATATGGAATATACCACTGATTTCATTAGACCTGTCATTCACTGACATTCCCCTATTTATTTATTTACTCATTCAAAAAATATTTATCAAGGACACTTTATGTGCCATGGTCTGTGTCAGGTGCTGGAGGGCCAGTGAAAAATGTTCGTAAGTGACATCTGCTTTACTGCAGGGTACTTGTCGTTTCCTCCTGTAGTTTTGCTTTTGGAGACATTAGATGTATCAAAATTGTTAATATTTTTATATTTGCTTGTAATTTCTTCCAAATTCGCAGGTTATTTAGGTCAACTTATTTGACCTTACTGTCCTCATTATATTATATAATATGTATTATATAATATATATAATATAAAATCATATAATTATATGGGAAATACTTAGAAAATATAGAATATTAATTTCATAAAATGGGCTAGTAACTTCTTATCCTATGTGAGTTATATTATAGTGTACCTCAGCCGGGCGCGGTAGCTTACGCCTGTAATCCCAGCACTTTGGGAGGCCAAGGTGGGTGGATCACAAGGTCAGGAGTTTGAGACCAGCCTGGCCAATATGGTGAAACTCTGTCTCTACTAAAAATACAAAAATTAGCTGGGCGTGGTGGCACATGCCTATAATCCCAGCTACTCAGGAAGCTGAGGCAGGAGAATCACTTGAACCCAGGAGGCGGAGGTTGCAGTGAGCCAAGATCACGCCACTTGTACTCCAGCCTGGGCTACAGGGCGAGACTCCGTCTCAAAAAACAAAAAACAAAAATAAACAAAACCTACCTCAGGAAAAGAGTAATACGATGCATAAAGTATAAGAGAACTGTTCAGTAAAATCAGCCTGCTTTCTGAATTTGTGCCTGTGTGTGTGTGTGTGTGTGTGTGTGTGTGTTAGTAATTTAAACTTGAGCTAAATCTGTTTAGTTTTTGATTTGTAGGTAGTTTGCCTATAACTTGATCTCTCTCTCTTTTTTATACCTTTTTTTTAGGGTCAGAGGTACATATGCACGTTTGTAATATGGTTAAACTTACGCCACAGTGATTTGTTGTAAATATTATTGCATCACCCAGGTACTAAGCCTCGTACCCAATAGTTATTTTTTCCGATCCTCAGCCTCCTCCCAGCCTCTACCCTCAAGTAGGCCCCAGTGTCTGTTGTTCTCCTTTTTGCGTTGCATCCATGTGTTCTCATCACTTTGCTCCTACTGATGAGTGAGAACAATTAGTATTTGGTTTTTCTGTTCCTGTGTTAGTTTGCTAAGGATAATGGCCTCCAGCTCCATTCATGTTCCTGCCAAGGATATGATCCATTCTTTTTTATAGCTGCATAGTATTCTACAGTGTATATATACCACATTTTCTTTATCCAATCAGCCATTAATGGGTATTTAGGTTGATTCCATGTCTTTGCTATTATTGTGAATAACGCTGCAGTGAACATATGCGTGCATGAGAACTTGATTTCTCTTGAGATGACTTTTGAATGATTTCCTTATCTTTGTGTTCTGGATTGAAAATGCTGAAGGCTTTTAGAGTGATAATTTCTATTAATCTCATTCTAGCAAATTAAGCTTCTACAAGATGTAGAGGAGTGTTTTTGTTCAAGAAGAAGGGAAATGATTACAGGCAGGATTTCTTTTAACTGGCATGAGTGGACACATTAGAGATGTTTAGGGAAATTCTTTCTATAATGTATTGGGATGAATGAAATGAATGCATAAAATCTTATAATTAAGTTAATTATTACTAATTTGTTGAGAGTCCTTTTTTAATGATATGGAGAAACACTCTGGAGACAGTTATCTTGAATCACTCTGAAGGTGGTTATCTTGAATTTCAGTGTTATTTGAAAACCTCTAGTTATTATAGTCCTATAGTTTTCAGAGATATATGTGATATACATAAACTTGGCTCTTTCCCATGACCTCCCTATTGCTGTTTAGGGCTTAGGTCACTTTATATTGTAATTATTGGGCCACCTGTAAATCCCTTCAAAGAAAGGACTGTGTCCTATTGAAGTTTGTGTCTCCAATGCTCCCATCAGGGCTTTAAGCAGTTGTTGGCTGTCCTAGTAGAAGGGTCCGTCATCAAGGCTCAGTAACCTCCTACCATTTCTTGACCCTCCTTCCTTGCCCTGCCTTGTCCAGTTTATTTCCAGGTCTTAAGAATATCAGGGTTATGTGGGTGGAAAGAAGTTGCTTCGTCCTCTGTTGCAGACGGATCTAGGCTTGCATATTCACTTGATCTCTTATCAACTGTGTGACCTTCGGAACATTACATATTCTTTGTGCCTTAGTTACTCAATTTGAAAACATGAATAATCATGCTTAATTTATAGAGTCGTGAGAACTAATTAA